>NC_000019.10:42089358-42392389 GCF_000001405.40 Homo sapiens
AGTTTTCCTTCATCTGTTCTTTTTGCTTTCTTACTCCTTTTTTTCCTGTCTTTTTTTAAAGCTTTTTCAGTTGATTTGGGAGGGGAGTTTGGGGCTCTTCACCCCTGTCCCTGATACCCTCTCTCAGCCCCGCCCACCCGCTTCCATCTGCCCTGGCCGAGGGACAGGCCCTGCCCCAGCCGCCCCCTCCGGCTTTCCCAAAGACAACGTCCATGAGGTATTTGTGAAGAGAAAGAAGCATCCGTCCTTCCATCCGCCTTGGGGAACAAGGGCCTGGACCACCGGTGCAGGGGCTTGGCTCCGCCTCGCGGTTCCATCTTATTCTTGAAGAGTCCTCATCTTCTTTCCCTTTTATATATATATATATATATATGTTTATATATATATATAAATTTTTTTTCTAGTTTAAATTTATTGTTTGTTTGTTTCTGTTTTTTTGGTTTTCGGTTCAAAACTTTGTTGGCCTCCACAATAGCAGGAGGGCAGGGTGGCTCCCAGTGGTGTCTCTCCTCTGTCCGTCGTCAGTGGAGACGTGTCCGGGGCTGGTCAAACACAGGGTCCAGCCAAGAGTTGTGGAGGTCTTGTGGGAGTGGTGGCCACCACCGCGCCCTCTCAGATGGGGACCACAGGCTGTGGCACTGTCCCCACCACATGGACCCTGATGGGGATGCCATCTCGAGGAACCCCACCACTGGGGTGTGTGCGTGCGTGCATGTGGGGGGAGGGAGAGGCATTCGCCAGTACCAGAGGGGCACAGGGTGGGAAAAGCGAGGTGAGTTCTCTTTTTGGTTTCTGGTTAATGTCAAAGAACGTGAAGGATCCCACGGATAGGCACTGGAATATGAATTTTTTTTTTTTTCAGGGAAACAGACAGGATGGAAAAAGACAACTGAATGCCCTCAACTGAATGTCTTCATCCCCTCTTGCCTGAAATTTCCACCTTCCCATAGGCTGGGGAGGGAGTCAGTTCCAGAGCAGAGGAGGGTGACAGGGTTGAGGAGGGACTTGTGAGAGCTAGAACTTGGCAAAATGGCCTAGCCCACCCTTCAAAGGGGAAAAGAGGGAGGAACAGGGGATGAAAAGTTGTCCGCAGGCCTTCCCTTGAACTCTCCCCTGCTGGGGGGAGGGAGGAGGTTAAAGCAAGACCCCCTGCCCAGGTGGGGAGAGCTGGGGGCCAGGGGAGAAGGGGACACATGGTAGGGACACATTCTGTTGAGCACAATGCTAAAAATTCTGTACATCCTTTGGATGAAGCTACTGAATATTTGGTGTAAGGTTGTTCAGGCCCTTTCTCTTTCACCTTCTGGAAAAGAACATTTGGTGGGTGGTGCTAAGCCCCAGCCCATCTGCCCAGGCTGTGCCCTGTCTTCGCTGGCCCAGGGCTGGGGGCTGGGATTAGGAAGCTGGCATCTTCTCTTTTTCCTTCTGTAGCCCCCACGGGGGAGGCAGGGTTGGGGGTTGGTCCCACAGCCAGGGCTCGGTGGCATGAGGTCTGACCTGCTGGAGGCTTCTCCGCCCCTGGCTGGGGTTTTTATTTGGCGTCGTAGCAGTGAGGGTGAGCACGCTGAGGTCTGGCTCGCGACTGGTTTTTTGGTTTGTTTGATTTTGTGGGTTTTTTTTTTTTTTGGTTTGTTTTTGGTTTTTTTTTGTTTGTTTTTCACCTCTGGTTCCTTTGGGGCAGCTGGTTTCTGTTGTGATTATTTTTGGTTTTCTCTTTTGTTGGTTAGTTTCTTTCCTTTTTTTTTTTTTTTTTGGTTGGTTGTTTTTTTGGTCTTTCCTCCCTTGTCACTCCTGCTCTGAGGACCCTCTGCGTCCCCACCACTGGCCTCCTCGCCCTCTTCCCAGGCAAGGGACCAAGGCAGGGACCAGAGGAATGGGAGGGGAGGCATGGCTGGCCCTCACTCAGGTTTGGACCCTGCCTCGGGCCCCCCTGGACCTCCAGGGGTCTGTGCTGCCGTCTCGCTGCAAGTGGAGGAGGAGGAGGATGAGGATGAAGAGGATGAGGAGGAGAGGCCAGGAGACTTGCTGGAGATGGAGGCTGCCACAGCCGCAGCCGCTGCTGAGACCAGGCCCACACCAGGCGGGGTGCTGAGCAGGGGCAGCCCAGCATGATTCAAGAAGAGCGGCGAGGTCACCAGGCCAGGGCTCCCCGGGGCTGCACCGGCTGCCCCCAGCACCAGATTCCCGCTGCCATCAAGGCTGGTAAGGGGCAGGGTTCCACCAGAGGCCAGGGCTGGCGGGGAGAGAGAGAGGCTGGGCTAAGGGCATGCCGGGCCAGGGGAGACCTTTGCCTTCCAGCATCCTGCCCAGAGTGCCCCCCATCTCCCCATCGGTCCCACTGACCCCCATCAGCACCCCTCACACCTTCCCCAAAGGTGAGATGGGTATGAAGAGGCAAGCAATGCAGTGAGCAGGGGCAGGATGGCATGGCTGGAGCAGCAATGGCAGGGCTCGAGGCCCCAGAGGATAGGGCTGGTGACGATGGGTGTGACATGAGGCAGCACGCACCTTGGATAGTGGCCAAAGGGTTGTTGCTCATGAGGGCTGGACTCAGCCCGGAGCTCAACCCCACCATTGTGCTTCTGCAAGAGGCAAAGCAGAGGCATTAGCAGGGGCAGGGACCTGCCAACATAACTGGGGTGCCGCTCCCCACCCTAGAAGCAGCAGCGACCCTGCTTCTCCCCACAGCTTCCCACGTGCACCCACTTACCCCGTGCTGGGGTTCAGGCCTGACAAGCCGATAGCCGAGTGGCTGCCTTGAGGGCTGGGGTTTGTGCTGTTGGTGGTGGCCGGGGGTGGGGGAGTGACAGAGGGGATGGAATTGAGGGGGGGCGCAGCCCCGCCCCCGCCCCCACCCCCTCCAGCTGTCCGGCTGGGGTGGAGCGTCCCCACAGCTGAGGATAAGGTAGTAACTGCCAGAGAGAGACAGAAAGATGGGGTCTTCAGCTTCCACTCGTCCCCCACTGAGGAACCTGGGGTCAGCTCCTACTTGTCCTCCCGCCCAGCTCACGCAGCATCTCCTCAGTCAGAACAGCCTTAGACCTCCCTGCCCTCTCTTCCCAGAGTCATTTCCCTGTGCCTCTGCCATGGTGACCCCTGTCATAACAATGGAAGTCAGAGCAGGTGCTTCCTGCTGAGCCCTGGCACTCTACACTCCCTGCCCTGAACCACTTTTTTACCGACTAGAAACGGGGGTGCCCAGGAGACAAAGCCCTATGGCTCCCTCTAGGGGCTGGGGAGGGGCGAAGGGTGCCAGGCACACTGCCACATCTGAGGGATGGGCAACCTGGCAGGGGCTGAGGGCCCAGACTCAGCCAGACTGCTGGGGTAGAAACTCCTGGCTCTGTCTCATCCCAGTGGTGCCCTTGGGTGAGTGCCTTAACCTCTCTGACCTTCAGATCCCTTGTCTGGAAAATGGGGATAATAATAGACCCTATCTCATAAAATGAGTTTGAGAATTAAGTCAGTCAATGCAGTTTAGAAAGAGTTTAGTACAGTGCCAGGCAAGCACTTACTACTTTATAAATCTCCACTTACTATTTTCTAGCCTGGGGAGGGGCAACGTGTTGTTTTATGTGTATATATATTATGTGTATATATATTATGCATATATATATTATGTGTGTGTGTATATATATATATATATATATATTTTTTTTTTTTTTTTTTTTGAGATGGAATCTCACTCTGTCACCAGGCTAGAGTGCAGTGGTGTGATCTCAGTTCACTGCAACCTCCTCCTCCCGGATTCAAGTGATTCTCCTGCCTCAGCCTCCCGAGTAGCTGGGATTACAGACACACGCCACCACGCCCAGCTAATTTTTGTATTTTTAGTAGAGACAGGGCTTACCATGTTGGCCAGGCTGGTCTCGAACTCCTGACCTCAGGTGATCCACATGCCTTGGCCTCCCAAAGAGCAGGGATTATAGGCATAAGCCACCACACCCAGCGAATTTTATATTATTATTATATATATGGTGTATAACCATACATATAAACCTACCGTGTCCCAGGAAGAGGGAGGGGAACTCTGGATACAAGACTATGTATGTATGCATGTATGTGTGTATATGTACATACACATACACTCTTACATACATGTATTTATATCTTTTTATGTTTTACACATTCATAATAATTTAATAAAAACTGAGGCTTAGAAGGATAAAATAAGTGCTTGAATTCACACAGCTTAAAAATGACAGAGGCCAGGCACAAAACTCAAGTGCCTCACCTTTTACCAGGCCCATGCTTTTCTCATATGAAATCGTGAAGCAGATTAAAGCTGAGTTGCTCCTGCAGAGGAGGGGTGAGTCCTACCCTCTTCCCACTGTCTCTCCCATTCCCCCACCCACACTCCCCAGGCCCAGTCTTGAGGCCCATGGACACCCAGAGCCACTTGGGAACCTCAGGCTCCAGCCTGTGCCACATCCTCCCAGTCCCCCCTCACCATTTTCTGCCCTCCCTGACCTGTTGTGCTCAGACTGCTGGAAGCTTGGGACAACGGTAAGGTCCCCGCGCCCCCTTGGGGTGTGACCTGAGGAGAGAAGAAAGGAGGTGTGGTTAGCCACTGTCTGCCAGCAGCCCCCGTGATGCTCCCTGTAGGACCCCACTCCTCCGTCCCAGGATGGGGGCAGGGGGCTTTGGCACAATGCTGCATTTGTATTATTCCACATGCTTTCTTCACACTTGCCCTAGCTGATCCTGAGCCACAAGCAGGAAGGGCTAATTCTCCATTGAGAACACTCCCCACCTCTCTTCTGACACCGCCCCATCTGGCTAGTCTTTGCAGGGTTGTGTCCTGTCTGAAGTGACTGCACCGGAAGAGTGGCTGCTCCACATGCTCCTGATATTGTTGGTTCTGCAAAACTAAAACTCTTTTCCCTGGACAAGCAAACACCACCCTTTTACCAGTGGGGTTGGCAAGCAATGCAGGAGAGACTGTTCAAAGTGACCCAGGCAGGGAAAGAGCAGATCTAAAGTGCGAGGCTAAATGGATGCATATCTTTGCATCGGGGTGTTGAGATGTCATATTACTTGATTTTCTGGGACCATCAGCTTCCTTCTTGGCCACCCCACCTCCAGTCTCACCTTTGCATCAGCCCCAGAAACCTCACTAAATGTGACTCTCTCCTTCCCCAGCTCAAAACCACTCCTTACCTCCTCACTGCCCATGGTTCAAGTTCCAGCTCTTCACTGTAAAACTTGGGGTACATGCCCCCACTCCTTCCCCAACCTCATTCATATAAACTGCAGCACCAACCACACTAAATTGCACTGGAGTTTCTCAAATTGGGCTGGGCACACCCTGGCTTCTAGGCCTTAGTACACACTGGTCCAGGAAGGCTCTTTGCCTTCTTGTGGCTGGCTAACTCTCCCTTGTCCTTTAGAACTCAGTTCAGACAGTGCCTCCTTCACACCGATGGGGGCAGGGGCTCCTCTCTGGAGCATCACAGCTCTTCCCAGAAATGGAAATAAAAGGATGGGATAAAGGATGTCCCAGCTGTGTCTGATATCAAGTGGGCCTGTGTATAGCTGTGGACCTGAGAGTACACCCATGGGTGTGACAATTTCCCCGAACGGCAAATAAGTGCCTCTCCCTGCCTCTGTGTGGTTGTGAGCCTGTGTGTTCTAACCTGGACCACGTCCCTGGACATATATCCCTTCCTGTGTGGCTATGGCACTGTGATAACTCTGTGTCTGGCTATGTCGGTGTGTATCTAGGGGTGCTTGTATCCCCCATGTAAGACCACAGTTCCCTGGAAACCGTCCCTGTGTAACTGTGCCCATCTACGTGATGGCCTGTCTCCAAGAGTGACTCTTCTTGTCTCTGTTCTAGGCTCTGTGGACAACCAGGTAGGGTGGGCTTCACACAGGTGCCTGCGGAGCTCTGTGGTCTCCCCACCCCCCAGGCGGGCTCTTGGTACCATATGGGGGCTGTAGCTGGCCGGCTTCCCTGGGCTGGGCAGCATGGGGGCCGCACTGCAGGGGTTGATGCGTTTCTCCTTCTGGCGCCGGTTGCAGAACCAGACGCGGATCACTTCCTTCTCCATGTGCAGCTGCTCGGCGATCAGCAGGATCTCCTCTGAGGTAGGCTTCTGGTTCTGCAGGCAGAGGGCTCGTTAGCCCGAGGCCCACCGCCCGCCACCCCTCAGGTGAGGGCCACCCAGGAGAGGGGGGCCTCACCGCTAGAAAACTCTTCTCTAAGGCGAAGCGGACGTTTGTCTCGATGCTGGTCCTCTTCTTGCGTCTCCGGCCGGGCAGGCCGTCGAAACCCAGGCTGGGGCTGCTCAGCTGGTTGGGGCTGGGCAGGCTTGAGTCCACAGACATAGTCTCTGTGCGCCGGGGGAGACGTGAGCATGAGAAGGGGCCTCCCGCGGCCAGCGGCCACTGCCCGCCCCCTACGCGGGAACCCCAGCCTGGTCCCACCTGCATCGTTGAGCCACTTCTCCAGGAGGGGCTTGAGTTTGCACATGTTCTTGAAGCTCAGGTTGAGGGCCTCGAAGCGGGAAATGGTCGTCTGGCTGAAGTCGTTGCCGTAGAGCTTGCCCATGGCCAGGCCCACATCACCCTGGGCCAGTGGGGCGGGGAAGGGCCCGAAGTCAGGGTGGGGCCTTCCGGCACTGGGCCCGCTCCGCCCGCCCACTGGCCACGCCCCTCGCGGCATCTATCAACTGGCCACGCCCCCACGCCCACCGCCCAGCCTGCAAGGTGCCTCCAGACCTGCGTGAAGCCCAGCTTGATGCGGCGTTGCTTGAAGGTGCGGGCGAATTGCTCCAGCTCCTCCAGATCACTGGGCTCCTCGGGGTGGGATGGTGGCTCCAAGCATTTGGGGGGCTGCGGGTGCGAGAGGTGCGGGTCGGGCAGCGTAGGGCGGGTCACGGCCTGGTGGGGTGGGCAGGTGGGTGGGATGCAGGGCGGAGGACCAGGATGGGGCTCAGCGATGGGTGCACAGTCCCCCTCCCGCCCTCTTCGCCCCTGCGTTCCATCCGCCGCCTGCAGACTCCCCCCGCCTTCCTCCACAAGCACCGTCAATCCCTTTAAAGGTCCCTCCACATGCACTGTTAATCCCTTTAAAGGTCCGACTCTGCTGCCCTACATGGGTTTCCTCATTGCCTGGGACTCTCTGCACTGTCCCTTCACGCCTGCGAACTCCCAGAAGGAGCAGCCAGCTTTTTGTGCCAGGGCTCTTTCCCTGGAGCTGGAGGCAGTGGTTCATCCTCATCTCAACCTGGGAATCAGGGACTGGCCCTGCCACCAAATCACTGCTTAGCCCAGGCCTCACTTTCCCCCTCTGCAGGATGGGAACAATCACTGCTGTTCTGTCTACCCAGTGGGGCTGTTGAGAGAATCGGGTTAAAAATGAGTAGGTCGTGCAGACCCATGGACTGTACAATGCCAAGAGTGAACCCTAATGTCAGCTATGAACTTTGGGTAATAGTGATGTGTCAATGTAGGTTCATCACCTGTTACGCTTGTACCACTCTGGTTGGGGATGTAGATGATGCAGGAAGCTGTGCATGTGTAGGGGCAGAGATAGATGGGATATCTCTATATCTTCCACTCAGTTTTGCTGTGAATCTAAAACAGCTCTTAAGAAATTAAGTCCTAAGCAATGAGTAGATTGCAAATAAAGTAAAAGTTAAGAAAAAAAAAAAAGGACTGGGAGGGCAATTAGAGAGATTTACAAAAAAGCAACAGCTCTATCTGGGATTCTTCATTGCCCTAACAATAAAGGATATGAAGCAGGTGGTGGGTACAGGGATGTTTGTCGCTCAGGTCCTTTATCCATTATTCTCCAAAATGCTGGGGCAGATGTTTAGGAATTTTTCAGTTTTTTTTTTTTTTTTTTTTTTGAGATGGAGTTTCACCCTTGTTGCCTAGGCTGGAATGCAATGGTGCGATCTTGGCTCACCATAACCTCTGCCTCCTGGGTTCAAGTGATACTCCTGCCTCAGCCTCCCGAGTAGCTGGGATTATAGGCATACGCCACCACACCCGGCTAATTTTGTATTTTTAGTAGAGATGGGGTTTCTTCATGTTGGTCAGGCTGGTCTCGAACTCCCGACCTCAGGTGATCCACCCGCTTTGGCCTCCCAAAGTGCTGGGATTACAGGGGTGACCACTGCGCCCTGCCTTTTTTTTTTTTTTTGGTATAAATTTAAGGACAGCCGAGTGCAATGGCTCACACCTGTAATCCCAATACTTTAGGAAGCCAAAGTGGGAGGATCGCTTGAGCACAGGAATTTGAGACTAGCCTGGGCAACATGGCGAAACCCTATCTCTACAAAAATTTTAAAAATTAACCAAGCATGTGGGGCGTGACTGTAGTACCAGCAACTCAGGAGGGCTGGGGACTGCTTCACTTGAGCCCAGGAGGCTGAGGCTGCAGTAAGCTGTGATCACACCACTGCACTCCAGCCTGGGTGACAGAGTAAGACCCTGTCTCAAACAAAAAACAAAATGTTAAAAGATACAAGTGCAATTTTGTTACACAAATGTATTGTGTAGTGATGAAGCGTAGGCTTTTAGTGTATCCATCACCCAAACAGTGTACATTGTACCCATTAAGTAATTTCTCATCATCCACCCACTCTCACCCCTCTCAGGTTTTGTTGTTGTTGTTGTTTTAGAGACCAGTCTTGCTATGTTGCCCAGGCTGGCCTCAAACTCCTGGGCTCAAGTGATCCTCTTGCCTCAGGCTCACAAGTAGCTGAGACTATAGGCATGCACCACCGTGCCTGTTTCAGTTTTCAGAAAACCTACATAGGCAGCCAGGCACAGTGGCTCATGCCTGTAATCCGAGCACTTTAGGAGGCCGAGGCAGGTGGATCACCTGAAGTCAGGAGTTCGAGACCAGCCTGGCCAACATGGTGAAACCCCATCTCTATTAAAAATACAAAAATTAGCTGGGTGTGGTGGCGCATGCTTGTAATCCCAGCTACTTGGGAGGCTGAGGTAGGAGAATCGCTTGAACCTGGGAGGCAGAGGGTGCAGTGAACTGATATTGAGCCAATGCACTCCAGCCTGGGCAACAGAGCGAGACTCCATCTCAAAAAAAAAAAAAAAAACAAAAAGAAAGAAAGCCTACATAGGATGTATATCATAGATAATGTGGCCCGGCCCCCACCCCCACTAGGGTCAAGAATATTACTCCTTAATCAGATACAGTAACAGTTTTGCAGCAGCAAAAATGCCATACCAAGAGGGACAAAGAAAAGTCATACACTGGCTTATATCATGGCAGGGCAGGTTTTGCAGTCAAATGAGTTCTCATGCCAATGGTGGAAGAACAACTTGACTTTCTGAGCATTTGGGATTTCAGAACTGCAGTTAAGACCTGTATTAGTCTCTAACTCTTCAGTCAGTCCTTCTGAAATAGTTCACATATATTTTTTTAAAGGGCTATAAAAAATGGGTAGAAAAAAACTTTGAAATTCATAAAAGGTAGTGAAAATTATCATTAAAGTCTAGAACTCAGGCAGCAAACTGAAAGAAAGGCCTCGGGGTCCAGGTGCCAAGGTGGCCTGGAGAGCTGGCACCCTCTCTAAGGGGCCTCTGCTCCTGCCAGTGGCCAGGCCAACTGCTCACTGCGCCAAGCCACCACGTAGACACAGGTACAGCCCTGCCAGATTTTCTGGTTTATCAAGAGGAGCTGGAAATGTGGTGCTTTCTGGGAATTTAGTTGACAATGACCAAATAAAAGACACCTGTGGGCCTTGTTTTCAGTCTCCAGTCTGGGAAGTGGATGTGAAATAATCACCTAACGAATGCCTTGTTCAGAGAATCCTCCGTTGCAGTGCTGGAAGAGGCCCGAGGCATTTGCAGCCTAAAGGCTTGCAGCCCCTTGCAATTTTGTGTGTTTTTACACATGAGCATTTTGGGGGAATGGGGATCAGATCTAAATCTTTCATCATATTCTCAAAGGAGCTCATGTACTAGAAAGGGTTAAGAACCACTTGTCTGGGCCAGCTCCCCTCATTCTATAGAGGAAGAGGCTGACCCAGACAGGGAGATGGGCTTGCCTGAGGTCTCACAGCAAATCACTGGCAGAGTGTGGCTGGGTCAAATGGAAAGGAGACTCTCACTCATCCCCCACCCCCGTTTACCCAGCTTTCAGCAGGCCTTGCTGCTGGCCTGGCCTGGTGCACTCAATGGACAGTCTCACCTGTGTGGGAAGCCCGGCCCGGGGCTGGGAGGTCAGAAGAGCTCCCTGGGTTTGCTGAGGTAGCTGGAATAGATTTGGTGTCGGTAGCAGGCCTGGAAAGACAAGGGGAAATACACAGGGTGAGGGGGAGGGGAAGGTGAGGAAGTTCTGTGGAGGCGTCAGGGAGGCCATCTGGGGTGGGGGCCTTACCTGGCTGGCTCTGCTGGGCCTGCGGTAGCAGGAACTGAGCAGGTGGCTGGAGGTGGTGGCCTGGCACAAGCACCAGCTGCTGGAGCTGGAGGAGCTGCTGTATGTCCTGGCAGGGAGTGGGGTGGACAGAAAGATAGCCTGAGTCCTGGCTGGGTTTCATCCTCTCTGCATCACCTGAACCTTGAGGGGCTGAAACCAGGAAGCTGCTCCACATGGCGATCTGGCACTGGGCAGTGAGGGATCGTCCACTCGGTCTCTGAATGGCATCCCTGAGCTAAGGGCACCCAGAGGCTTCTCTCTACCATGGGGTACCAGAGAGTCCCAACTGGGCAGTCCTGGGAGGGCTCACTCTTTATTTACCCTTTCTTTCTTTTTTTTTTTTTTTTTTTTTTTTTTTTTTGAGTCTCGCTCTGTCGCCCAGGCTGGAGTGCAGTGGTGTGATCTCGGCTCACTGAAATCTCCGCCTCCTGGGTTCACGCCATTCTCCTACCTCAGCCTCCCAAGTAGCTGGGACTACAGGTGCCCGCCACCACTCCCAGCTAATTTTTTGTATTTTTAGTAGAGACAGTTTCACCATGATAGCCAGGATGGTCTCAATCTCCTGACCTTGTGATCTGTCCGCCTTGGCCTCCCAAAGTGCTGGGATTACAGGCGTGAGTCACCGAACCCGGCTACCCTTTCTTTCTTGATGAAATATTTTCCTTGTTTTAACATTTCCGCAGAACAAATAGAATCATTTAAAAATGTAAGCCAGGCCGGGTGTGGTGACTCATGCCTGTAATCCCAGCAATTTGGGAGGCTGAGGCAGGCGGACACACCTGAGGCCAGGCGTTTAACACCAGCCTGGCCAACATGGCAAAATCTCGTCTCTACTAAAAATACAAAATTAGCCAGGTGTGGTGGTACACGCCTGTAGTCCCAGCTACTCCGGAGGCTGATGCAGGAGAATTGCTTGAACCTAGGAGGCATAGGTTGCAGTGAGCCGAGATCACGCCCCTTCACTCCAACCTGGGTGACAGAGCAAGACTCTGTCTCAAAAATAAATAAATAAATAATAAAATTGTAAACCAGACCAGGTCTTTCCTCCTTTAAAAACACTCCTGGCTGGGCACGGTGGCTCACACCTGTAATCCCAGCAATTTGGGAGGCCGAGCCAGGCGGATCACGAGGTCAGGAGATCGAGACCATCCTGGCTAACACAGTGAAACCCTGTCTCTACTAAAAATACAAACAATTAGCCAGGCATGGTGGCACACACTTGTAGTCCCAGCTACTCAGGAGGCTGAGGCAGGAGAATCGCTTGAACCCGGAGGCGGAGATTGCAATGAGCTGAGATCATGCCACTGTGTCTCTGCACTGCAGCCTGGGTGACAGAGCAAGACTCTGTCTCAAAAAACACAACAAAACAAACAAACAAAAAACACTCCCAAGGCAAATGATTTCATGTCTGGAATTAGCTTTAAAATACTCCAGCAAATAGTGTAAATTAGTACAACCACTCCGGGAAGCTCTTTAGCACTGTTATAGGTTGCAGTGTCTCCCCCCACTCCCTGCCACCCCCCAAAAAGGTAAGTTGGAATCCTAACCCCCAGAACCTCAGAGATTAACCCTATTTGGAGATAGGGTCTTTGGCAGATGATCAAGTTAAAATGAGGTCATTAGGGTGGGCTCTAATCCTATATGACTTGTGTCCTTATAAAAAGGGCAAATTTGGACATAGACATGGATAACGGGAAGATGATGTGAAGAGACACAGGGAAAAGACAGCCACGTGCAAGCCAAGGAGAGAGGCCTGGAACAGATCTCTCCATCACAGCCCTCAGAAGGGACAGATCCTTCCCTCACAACCCTGCTGACAGCTTGATTTCTGACTTCCAGCCTCAGAACTGTGAGGCAATATATTTACCTCAAGTCACCCAGTTTGTGGTTCTTTGTTTTGGCAGCCCTAGCAAACTAATATAGGCGCTATCTAAGAAAACTGGCTGGGCTTGGTGGCTCATGCCTGTAATCCCAGCACTTTGGGAGGCTGAGGCGGGAGGATCACGAGGTCAGGAGTTTGAGACCAGCCTGGCCAACATAGTGGAACCCCGTCTCTACTAAAAACACAAAAAATTAGCTGGGCATGGTGGTGGGTGCCTGTAATCCCAGCTGCTTGGGAGGCTGAGGCAGGAGAATCGCTTGAAGCCGGGAGGCGGAGGTTGCAGTGAGTTCAGATTGCGCCACTGCACTCCAGCTCGGGCAACAGTATGAGACTCCATCTCAAAAAAAAAAAAAAAAGAAAGCTGAACATACACCACCCTTAGGACCCAGCAACTCCACTCCTGCATGTAACCCACCATACATGTGTATGTGTTTACCACAAGACATGTACTACAATGTTCACGTGGACCATTTGAAATAGGCAGGACTTGAAGATAGCCCAAGCGCGCACAACAGTAGAATGGGTAAAGAAACTGTTTCAGTGGAAGCTACAGCAATGAGAATGAGCAGTCCACAAGTCATGGTTACATGCCACAACGTAGACTTCCCAAACATAATCAGTGAGAGAGCTAGTCATGACAGAGAACATCCTGTACGATTCTAATGGTTGAAGTTTGGGGAGTAAAGACTGAAAAGGGACACCAGGGGGCTTCTGGGAGCTGGCCACATTATTTCTAGATCTGGGTACCAGTTCCATGGGTGTGCTCACAGCTGTATACCTATGATTTGTGCACCTTTATATATGCATTATATTTTAATAAAAGTATTTTTTAAGACAGGGCCAGGCACAGTGGTATGTGCCTGTAATCCCAGCACCTTGGGTGGTTGAGGCAGGAGGACTGCTTGAGGCCAGGAGTTCAAGACCAGCCTGGGCAACATAGTGAGACCCCCATCTCAAAAAAAAAAAAATCTTGTTTGTATAGTGGTGAGTAAAAAATAAAGTAAAATAAAGGGAAAAAAGGGGGGATGAGGTAGGGAAAGAGGGAGGGGAAAAAAAATCCAATCCTCCACCCACCAAAAAAAGTGAGGGGTTTAGATGAAATCCTATTTGCCAATAGGAAGGGCAAAATGTTGATATCTATTGAGCTTGGTGAAGAGTATGTGGGGTTCATGACATAATTCTCTCTACTTTTACGTTTAAACATTTCTGAAAGAAAAAGCAAAACCGCTTTACACACACAATCCAATGGCTTCTCATAGCCCTCAACAATGCAAACAAAACCCCTCACCTGCCTACAAGTCCCTTTATACTGAGGCCTGTGTTCATCTCCCTGCTCATCTCCCACTGCCCTATCCCTCCTTGGCTGTGCTCCAGCCATTTAGCCCTTTTCTGTTTTTTTTTTTCAAATGCACCAAGCTTGTTCCTGCCTCAGGGCCTTTATACATGCCGTTCCCTCTCCTGGGCAGTTCTACTTCTGACACTAATGCCTGGATCCTAACACAAAGTCACCCTCTCAGAGATGCCCTCTTTGACCACCCAGTCTATACCAGCCCCTGGCCTGGCCTCCCCTTATCACCCCATTTCATCTCCCTCACAAGGCTTAACACCATCTCCAGGCATCGCTCCTCCTGTTTACTCATTCATGACATGCCCCTCTCACTGGAACGTCAGCTCCATGAGAGCATGATCTTGACTGTTTCAGTCACTGCTGTATCCTCAGTGCCTAGAACAGCACCTGGCACCCAGTAGGTGTTCCACATAGATATGTTAATGAACCAAGACTGATGCTTCATCATTTACTTGGCAAATTTTATGTAAAGTTGAAAGCTATAACATGTTACTTACAATTTTTTCCTTCTGGGAAATTGTGGGGGTTGGCACATGCCCCTCAATTCTTCCCAATGCTATTATTCCTAAAGACCAATTTGATGTGCCAGGAAGTGAACAAACTGGGAAAATATATAAGCAATTCAACAGAAGGGGCTCGTTTCTTTTTTTTTTTTTTTTTTTTTTTGAGATGGAGTCTCACTCTGTTGCCCAGGCTGGAGTGCAGTGGCACCATCTCGGCTCACTGCAAGCTCCGCCTCCCAGGTTCACGCCATTCTCCTGCCTCAGCCTCCCAAGTAGCTGGGACTACAGGCGCCCGCCACCACGCCTGGCTAATTTTTTTGTATTTTTATTAGAGACGAGGTTTCACCGTGTTAGCCAGGATGGTCTCGATCTCCTGACCTCGTGATCCGCCTGCCTCGGCCTCCCAAAGAGCTGGGATTACAGGCATGAGCCACCCTGCCCAGGCCAGAAGGGGCTCATTTCTTTAATATACAAAGAGAGATTTTGCAAATAACTCTATATAATTAAAGAAGAAGAAAAAAGTAGTGATTACAAATCCATAAGTAAAAAACTGACAACCCAGTAGTAATGTGGCTGACAGACAGGTCTGGAGAGTGCCCAGTGAAATTAATGTGAACAGCTCTGGATGGAAATACACTCAGATTCACTCGCAATAAGATAAACACGACTGCAATTGCACTGAGATATCATTTTTACCTCTCAGATCACCAAATATAAAAATAGTGTGTAATACCACATTGGGGAGTGTGGGGAAACACACATTCTTGTACATGCTGGTGAGAGGGTGATTTGGCAATGTCTATCAAAATTACAACTGCACACAGCCTTCAACTCAGCCATTCTACTGCTAAAAATTTATCTATTCTCACTCTAGAAGGCTGGGAATGGCCTTCTAGAGAGGTGCAAAATGACCTCTCTAGAAGGCTATTCCCAGCAGCAAGTGGCATTCTGGCAAAAGAGTAGAAGGTAGCTGAGCATGCAGCAAGACAGGATGGGTTGGATGAATGAGGGCAGAGCTCTACAGTGGAATACTATGCAGTCACCAGCAAGAATGAGGAGTCTCTTTGTGTCCTGACATGGAACAATCTGCAGGATGTCCTGTTGAGTGGAAAGCTCAAGAGGCAGAACAGAGGGTATGAGGTGGTACTGTTTGTGTCACACACAAAAAAAGAGTATATCTGGATATTTGCTTGGGTATGCATAGTTGATGTCTGGAAAACCATACCAGAAGGCCACGCTGTAAATCCATTCATACCTCTGGGATTTGAAACATGTACCTGGTCTGAGTAAATAAATATCCCAGTGTCTCACCCCCACCCACCCAAACAGTCACTGCTGATCAACATCCCTGCTTTTCGACAGCTGAACACTATTCCCTGACCCCCTGGGGGTGCCTCTGCTTATTCCGTGTATGGCAGTGGACTGGGTACTCCTGTGCTCCTGACCTCTCTAACTCTTGCTGCTAATCATCTCAGAATCCAGCTTAAGGGTTCTGAAGTCCTAGCACTCTATCCTGTGAAACAATGTCCACCCTGCCTTCCCTTTCCCAGCTACCCCCAGCCCAGTAACACCTCCATGGTCACCTCCCTCCAGATGTGGATCAACTGTGAAGCGGGCAACACTTATGCTTCAGGGCCCCCCATTTACAGTGAACCCTTTCAAGGCCCCATACCTAATTTTTGTTTCAAACATTGTCTTTTTCTTTCAAAGGGACTCCAAGTTGCATAATCTTTTGGCCCCACAAAACGAGACCCACCTGCCCTGTGCTACACGTCTCCCAAGTCAATGCATTTGCTTATGTGTACTTTTCCTCTGCCAGACTGACTCTAGCAGACCAGAGGCATATCTTATTCTTCGTATATCCCTAACTCATATCGGAACCTGGTAAGCCCCCATTAAATGCCCACTGAATTGAATCTAATGAATAAGACTAGAAATCAAGTCTTATTACCAGCATTTTTCTGATTTCCTATAACCCTTAGCTTGTTGATTAAAGTATTTGTTAACTCCTGTTCCTCCCTAGCATGACTCTCAATGAAAATTCCCCTTTCCTCCAGAAGCCTAGAGAGGTGTCTGTGGGTTTCGTTCTGAATCACCAGCGAGAGGAAAGAATGGGGAAAGTGCATCCCAGTTTGCAGAAGGTCTCATGGTGAGAAGTTCAGATGGGAAACATTTAATCACATCCCTGTCTAGTTTCTCAGACCAGAGACTTAGGGGTCAGCCTTAATCCCACCTTCCCTTCCTCTCCCCATCCATCCAATCCATCTGCAATGCAAGTCTTCCCAGTTCCCTCTACATCTCTTCCTGTCCACAGTGACTGTCCTGGTCCAAACCACCATCCTTCTACCCCAGACCATCCATTCGCCCCCAGGCAGGCAGAGAGGGGTCTAAAACAATAGAGGTCTAAATGTTTTTGTGCCCTGAATTCTTCAGCATCTGAAAAAAAAAAAAACCTATTGCCCTCTTCTCAGAATTAAAAACACATAACATATGATATATAGGATCTTTCTTTTTTCTTTCTTTCTTTCTTTCTTTCTTTCTTTCTTTCTTTCTTTCTTTCTTTCTTCTTTCTTTCTTTTTCTTTCTTTTCTTTCTTTCCCTTCTCTCTCTCTCTTTCTTTCTTTTTTGAGATGAGATGGAGTCTCCCTCTGTCACCCTGGCTGGAGTACAGTGGCTCAGTCTTGCTTGGCTCACTGCAACCTCTGCCTCCCGGGTTCAAGCAATTATCCTGCCTCAGACTTCCAAGTAGCTGAGGCTACAGGTGCACCCACCATGCCCATGCCCAGCTAATTTTTGTATTTTTAGTAGAGAAGGGGTTTCACCATGTTGGCTAGGCTGGTCTCAAACTCCCGACCTCAGATGATCCACCCACCTCGTCCTCTCAAAGTGCTGGGGTCACAGGTGTGAGCCACCATGTCCAGCCAGATATATAGAATTTCAAATGAAATCAATCACATAATTATAGTCATCATCACTAGGGACTCCAAAGGGAGGGAGAAGGGCAAAGGCTGAAAAACTTCCTACTGGGTACTGTGTTCACTACTGGGTGACAGGAACAATTATACCCCAAACCTCAGCATCCATGCAATATAACCCTTGTAACATACCTACACATGTATCCCTGAATCTAAAATAAAAACTGGCTGGGCACAGTGGCTCATGCCTATAATCCCAGCACTTTGGGAGGCTAGATGTGAGAATCTTTTGAGCCCAGGAGTTTGAGACCAGCCTGGGCAAGATGGCAAGACCCTGTCTCTACAAAAAGAAAAAAACAAGAAGGAGGAAGAGGAGAAGGAGGAAGAGGAGGAGGAGGAGGAAGAGGAGGAGGAGGAGAAGGAGGAGGAGGAGGAGCAGGAGGAGAAGGAGAAGGAGAAGGAGGAGAAGGAAAATTAGCCAGGCATGGTGGTGCATGCCTGTGGTCCCAGCTACTCAGGATGCTGAGGTGGGAGGATCCCTTGAACCCAGGAGTTTGAGGTGGCAGTAAGCTATGATCACACCATGGCACTGCAGCCTAGGCAACAAAGGGAGACACCCGTCTCCAAAAAACAAAATAAAATAAAATAAATTAATTAAAATTTGGCTGGGTGCGGTGGCTCATGCCTGTAATCCCAGCATTTTGGAAGGCCAAGGCGGGCGAATCACTTGAGTTCAGGAGTTTGAGACCAGCCTGGCCAACATGGTGGAACCCCATCTCTACCAAAAAAATACAGAAAAAAAATTAGCCAGGTGTGGTGGCGGGCGCCTGTAGTTGCAGCTACATGGGAGGCTGAGGAAGGAGAATCACTTGAACCCAGGAGGCAGAGGTTGCAGTGAGCTGAGATCACACCACTGCACTCCAGCTCGAGCAACAGAGTGAGACTCCGTCTCAAAAAAAATTAATTAATTAAAATTTAAAAAAATATAGGCATCAAACATATTTTGAGTGGTCATAAAATCATTTATGGGTTTCTTTATTAGCACACTAAGTAACAAGATCCAGCAATAGATCTGATGACTACTGTAATTTCAAAGCAATCATGAGTGAAAACAGTGTTTTGAGAGATCTGCAACAACTATAAGAGAATTTGAAAATCTGCGTACATTCTCTTGGTGACAAAGTCTCAGTACCGCTAATACTACTGTTGTCTGTTGTCTATATTCATGATAGAGGGACATGCTATGGTTTGGTCAGAAGATAGTAAAAATTGAGATGTAATTTTTTTCCCATCCAAGTTCATGGACTCTGAATTCTATGCACAGACTCTTCTAGGGGTGGTCTATGGAGTCCAAGTCCCTGTTTTAAAATATAAATTAAGCCATAAGGCCTCTACTGATTTTCATCACATTTGTGGTATAATCCAGATCCAGGCTATGGTCCTGCATGGCCTGCCCACCACCCCCGCTTACCTCTCCTTCCTTGCCTCACACAACTCTAACTCCCTAACTCTGATCCAGCCCCACTGATCTCCTTCCTGTTACTGAACCACAAAGAAGTCCCCACCTCATACCTTTGCTATACCCTTTCTAGATCTACACAGAGGTGGTCCCTCCTCATCATTTAAGTCTCCATCAAACGCCCCCTCCCTAGAGAGGCCTTCTCTGGCCACACACTCTTATGAAGTCTTCTTTTTCCTCCAACACTCTCTATTACACTCTTTTCTTTCCTTCATAGCAATTATCTGCTTCCTGCCTATCTCCCCAACTACAGCGGGTGTCAGCTCCAAGAGGGCACAGACTTATCTACCTCATTCCCCGCTATATCCTCACCCAGAAAGGCACTTGGGCATGGTGATATTCACTAAATATTTGCCAACTAAAGGAATGAAAGAAGGGGAGAAAGATGATGGGGCATGGTGGCTCGCACCTATAGTTCCAGCACTTTGGGAGGCTGAGACAGGTGGATTGCTTGAGCCCAGGAGTTCCAGACCAGCCTGGGCAACATGACGGGGTCTCTACAAAAAATCCAGGCATGGTGGCACGTGCCTGTAGTCCCAGCTACTCGGGAGACTGAGGTGGGAGGATGGCCTGACCCTGGGAGGTCAAGGCTGCAGTGAGCCATGGTCACGCCACTGCACTCCAGCTTGGGTGACACAGAGAGACCCTGTCTCAAAATAAAACAAAGAAAAAAAAAGAAAGAAAGGAGAGAAGACAAGATTCTGGGTGAACAGGAACAGTAAGTTGGCTCAGGACTAGGGTAAGCCGGTAGGAGGCGCCATTTCTCCACAATCCAGCGGCAGCATGGCCCTCTGAAGCCACTTGAGGGCGTGTTACGTCCGAGTCAGAGCACACCAGTCAGAGGGTGGAGAAGGTATAGTAAGTGGAGACAGGCCAGAGAAAAGACCCTGGCTGGCATATTTTGTAGATCAGCTGCTCTGTCCCTAAGCTTTAAGGAAACCTAGCACAAGAGCTAGCATGCCTGTGAAAGCTGAGAAGGGACGGTACCGATTCTTGCTCATTGCTGTATTTTGATCACCCTCCCAGTGCAGGAGCCTCATAGGTGATCAATACATTTTCAATGAATGAATGAGGTGAAACCTCAGGACAGACTGGCAGTACTTTGCCATAGCTGGGACTTTGGCTATGACTGGGGGCAGAAAGGTTGATATGTGGATTGCAGGATACATGGGTGAATTGCCCACTTTCCTACCAGGGCTCAGTTCCACCTGGGGGAGAAGAGAAAGCCATGACAGTGAACTTGAGGAGTTCACTGAGGAGGAGCCCCAGAGCCGGCCGGCTGCAACGGCCCAGGTGCTGCACCTCACTCCAGTGCACAGGCCAGACGGCCCATCCCCCATGGCCTCTCGCGCCCCCATTAGAGGCCTCCACACAATCTCTGGCAGCCACCATGACTGGAATGGTGTTGGCGCATGAGTTGACATTCCTTTGCCATCCCTGATATGGCAAATTGTGACCAGCTCTGGATCTTCCCTCTCTAAGACAAGTTAAGTCCAGAGTAGGGGAGAACAGGAAGGAGTGGGGTCTGGGAACTATGTAAACTATATCGTGATAGATTGTGTTCAAAATGAGGAAGGGAGGATGGATGGGGAAAGGGAAGGCGGACAACGGACACAGTTTCAGTGAGATAACAGGAATACATTCTGGTGTTCTATTGCACGGTGACTACTGCTAATAATGTACTGCATATTTCAAAATATCAAAGACAGAGTTTTAGTTTTAGTTTTTGTTTTTTAAGAGACAGGGTCTTGCTCTGTTACCCAAGCTGGAGTGCAGTGCGTGATTATAGCTCACTGCAGCCTTGAACTCCTGGGCTCAGGCCATCCTCCCGCTTCAGACTCCCAAGTAGCTGGGATTACACTGCGCCACTGTGTCTGGCAAGAAGAGTACTTTAAATGTTTTCACCACGAAGAAATGATAAATATTTGAGGTGATAAGTATGCTAATTAGCCTGATTTGATCATTCCACAATGTATACCTGTATCAAAACATCATATTTTACTCCATAAATATATACAATGATTATTTGCTACTTAAAAATAAAATAAAACTCAGCTGGATGCAGTGACTCACGCTTATAATCCCTGCACTTTGGGAGGCTGAGGTGGGAGGATCACTTGAGGCCAGAAGTTCAAGACCAGTTGGGCAACATAGTGAAACCCCATCTCCACAATTTTTTTTTTTTTTTTTACTTATCCAGATATGATGGTACATGCCTGTAGTCTCAGCTACTTGGGAGGCTGAGGTGGGAGGATTGCTTCAGCCAGGAGGTTGAGGTTGCAGTGAGTTATGATGGCGCCACTGCACCTCACTGCAGTGAGTTATGATGGTGATAGAGCAAGACCTCGTCTCTAAAAAAATGAATAACTACATAAATAAAATAAAACTTAAAATTAAAATGAGGTCAGGCTTTCTGACACTCTGAGTAATCTCAGTCTGTCTGGTGGTGGGACGCACTGCCTGGGAAGGGAGTGGGTGCCTGCCATGGAAGCCACCTGGGTGAAAATCCCCACCTGGCAACAACACCAACAAGGAAACGCCTAACCTAGGGGAAGGTTAGACTAGTGGGGTGCAAGGGTCCCTTCCAGCTTGGAAACTCGGGGGTTTGAGCCTTAGCCCTCTCACCTGCTTCTTGCTGTGTGCCTGGGGGAAGCCACTTTCCCTCTGGGCCCCAGCCTCCTTAACTGTACAGGATCACGATGCAAGTTGTTATGGAGAGACCTGGGCCTTGGAGCCCAGAATCCTGACTGCCCCTCACACACCTCAGGCCGTTCCTTACCCTCTTTAAGCCTCAGTTTCCTCAGGTGACACCACAATAAGTCTTACTTCATGGAGCTGTTAAAGGAATTAAATGAGACAATATGTGTAGAATGTTTAGCCTGATTCCTCTTCACTTAATTGGTCCTTCATAAATGGCAGTCATTATGACTGAGTCATTTCTCTCCCAGGGCCTCAGTTTTCTTATCTGTAAAATGGGGATAATAATGTCTACTTTTTCACTGGGTTGTTCTGAGGCCTGAGTAATATTATCTAGAAAGCATTTTGGAAATTACAACATATCCCTCAAAATGAGCATTTGCTACCATTGCCCACCTCATGTCACCACACTTGAATGTGAGCTCTTGAGGGTGGGAACCCAATCTGGCTGAGTCCTTCCTTCCTTCCATCTGTCCATCTATCCTTCTTTCCTTTTCTTTCTTTCTCTCTTTCTTTGGAGACAGGGTCTTACTCTATCTTCTGGGCTGGAGTGTCATGGTGCAATCATAGCTCACTGCCATCTTGACCTCCCATGCTCAAGCGATCCTCCTGCCTCAGCCTCTCAAGTAGCTTGGGGGCTATGGGCATGCATCACCACACCTGGTTAATTTTTTTTTTTTAAGATACAGGGTCTCTCTATGTTGCCCAGGCTAGTCTCGAACTCGCCTCAAGCCGTCCTCCTGCTTTGGCCTCCTAAAGTGTTGGGATTATAGGCATAAGCCACTGTGCCTGGCCAAATTCATTCTCTTCCTGACAACTAACAACTTCCAGCTCCTGCCCAGATACTCTGCTGAGCTTCAGCCTCAAATATGCATCTGCTTAGTTGATGTTCCCATGTGGATGATTAATAGACTCATCAAACCCTAACATGTCCAAAATGAAACTGCTGGCTCTCTACCCCAGCCTTCCAAAACATCCCATTCCTCCCATCTTCCCCAACTCAGGAAACCACGTCATTACCACCCAGCTGCTGAAGCCAAAATCCTAGGAGTCATCCTTGACCTATCCAATCAATACAAAATAGCAACCAGGATCCCCATCCTCACCCTCCTGGCTCAAGCCACCCTCATGTCCCATCTGTATGCCTTCAAGGACTTCCTACTGGGCTCTCTTTTCTACTCTTATCCCCTGCAGTCCATTCTCCTATCCCCTGCAGTCGATTAGTACAGTCACTCCACTAGGGCAAGCTCTAAAGATGGGAGTAGGGGCAGAGGAGTGGCCGTTCTCCAGTGTGGGTTCTTCTCTGGACCCCCAGTGGTTGGCCCTGTGACATGGAACCCAGGAAGTTGTGGCGATCAGGGCAGAATACCACAAATGGAGAATGATTCAACAGGGAGAAAAAAATACCTACATATGGACTGCATATTACATCACATGCTACCTTATGCTAAAATTCCAGGACAGACAGGCAACAGCAGATCCCAACCCAGGAACCAGTGGGAGCAACTGGCATGCCTGGGCCAGGCTCCTGGACTCCAAGGCCCTGTGGATGAACTGACCACACACCTCCAGGTGGGCAGTTTTGATTGGCCTGGTACCCACTGCCCCTTCTTCAACTTATTCAAGCAACAGAACCCATCTCTTTCAGGGGTTACACTTTCCCATCCTCAAGTCACGAGGTCCAGGTAGGGCTGACCTTGCCTTCTCTGGGGTCGAGGGCAAGGGCTCAAATCTAGCCAGGGGACGTGTTTTTGTTTGTTTATTTTATTGAGACAGAGTCTCACTCTGTTGCCCAGGCTGGAGTGCAGTGGCACGATCTTGGCTCACTGCAGCCTCCACCTCCTGGGTTCAAGCAATTCTCTTGCCTCAGCCACCCGAGTAGCTAGGATTACAGGCGCATGCCACCACGGCCGGCTAATTTTTGTACTTTTAGTAGAGACGGGGTTTTACCATGTTGGCCAGACTGGTCTTGAACTCCTGACCTCAAGCGATCCGCCCACCTCGGCCTCCCAGAGTGCTGGAATTACAGGCCTGAGCCACCCTGCCCGGCCCAGGGGACGTATTTTATCTCCCTGGGCAGGATAGCTACAAGTCTGGAAATGCTGACACCCATTTTACCTGCCCTACAATGAAACAGGGAGACAGACCCCTGGAGCTGGGCCTGATATTCCAGACCAGGCCTTTTCAGTGATCTGAGCCAAATATTCCTGAGTCTTCTTCAGCCACCTGGACTTGGGCTTTGGCTCCTCCCTCCCAGCTCATCCATCCCTATTTGTGCGGCTACAGCCTGCCCTGTTTTCTCACTTTGCACTTGCCATTCCCACAGCCTGGAAGCCCCTTCCCAGCAAACTCCTTCCCATTCCCCTGAGTTCAGATCCCACCTCCTCCTGAAAGCCTGGACAGATGTGGGTCCTGATTCCCTCAGACACACATCACATTTCTCTTCCCACATTCCCATCACACTCAGTTGGTTTCTTTGGGAAACTTTCACTCGCTAGGTCGTAGCAGCCTAAAAGATTTTGTCAAGCTTTATTTGCCATGGTCCTATTAGGAAAATAGGAAATTTTCCCCCCTACTCTCCAATATAAAATGATGTTTTAACTGTTAACGTAAGTTTTCAATCAATGCCTGCCCCTACCCCAGACATTCTGAAATACTTCCCTGGAGAGATATCTCTCCTATCCTTGATTGAAAATCTGCCGCAAAACATCCCTCATTGATTCGGTAAATATCCACACAGCCCCCTCGGCAGAAGGCAGCACACTGAGCAATGGACAGACAAATTATAGAACTGTATTATAATTGCCCCTTCGTCTGTACAAGCTAGGAGATTGCAGGGAAGGATCCTGCCAAACTGTTTAACCAGCATTTACTTTGGAAGCTGACATCAGAGGGCTGGAAGGGGGGCTTTTCCTTGGTACTTTATATAATTTCAAAGGGATAGCATTTATGAGTGTTTTTTACTCTCTTTCCTGGGCTTCTTAGTATCTTTCAAGTGAAACATTTCTTAGTGGCTCACTGATGTGCTTGCTCCACTGCAGGACGGGGAGCCCCTCAGGGGCAAGGATGGCTGTGACTCACTCCTAAGTCTTCAGCTTCCTGCCATGGCCTGACACACAGGAGGCCAGGAAATGTTTGTGGAATGACTGCAGGATCAGAGCTTAGCAGGCATGAGAAGTGGACTGGGGGGTGGAGGTCATGAGATGCGGCCCGGGAGAGACATCCGAGCCTAGGAGCCGGGGAAGGCTGGAGCAGTGGGTAGGTAAGTCAGGAAGAGCTGGTCCCTCTGCAGCCTGGGCCCAGCACAGTGCCCATAGGAGGTGCTGTTGTAGAAATGACGTCAAAGGGCAACTCAGTTTGTGAGAGAGAATTCCCAGAAAACAAACTTGGCCCAGCTTTGCACTTGTTGAAGACAGAAAGGGAAAGATCAGAGCTGAGGGAAGCTGGGGAAGGAGGAGTGAGAGGAAAGGAGGAGGGGTTTAAGGAGCCCTTGACAATCAGGGCCTGGGCTATACGGCAGGTGGTGGAGGCTCAGCTTGCTGCTGCTGGGTCCCTGGGGAGCTGGGGGAGGTGGCTCTAGGAGTGCATAGGCAAGAATGTCTGCTGCTCACAGAGATGGTGGCCTGGCTGGGTCTGCGCTAGGCTGCCCTGTTCTGCCTTCTATCCTCTAGTCTTTGTTCCTTCAACTGATATTTCCTCGAGCAGATTCAGGCACGGCTGGGGGGAGGGAAGTCATCATGACTTCCTAGAGGTGTGGACTCCTGGGCTGGGGCTCAGATGAAGAGGAACTGTCCAGGTAAAGGAAGGGAGCAGACTTCCCGGGAAAAGAGAGAACAAGAGCAGGGCCACTGAGATGCAAAAGAGCTCAGCCCCAGTGAAGAGCCCCAAGCCCTTGGCGTTGCTCAGTAAAGGGCTGTCTATGCTACAAGGCAAATGGAACACCTGCTGCTGGAGTCTCTGGTGGCCGGGGTGGGAGGGGCTAGAAACCATGTTCCGTGAAGGACAGCTAAAAGCAGCAGCCGCGGATCATGTGGTTAGAGCCCTGGACTTCCAGGCCGGCTCTAACACTCATGCTTACAGAATAATCTGGGGCAGGTCACTTTACCCCTTGGAGCCTCAGCTGTGGGGAGGATTCATGGGAGCAAAGAGGCCATCACTGGCATGGTGCCTGGAAGAAAGGTGGCACCCAACAGACTAGTTACTGTTACTTCAAGAGCCAGGTATTGAAAGGCTACATCTGGGCTGAGCACCGTGGCTCATGCCTATAATCCCGCACTTTGAGAAGCCAAGGTGGGCAGATCGCTTGAGCTCAGGAGTTCAAGACCAGCCTGGGCAACATGGCAAAAACCTGTCTCTACAAAAAATATGTATATATAAAAAAATTAGCTGGGTGTGGTGGCATGCACTTGTAGTCCCAACTACTCAGGAGGCTGAGGTGGGAGGATTACTTGAGCCCAAAGAGGTCGAGGCTGCAGTGAGCCATAATCCGCCACTGCACTCCAGCCTGGGCAGCAAAGCAAGACCTCATCTCAAAAAAAAAAGGCTACATCTACAAGAGCCATCACGGAGCCATGCGCCCAGTTTACAGAGTGTCTCCACAGAACCAGGCCCAGTGGAAGGAAGTTCTAAGGAGGCAGGTTATCAGCTCAGTGTTAAGGAAAGTCCCAAATGGGAGCATTGGCCAATAATGGAACGGGCCATTATTGGGGTGAACTGTAACAAGGGAACAGCCTTACCAGGGCTGGACAGCTCCCTGCATGGACAGCATCTATATCTAGGGTTCTGTGGAAGTGGTTGGACGGAGTGAGAGAAAAGCCTTTTGTGGAGCAGTCACTGAGGGAAACGCCAGGCTAAGGGAAGTTAAACAGGTGGCTTTGCTGTAGGGCTTCCCACGACCTTCACTGCCCTGAAACTTGGCCACAGCTCTAAGGCTTATGAAAACCAGACAGACAACATGAATGGGTGAAAACCAGACAGACAACATGAATGGGTGACATGGGAAGGGGTGGACAGGAGTGGGCTGGAGACAGCTGCCCTTCGGAAGAGGAAGCCTACTCAGCTCCCACTCTGCTCCCCCGGCTGTCCTTATGGGAACTCTGTTGGCCACTGTTAGGGGTTAAATTGTGTCCCCAAAAAGATATGTGGAAGCCCTCACTCCTGGTACCTGTAAATGTGACCTTATTTGGAAATAGGGTTGCAGATGTAATCAAGTTAAAATGAGGTCAATGGGGTGGGCCCTAAACTAATGACTAGTGTCCCTACAAGAAAGAAAAATTTGAATACAGAGACAGGTGCACAGAGAGAAGATGGCCATGTGACGACAGAGGAGGCAGAGATTGGAGTGAGCCATCTACTAAGCTATGGAACACCAAGGATTGACAGCACCATCGGAAGCCAGAAGAGGCAATGACAGATTCTCCCTGGGAGGCTTCAGAGAGAGCACGGCCCTGCCGATACCTTGAGTTTGGACTTGTGGTTGGAGACAATATGTTTCTGTTGCCTTAAGCCACCCAGTTTATGGTATTATGTTACGGCAGCCCTAGGAAACTGAGACAGCCACTAATTCATGATTAACTATGGACCAGCAAAAGCTCCAGAGTCAGGGAGGTGATGGAGAACCTCCTAATTCATAGATCACGGGCCCCTTTTTTGAAAGAGCATCTTGTTGGATAAGCCAGGGGACACGATGAGGGTAGGGCACTCATTCTTATTCTTAACCTTTTGTTTTGTACCCACATGGTACCATTCACGAGAGTGACTCCTGGTTTCCTTACCTGTATGTTGAGGACAACAATCTCAACCTCCCAGGAGGCTGTGAACTCCCAGCGAGATGCACAGGAAGCACTGCCCCCAACACACCACCAGAGGGAGGATTATGATGTGGGATATTCCTCCCTGTGAGCCTCACTTTACCCCTCTGTAAGATGGGACAGCAACATCTTCCAAAGCTTCCTAGGGTTGCTAGGAACTGCCTGGCATGTGGCTGGTGGTCAGAACAGTCCATGTGGACCAGTCAGCCCCTTCCCACACACTCACTGTTTCTGCATGTCCTTCACTGCAGGGAGCCTGGTCCCCAGTGGCTGCCCTTACCTGTGCTGTGAGCTGGATGGGTTGGGACAAGGTGAGCTGTGGGGTCCCAGGGGGCTGGCTGGCAGGCTGTGGTGGTGGCAGGTCACCCCCCCCAGAGGAGGCTGGGGGCTGTGAGGTCGAGGAGGAGGCAGAGGAGGAGGAGGAGGAGGAAGTAGAGGAGGAGGCGGAGGCGGCGGCGGCGGCGGCAGCGGCGTTAGCGGCAGCGGCGGCACTGGACTGCTGCACGGCGGCGGCCAGGAGCTGGGCCTGGGCTTGCTGCAGGAGGAGCTGCTGCTGAGCTGGCATCAGTGCCGTGAGCTGCGGGGTGTCGGGGACAGCAGGAATTGGAGCAAGGGGTTGAAGAGGAGCAGAGAAGGCAGAGAGGGGTTAGTGCCTAAGCCAAGCAAGTAAGGGGACAAGACCTCCTAGAGGACAGAAGAGGGCAAGAGGCAGGTGTGAGAGAGTGGCCATGGCCTTGGTGGAACAGTTCATCCACTAGCCCTGTAACAGATGAGGGGTGGCTGGTTTGTCCCCTCGTCCCCATCCTTCCCCAAGTACTTACCCCAGCTAGCTGGCTGCCCGTCAACATGAGTTGGGCCTGGGGCAGATGAGGCTGGGCCGGCTGAGGGGGCAGGGGTGCTGCTGGGGCTGAATCGCCACTGGGGTCTTCAGCCTTGATCTGGGGGGGAGAGAGGCAGGGTCCGGGACCCCAGAATGTTAAGTGGAGGCCAGAGAGAATGCCCACCTGTGAACCAAAGAGAGGGCACGTGTGTGGCAATGGCAATCAGGCTGGCACAGGAGGAGCAGACTGGGGTGTGGACATGAGGGTGCAGTCTGTGGTCCTGCACTGACCGCTGGGAGCTTCAAACCACTCCTCTGGCCTCAGTTTCCTCATCAATCAGATAGGGCTAACACAACACCTGCACCCAAACTCCCTACAGAAGTCGCCTTTGCAGAGCACTTTTCCCCTCCTGAGAGTCAGTTTTCCTGTCTGTAAAATGGAAAAGAGTGGCTGGGCACGGTGGCTCATACCTGTAACCCTAGCACTTTGGGAGGTCGAGGCAGGCGGATCACTTGGGGTCAGGAGTTTGAAACCAGCCTGGCCAACATGGTGAAACCCCATTTCTGAAAAAAAAAAAGGAAAATACTCCCACTGGGCACCTGGGAGGTCAAATAAGTGGCTTCTGGGTCCCACACCCTTCATCTGTATCACACAGAGGTACATCTCTCTTGCTTTTTTTTTCTTTTTGTTTTTGAGACAAGGTCTCACTCTGTTGCCCAAGCTGAAGTGCAGTGGCATGATCACAGCTTACTGCAGCTTCTACCTCCCAGGCTCAAGCAATCCTCCCACCTCAGCTTTCCAAGCAGCTGAGACTACAGGTGCCCACCACACACCTGGCTAATTTTTAAATTTTTCTGTAGAGACAGGGTATCACTATGTTGCCCAGGCTGGTCTTGAACTCCTAGGCTCAAGCGATCCTCCTGCCTTGGCCTCCCAAAATGCTGGAATTAGAGGCATAAGCCACTGCACCTAGCCAGGTACATCCCTTATTTGTCCAATGAAGTAAGACTTTGTTGGAAGAAAAGGTTTTCAGGTACTAAGAAAAACCACCACCTTGGAACCTGGGCTACAAAGTCAGATGCTTACAGAAATGGGCACAAATGAATGACAGGAGTAGGGGTGGATGGAGGTGGGCTGGAGAGAGCGCCTGCCTAAGTGGAAATCTTATCTGGCTCCTACTCAGCTCCTGCTGGCCACTCTTTTCAAAATCTAGAACAAAAATACTGGCATAATAAGCAAAGCACAGCATTTGTCCTGCACTGTGGACAAGCCAGATGTGGCCCAGGAAATACCAGGCTTCAGCCTCCGCTCCTGAGGTCTGCCAAGCCTCTCCATGTCTTTCTGAATATGATATGGACACACCTTGCACCATACACACAGAACAGACCAGCATAGAGCCACCCTGGCCTCCTCCATTCCTAGGTAAAAAGCCAGACAACAGCAGTTGTTGGCTGAAAGGCCTGTTGGCTGAAGCACACACAGTGGTGGGAGAAGGCATGGCCTGATGGATCACACACCCTCAGGCCTAAAGTGGACAGTGAGTTTATCCTTCAGCCTGATAGCCCAACACCATTTTGTAAAAGGAAGTCCAGAGACAGAAAGCAACTTGGGCAAAATGACACAGTGTGTTGGCAGGGGGGTGATATTTGGAATGTGGACAGAGACAAACAGAGGCCAAGGAAAGGCCAAATAATAGACAGTGAATGGCATGTCCCAAATTATGGAATATAAGTATTAGAAAGTTTAAGAGCTACAGAGGCCAAGTGTGGTGGTTCATGCCTGTAATCGCAGCATTTTGGGAGGCTGAGGCAGGAGGATTGCTTGAGGCCAGGAGTTTGAGACTAGCCTGGGCAACAGAGCAAGACACCGTCTCTTAAAAAAAAAAGAGAGAGAGAGAGGTTAAAAAAAAAAAAGTGCTGCAGAGATGCAGCATGAAATGACACTGAGTATGAGAAGTCAGGGTAGCAGCTATCCCTGGCAGGGGCATTAAGGGCCTCTGGAAGGCTGGTCGTGCTCTGCTTCTTGATCTGGTGCTAGTGACATGGGTGTGCTAAGTTTCTGAAAGTTCACAGAGTCATACATTGAAGATCTATGTGTGTTTTTAATGTGTATCATATTTTAATACAAAGTTTTTTTAAAAATAGGCTGAGCGCGGTGGCTCGCCCCTTAATCCCAGCACTTTGGGAGCCAAGGTGGGAGGATCACTTGAGGTCTGGAGTTCGAGACCAGCCTGGCCAACATGGTGAAACCCCATCTCTACTAAAAATACAAAAATTAGCCAGGCATGGTGGCACACACCTGTAATCCCAGCTAATTGGGAGGCTAAGGCAAGAGAATCACCTGAAGCCGGGAGGTGGAGGTGCAGTGAGCCAAGATGGTGCCATCGCACTCCAGCCTGGGCGACAGAGCGAGACTCCGCCTCAAAAATCGCTTGAACCCAGGAGGTGGAGGTTGCAATGAGCCGAGATCATGCCATTGCACTCCAGCCCGGGTGACAGTGCGAGACTCCGTCTCAAAAAAAAAAAGTTTTAAAAAAATAATGTTGAATGCCATGGTGAGCACACTATTCCCTTTTCAGTGCTTTTTTCATTGTTTCTGGTTATCTTAAAGTCTCTGATTGGTGCTTGAATGTCTTTACCATCTCTCCAATACTAGCTAATCTCCACTTTTATTTTAATTTTTTTTTTGAGACAGGGTCTTGCTCTGTCACCCAAGCTGGAGTGCAGTGGCACCATCAGGACTCACTGCAGCCTCAACTTCCCAGACTCAAGCGATCCTCCTGCCTCTGTCTCAAGTAGCTGAGACTACAGGCATGCACACCCAGCTAATTTTTGTATTTTCTGTAGAGACAGGGTCTCACTATGTTGCCCAGGCTGGTCTTGAACTCCCGGGCTCAAGCGATCTACCCACCTTGGCCTCCCAAAGTGTTAGAACTACAGGCTTGAGCCACTGCATCTGGCCTAATCTCCTTTTTTTTTTTTTTTTGAGCTGGAGTCTTTCTCTGTTGCCCAGGCTGGAGTGCAGTGGTGCAATCTCGGCTCACTGCAACCTCTACCTCCTGGGCACAAGCAATTCTCCACAATGCCTCAGCCTCCCAAGTAGCTGGGATTACAGGCACTCACCACCATGCCCGGCTAATTTTTGTATTTTTAGTAGAGTCGAAGTTTCACCGTGTTGGCCAGGCTGGTCTCAAGCTCCTGACCTCAGGTGATCTGCCCGCTTTGTCTCCCAAACTGTTGGGAATACAGGCATGAGCCACCGCGCCCAGCCCTAATCTCCTTTTTTAATAAGCCTCTTTTTAATAAGCCTCTTTTTTAACAGGCCTCTGAGGTTTAGACCCTTCGGCACACAAGAGACTCTGGGTAAATTTTAATAATCATCATATTTATTTCCATGGCAAGTGATTCTGGTTTTCCATTTGTGAAATTTCCATTTAAAAAACATTTATTTAAAAAGCTGTCGAAAAGCAAGCCAGTTCATGAGTTGGTAATTGTTGAAGCTGATTGATGGGTATCTAGGGGCTTTATTTTCATTATAACCTTCTCTCTATTTCTGTATCCACTTCACATTTTCCATAATAAGGTGCTTTTTTAAAAAATTGAGCCAATTAACAAAATTATTATGTAAATAGTTGCGCACAGTGGTCTTATGCCTGAGACTGTGACAGAAGCACATGAATCACTTCAGTTAGGGAAAGACTGACACAGAAGAGATGGAGAGAAGTTGAGAGGCAAAGCCCAGAGAAACAGGGCGTACAGGGCGAGTTGTGGACAGAGCCCGAGGCCAGGAAGGGGAGGGAGAAACCTTCATTCCCTTGGTCCCACTGGCATCCCCAAAAGAAGGAAGCCTGCTGCCAGTTTGAGAACAGACTGCAAAGATCTGATTCAACTGAGGACAGGGTGGGGGCAATGGATACACGCTGTGCTCTGAGGGCTAAGGCAATAGCCAAACCTGCCATCAGAGGGTCAAGGAGGTCAAGATCGAGAGCCTGTCTCCCCTAGACCCCGTTCAAAGCGCTCAGCACAGAAGCAGGACATCTGCTCACAAAGCACTTTTATCCTCTCCTCTCATGGTAGCATGGGGGTACACCAGACATGGAGGCAACCACAGAGGCCATCCCATCCGACTGCCCCCTCCCCCCTGACCAATGATACTGAAGAGGAAACTGAGAGGCCCAGAGAGGGGAAGTGACTTTCCCATGGTCACAGAGCAAAGCTGTAGCAGGGTGGGGAGCAGTTCCCAGCCTCCCACCCCATCCCTCAGCCACCACTGGTCAGGGTCTGGAGTCCTGCTCACACCTTCTCTGCCCCCACCTCCAGTGCTACCTTCAAGCCTCTGGACCTGCCTGCTACCCCTGGACCAGGCTGGAGGGTGGAGACTGGAGCCCAGGCAACCCCAAGAAGCCCAGAATGCCAGGCACAGGGCCCCATCTGGATGTGGAATTTGCACTGCCTGGCTGCTTCCGGCCTCCCTGTCATTCTCTCCTGCATTCCTACAGCTATCCTCAACTGGTACCAGCCCCCCCACCCCCACCTCAGCTGGCCGCTAAATGTGTATATTGGGGGACAGGCGGTGGTGCAGGCCTCTGTTGGGTCAGGGAAGTTGGGATGGGGGCGGGCCTTTGGCTTCCTGTTGTTCATCGCCCTGGGGCTCTGGGGGGGATTTCCCTAGCCACCCCCACCCCCTAGGGAAGGGGAAGGAGCCTGCGTGAGTCACAGGCCTGGGGTGGGAGCCCAAGAGTGAGAAGGGGCGGGAGGAACCTCGTTACCAAGGTACCAAGGCTCAGTGCTCTCTCAGCCCTTGGACTGAGGCAGGCCTCCTGAGGACCCTCTTCCAAGCGCTGCCCACTTCCCTGGCTGTTCTGACAGGTGCTTACCTTTGTACTGGGGCCAGTTGGGGACACGGAGAATGGGGAGGTCTTATTTTGGGGGTTCTGCAAAGAGAAAGTAGGAGCAAGGGGATGGGAATAGTGCAGTGAAGCAGCTTCTGACCACCCCCGCTCCCTGCCCTCCTACCATAGGCGGCACAGAGCCCCCTCTGAACCCCTCTCCCCATTCCTTCCCACCCCCTCCCGCTTATCCACTCCCTCCTAACCTGATGATTAGTGTCTGGTCCATTTCTTTCGGTGTCTGCAAAGAGAGGGAAAGGATGTGTTGTCATCAGCCACCCCCACCACACCTGTCCCCTCCCAGCTCTCTTCCCATCTGTCCCACTTCCCCTGCCCACGGTGACCCCTGCCCCCCTGCTCCCTGCCCACCCACCTGTGTGCTCTGATGGGGAGTCCAGACCTTGCTTCTCGGCCTCCAGGGGCTTAGACATTCTTATTTCTGGGGACAGAGGAGGAATGGAAGTGGGGTGAAGGAGGGGAATCCAGGAGGGCTCTCGGGCCCCCATTCCACCACACTCCCCAAGCCTTTCCCCCAAATTCCCCCCTTACCCCCAGCCACCTTGGAAGTGTCTCTTCCCAAGAGACATGTCCTCCGTTCTGGGCCTCTGCCCTCCTCTGGCAAGATGAGACACAGCACTTAGGCCTTGGGGGATCTTGCCTTATCCTTTCACCTCTCCAGAAAGTAACACAGGGGTGTTACCCACAGTGCAGCAAAGGGCAGGGCAGGAGATGGAAGGTGGTCGTGAGAAGGTATCAGCTGCCCAGGAGGAGGCTGGTGACGTCCCAAAGGAGGGAGAGCAGCCTTGGGCCTCCTCCTGGGGCGGGCCGCCCAGGCTCCCGTCCTGCCCTACCAGGTTTCGGGTGAGACATGTTTTCCACTCTGAGTGGGGCCTCAGAGATGTGATGGGGCTGCAGCGTCCCCAAAGGAGGCAGTTGTCAGATCTCAGCATGTGTGATTCAGCCGCCCTCTGGCCCTCTTCCCACCCCACCACTTTCCCCATCCACATCTTACTCCCACCTGGACTTTCTTCCTATGTTTAGCACACCGGCCTAGCAGACCCAACCTCATCCTCTGTAACCTCAGCTCCATCTGGCTCTACCCCTGAGCTTGTCCTCCAATCTAAACCTGATCTGGGACTTCACGCTTGAGCCCCAGCTGCAGTCTCAAGTCCACCCCTGTAATACAACCCCATTCTATAGCTCCCTAGGCCCAGGAAATGAAAGGAGGTGGCCAAGGGAGGGTGGCAGGCAGCAAGCACATAAACCCACGGAGACAAATGCCTGTCCTCAAAGCGCTCTGATACTTTTCACAGAAAGGCGAGTGCTCACCAGTGCCAAGCATAGAGCTAGATATGACTCACAGCTCACATTAGCGGTTAGTGCTAATATTACCCCGTTTTACAGAGGAGGAAACTGAGGCTCCACGAAGGGATGTCACCTCCCCAAAAGCACAGCAAGACAGCAGATGTGCCCTGATTGGACCCCTGGTCTTCATGACTGCTGGGCTCCTACTTCTAATCGGATCCACTCTAGTCTAATGTCCCCTAGTCCTGACTTCCAGCCATCTCATCTCCAACAGTTCCCTCGCCCAAGCTCATCCTGAAACTGAATCCAACCCTTCCTGGTCCTAGACCCCAGGACAAATCTGGGCTTCAGCCTGACCCATCCTTAGTCCACTTACTCACCTTGAATCCCAAGTTGTGCCCAGATGGCTCAAGTCCTTCATCTGACCTTGACTCCCAACTGTCCTGAGATCCTGTCCCTGATCCAAACTCTTCCCACAACTCACTCCAAAATCCCTGCCTAAACCATGACCCCACTCCTACTAAAGGAGCTGTCCAACTCTAGTGTTCTCTGCACCAAGATACTTAAAGAAGACAGCTAAGCCAGGCACAGTGGTTCACGCCTGCAATCCCAGCACTTTGGGAGACTGAGGCAGCCAGATCTCTTGAACCCAGGAGTTCAAGACCAGCCTAGGCAACATGGAGAAACCCCATCTCTACTAAAGACACAAAAATTAGCTGGGCATGATGGCACGCACCTGTAGTCCCAGCTATTGGGGAGGCTGAGGCAGGAGAATCGCTTGAATCCAGGAGGTCAAGGCTACAGTGAGCTGTGACTGCACCACTGCGCTCCAGCCTGGGTGACAGAGTGAGACCCTGTCTCAAAAAAAAAAAAAAAGAAAAAAAAAAAGAATGGAGCTAAAGTAAGGGATAAGAAATAGGAAGAACTCAGTAACTGTAAAAAAAAAAAAAAGTCTAGAAATCTTGCAATTGAGTATTATTCAATGTGAAATGCTGCTTGAGTTTTAAATTCCTAATTAAAAAAACAGGTCATGCATTGCTGGTGGGAGTGTAAATTGATACAAGCACCACTCAGAAAAGCTGAAAAGATGCCCTCTCCCTAAGATGCAGCACGTCCACTCCTGGGCATCTGCCCAAAAGAAACACGTGTCCTGCCCATCAAAGGACATGGGCAGAATTCTTCTGCAGTCTTTCATAATGGCCCCAAACTGGAAACAGCCTAAGGGGCCGTCAACAGGTGAATGGATAAATAAAATGTGGTATGTCCATACAATGAAATATGCCACAGTAATGAAAAAGAACAAACTCCTGCTTCATACACATGGCCGAAGCTTGGAGACATGAGGCTGAATGAAAGATGCCAAACACAAAGGCAGACATAATTTATGATTCCAATTACAGGAAATTCAAAAACGGGCAAGCTGATAGCAGATGATCACAGTCAGATGAGTGAGCACCTTGGGGGTACTGACTGGGAAAGGGCATGAGGAAGCCTGCACCAGGTAAGAAAGGATCTTGTTTGGTGGTTACAGGGTCCTTACATAAGCAAAAATTCATCAAGCTATACACTTAAAATTTGAGCACTTTACTCTATATACGTTATGTTTTAACAAGCAAGAAAACATTTAAAAGCTAAAAAGCAAAACGCCAGCACACAGTCCCATTAAGATGCACACTGCACCAAGGCAGGTAGATCACTTGAGGCTAGGAGTTTGAGACCAGCCTGGGCAACATAGTGAAATCCCCGTCTCTCCAAAAAATAAAAAAGTTAACCGGACATGATGGTGGTGGGCACCTACAGTCCCAGCTACTCAGTAGGCTGAGATGGGAAGGTCGCTCGAGCCCAGGAGATTGAGGCTACAGTGAGCCGTGATTGTACCACTGCACTCCAGCTTGGATAATAGAGCAAGACTCTGTCTCAAAAAAAAAAAAAAAGATGTAGACTGTTGAGGGTGGGGGTGGGGAGTGGGTGCCCAGGACGCTACCAGAGTTCAGGTCCTGTTTCCTGGCCCTGGGGACAGGGCATTAAATGGCTACTGATACAAGATATAAGAAGGACAAGAAGGGAGCTGGGCAGCAAGTGTGTCCTGACTTTGGAGCAGTAAAGGCGGGAATCCTGCCTGATCCTAGCTCTAGTTCACCCAGACCTTAGCCCTACTTCAGGCAGCCACTAACTCTAACCCGGTCCTAAATCCCACCCCTCCTAGCATCCCTAAAACTGCAGCCCCAGCCTCCTCTGGCCTCCGTCCCTCCAGCGGAGCTCCACATTGCCTCAGGGCAATCCTTTCCTGGCTCCTCCCTATCTCCTGGAGAAATAAACAACCTGGCCTCCAGGGGCTGGCCCACCACCCTGTACTGCTCTTCTCTTGCAGCTCATGCACAGTGCTCTTCACCCATGTCGAGCATCTCCCCCTGCTTGGGGGTCTGCTTGACAGCAGGCTGTGCAGGTTCTACACTCCCACCTAGCTGGGCATCCCTCTCCCGTCCACAGAACAGGGCAGCCTCGGACCCCACTGCCAGCCCAGAAAGTCCACACTCATCCTTAACCTCTGCTATGGGCTAAGTTGCATCTACCAAAATTCATACACGGAAGTCCTAATTCCTGATACCTCAAAATGTAATTGTATTTGGAGATAGGGTCTTTAAAGACGTAATTAAGGTAAAATAAGGTCATTAGGGTGGACCTTACTACAATCTGACTGGCATCCTTATAAGAAGAGGGGGCGGGCGCGGTGGCTCATGCCTGTAATCCCAGCACTTTGGGAGGCCGAGGTGGGCAGATCACCAGTTCAGGAGTTTGAGGCCAGCCTAACCAACAATGTGAAATCCTACCCCTACTAAAAATACAAAAATTAGCCGGGCATGGTAGTGTGTGCCTGTAATCCCAGCTACTCAGGAGGCTGAGGTAGGAGAATCACCTGAACCCAGGAGGCAGAGGTTGCAGGCAGCCGAGATCGTGCCACTGCACTACAGCCTGAGTGACAGAGCAAGACTCCATCTCAAAAAAAAAAAAAAAGAAGAAAAAGAGGGAATTAGGTCACAGATGGGAACAGAGGGAAGACCATATGAAGACCCAGGAGAAGACCAGTGGACCACAAGCCAAGGAGAGAGGCCTTGGAAGAGACCAACCCTGCTGACATCCTCGTCTTTAACTTACAGCCTCCGTAATTGTGAAAATGAATTTCTCTTATTTCAGCCACCTAGTCTGTGGTACTTTGATGTGGAAGCCCTAGCAAACTAAGCCTCTCACAGCCCCTGCCCTCCTGCTGTCCCATCCCTGAGCCCCCAGTTGTGGCTGTCTGTGTCCAGGTTCCTTCCCCACAAGACCAATGCGACAGGCCTGGTCTGACTCATCACTGGGTCCCCAGCATCACAAGCCCAGAACGGGTTGTAACTGCTGAATGTCCCTCTCTTTAGCAGTCTCTGTTTCCTACTACTTCTCACCCTTGTCTTACTGTCTCCCTGCTATTTATTTTATTTAATTTATATTTTGAGACAAGAGTCTTGCTCTGTCGGCCAGGCTGGAATGCAGTGGCACAATCACGGCTCACTGCAGCCTCGACCTCCTGGGGTCAAGCTATCCTCCCATCCCAGCCTCCTGAGTAGCTGGGACTACAGGTGTGCACCACCACATCCAGGGACTACAGCTGTGCACCACCACATCCAGCTAATTAAAAAAAAAATTTTTTTTTTTTGTAGAGACGGGTCTCCTTATGTTGTCCAGGCTGGTCTCAGACTCGTGGGCTCAAATGATCCTCATGCCTTGGCCTCCCAAAGTTCTGGGATTACAGCCATGAGCCACCATGCCTGCACTTTGCCATTTAAAACATTTCCTGAGGCCTTGGCATGGGCTGTTCCCTCTGTCTGGAACACTGTTCCCCAATCTGTCCACCTGGCGACCCCCGGACTCATCCTTCAGAACCCAGCATAAGCTCTGTTTTCTTTTCTTTTTTTTTGAGATGGAGTCTTGCTGTGTTGTCCAGGCTGGAGTGCAGTGGTGGGATCTCGGCTCACTGCAAGCTCCAGAGGTCTCCTGGGTTGAAGCAATTCCCTGCCTCAGGCTCCCAAATAGCTGGGATTACATGTGCGCGCCACTACGACTGGCTAATTTTTGTATATTTAGTAGAGAAGGGGTTTCACTGTGTTAGCCAGGATGGTCTCAATCTCCTGACCTCATGATCTGCCCACCTCAGCCTCCCAAAATGCTGGGATTACAGGCGTGAGCCACCACGCCCGGCCATAAGCTCTGTTTTCTATGAAACCACCACCTTGATGCCCCCAGCTCCCAGCCAGGTCTCTCTCCAGCTCCCCATACCCTAGCACCTTCCCTTGTCACTGTCTTAGAGGCTGACTGTAGCTAGCCGGGCCCCACTATGTCTCCCCTATCAGACTAGGAATTTTTCAAGGGCAGATCTGATCTCAGGTTCCTAAACACTCCCCAGCAGAAGACATGTGGATCAGTGGCCCCAAGGTCCTGATCTCCCTCCCCCAGGCCTTTGCCTCTGCTCGTCTCCCACTTGGGTGACCCTTTCCTTCTCTACTGGCAAACTCTTGCTCCTCTTTAAGGTCCAGCTCAAATGTCACCTCCTCTGTGAAGTACTCTCTGATTCCCCAGATGGTCAGTGTCTCTCTCTTCTGGGCTTCACTGACCCTGTACTGTGCTCCACCACATCCTGATCATCCTGGGCAGAGACCTCCACCCCAACTGTGGGCTCCTCAGGAGCCCAGGCTGGAGTCATTGCTGCACAGGCCTAGGAGTACGTCTTTGGAATGAATGAATGCATTAAAGAATCCCCTAACTGACCAGGGCCCAATCCTGTCTAAAACAAACCCCTATCTCTACTGTCACCCAACATCCCCAAGAAACCCTAACTTAAATCTTTAAGGTATGATTTCCTCTGCAGAGACTGTGGCTGGAAAGACAAGAGTGGTTTGAGGGAAATTTTTCACCATTCTGTTACCCTTATTCTCCCTAAATTATCCCAACCACTCCTACATATCCCTGCATACTCCCTGCCCCACACTTGGCTGGGTCACAACAAAATGGCCAACTGCTGCCCTTTGTCTTTTCTCTTTCCACCTCCCCTGTCAGAGCTCAATCTGAGAGAAGGGTCAGATCATTTCCACCAGGAATGAACAGGGAGCTCCATTTCCACCGTGGACTAAAAGCCAAATGACGCCTTAACAGGGACTCCAGGGCACTAGCAATCATAGACTTGGAGGGTCCATCAAATGGCTCGGCCTCAGCCTCAGCCTGAGCCCAGGCAGAGATGCCCATCGCCTATCACTCAACTCTAGAAAAATATTGATGCCTGTTCCCACCCTAGACTCTGATTTCAGTGGTACAGGGTGTGACTTGGGCATCCAGATATTTAAAAGCCCCTCCAGGTGATTCTCTTTTTTTTTTTTTAGACAGAGTCTCACTCTGTCGCCCAGGCTGGAGTGCAATGGTATGATCTCAGCTCACTGCAACCTTTGCCTCCTGGGTTCAAGCGATTCTCCTGCCTCAGCCTCCCGAGTAGCTGCAATTACAGGCATGCATCACCATGCCCGGCTAATTTTTGTATTTTTATTAGAGACGGGGTTTCACCATGTTGGGCAGGCTGGTCTCGAACTCCTGACCTCAAGTGATCCGCCCACCTCAGCATTCCAAAGTGCTGGGATTACAGGCATGAGCCACCGCACCCAGCCCCCTCCTGGTGATTCTAATGTGCTCCATCCCCTGGCACCTTCAGAAGCCCCTCTCAAAGCCTCATTCACACACAAAAGATTGGTTGGTTATGTATGGCTATTCCCACCCCTCATCATAGGTAATGTGTAATATTTTAGGGGAACTGAAAGAGAAAAAGCAATGCATAGCCCTACCAGGCCCCTTGGAGCCATGTTGCCCCTTGAATCCCACCTTCCTCAGGTCAGACACCCCTCAACCAGGGCTGCCCAGCCCTGAGCTCACACTCACTTGCCCGACTGCCCCAGGCCTGGGACTCTTGGTCCTCTCCACCCTCCCACTCCTCCCTCCCCGGACTTTCACTTCTCCTCTGCATTTCCCCCCGCCAGTTTTAGCAGACTTAGGCCAGCTTCTCGTTAGCACTTACCGAAAACGGGGCTAAATATAGAGGGCCCAAGGACTGCCCCTCACCCCTCCTGGCCCCACTTGTCCTGTCCCCTGGGTCCCCTGCCTCCGCAGCCTGCTTCAATTAGGGGTATGGCCTGGGAGCCCCTGTGGGCAGGTTGGTGCTGCCGGGAACCTCTGTGGGCCCAGCTGGCCGAGCCCCCGTCCTCCCCAGAAGCAGCACCTCACCCCTCCCCACCCCACAGCTGTCCCTGGGTGGCCTCAAGGGAGTGAACATTTCTGAGTTGTCAGGAGGGAGGGATGGAGATACAGGCAGCAGACACAACAAGAGAGGTGGCCCCACAGCTGCGCTGACAGCAGGCAAGAGCTGCCAACAGTACACACCCCATGGCCACAGCCAGGCAAGGCCCCGGCCAACACAATACAAGAAACAGATGTGCACAGATTCCAGACAGGAATGTGAACAGGTTTGCAGATACGACACATGCCCAGACATGATGCCACGGGCATATATGCAAAACACACACCCAAACGTGCGTACACACATGCACTCACACACACTCTCACACTGAGTGACACACAGCCAGCCAGACACACGTAAAAAGTATACAAACTCACACACCCGGAGTCGAACACAGACATACACCCTCCCCCTACATACTACACCCAGTCACTCACAGACTCAGACATGTGTACGCACACATGTACTTACACATGTTCTCACACCAAGTCACATCAGTCCAGCCAGAGATACACACCCAGACATGCACATGCTCACACAGAGTCACACACACAAACACAAGTGCACACACATACACCCAGAGTCACCTTATCCTGGAAGATGGCCAGGGCTGACCTCTGAACCCAGTTCACAGGTGTGGAGTCTGAGACCAGGCAGGGTGAGTGATCTGCCCACAGCCACACAGTGTATTAATTCATGTCCAGGCAGGGAAAATTCACCCCAGTCTTCCCACACTGGGCTGTTCTGTGAGAAATCCCAAGTAAAGGGTTTAGCCTACTGCCCAGCACCTCTGAGGTCCCCATTTAACCCCAGAGAGGAACGAGTCAGTGGGAGCAGACACCCTGGATCTCTGTGTCTACACTGTATGGACACACACACATATACACAGTTGCATACACAGTCACCTCAACAAATAAACATGTCACCCTGCAAATAGTCTTCCTTTCATCCCACCCCTCTCCTCACCGCCTTTGCTTGCTCATACCCACTCATTCTTCATATCCCTGCTCAGACACCCCCTTCCTCCAGGAAGCCCTCCTTGACACTCTACCAACTAAATCACATGTTTTCAGGGCTCCTACGATCCCCTAATACCTCCCCGTCCTGGCCCAACCCCTCTACCTATGTCCCCCTATCCCAGCCCTGACCCCTCTGCCTGGGCCTCCCCCATCCCAGCCCCAACCCCTCTACCTATGTCCCCCCATCCCAGCCCTGACCCCTCTGCCTGAGCCTCCCCAACCCCAGCCCTGACCCCTCTGCTTGGGGCCTCCCTCATCCCAGCCCCAACCCCTCTACCTTTGTCCCCCCATCCCACCCCGACACCTCTGCCTGTGCCCACCACCCCAGCCCTGACCCTTCTGCCTGGGCCTCCCCCATCCCAGCCCTGACCCCTCTGCCTGGGCCTCCCCCATCCCAGCCCTGATCCCTCTGCCTGGACCTCCCCCATCCCAGCCCTGACCTGTCTGTACTGTCATTGGTGACAGGTCTGTCTTCTCCAATAAACTGGGAGCTCCAGGAGGACAGACCTGAGCTACCCTTTCCACTGTACTTCCAACACCCAACACAGAACTACTCAATAGATACATGTTGGTGGAGGACACACGGGTGCCCGCACACAATGGCGCATATAGGACAGCACACACCACCAAACCAAGACTCATGCCCATGGTCATGCCTACACAGCCACAAATGAAACAGGCATGAAGGGCTGAGTGCTTGCCATGTTCCAGGCACTGTGCTAAGCATGCTACATGTATTACCTCATTTAAGACTCCCATCAACACTGCTGAGTGATAGCCATCACCATACAGACATATACACATTCTACTAAATGAGCCAACAGCTATAAATCACCTTGTACAGTGCCTGGTGCACAATGTTCACTCAGCCAACTGACATTTGGTGGAGAAGGCATTTAATAAGCACACAAACAAACACATAATGAAATTCCCAGCAGTGATACGTGCCGTGAAGAAAAGATAAAGCAGGGTGAGGGGACTGAGAGTGACAGGATCAGTGCCAGTTTAGATGGGGAGGTCAGGGAAGGCTGCCCTGAGGAGGTGACATCTGAGGTGAATGAAGTGAAGAAGGGAGCCAGGCAATCATCACCCCACAATGCCACACACAACAGCCCCCTACACTCACAAGCACACAGCAGTCCCACTCAGAGCACTCAGAACTACTGCACACACACATGCACACGCACACCTGTACCAGATGTGCACACACACACTCAAAAGGGAATGACATCCCCCAAGTCCAGCAACTTGGCATTCCAATCCCTTTGCAGCCCTTATCCAAGGATTGCCCATGTCACCCACCCCACTGGTTCTCCACATGAGGGCCCGCTACCAACACCCAGCTCCCTCCCTCCCGTCCCCAGACCCTTCGGAACAGGGCAACAGAGAAGAGAAGATGTTGGAAGTTCCGGTGCCTGATGTGGAAAGAGAGGGCAAAGAGGAGCTGTGGGGGTTAGCGGGGACCCGGCATGGGAGAGAGGGAGTTGCTAGAGTACAGAGGAGAAGGACAATGGAGACAGCTGAGGAGGAGGGGCAGGCAGGGCCCGCAGAGCAAACCTAAATGTGCTGCCTGTCCTCTGAGCAGTGGCACAGGCACCAGCCCCCTTACCTGGAGCCCCCATGCTGGAGTGAACCATGCTGCCCGCCCCGCCAGGGCTGGGGGAACAACTGTGTCATCTCCCCACCCTCTCTGGGGGCCGAGCCCTCCCTGCCGGAAGTCACTCAGGGAGGAAACCACAGGGCCGGTCCGCCCCCTTCAGAAGGGAAAATACCCTGGCCCACAGACCCGCCCCGGCAGCCCGGCCCACCCCAAATCATGTGTGTGTGCTGGGGGGTGGGGGCTAGTGGGGCAGAGGATAAGCAGGCTGGAAGAGCCGACTCCTACGGCTGCGATCCAAGAGGTGCCTGCAACAGTTGCCCCCCGACTTCTGTCGCCCCCATGGAGGCAAACAAGTCTGGAACAGGGAATGGGGGTCTGGGAGAGAAGGTGGGTCCACAGCAGTAACAACAATAAAACACTAGCCAGCAGCTTATTGGAGAGAGGGCTTTGCCGATGCCTGACCCTGTGCCTCACTCTTGACAGGTGCCATCTCCAATGTGGTGGTCACTCTTATTTGCCCCATTTTACAGATGAAAAGACTGAGGATCAGAGAGGTGAGCAGTAGCTTTCCCAAAGGCCCAGAGCCAAGAAGCGTTGAAGCTTAAAAGCACGCCGCGGCAGGGAAGATCAAGCAAGCCCTGCGCCTATCTGCAGGTGAGCTGTTGGGTGCCACCATTGGGAGGAAGTGGTGCCCGTGGGCAGTGGTAGTGGGGACGGTGGGTCGGGGACTTGGCCTGGGGCTACAATAAGTCGCCGGCCAAATGCGGGCGCCCGAGGCGGCTCCAGTGGAGGGGAGCACCAGGTCCCCGGGCTGCCGGCTGGCTCTTCGCGCTGCGGCGCTCCCATTTCAGCGCTTCCCTCCGTGCCCGCCAGAGGGCGGCAGCGCCCAGCCAATGGGCCGGAGGGCGGGGCCGGCTGCGGAGAAGGGAGCCCCTCCCTCCGCTCCCCTCCCCAACACCCTCCCAACACCTCCGCTCGCACACCTGCGAGGGTCACACAAAGGCGCAGGACTCCCGGCGCACCGCAGCTCAGACAAAGGCGCGCCCGAGTCCGCTGCCCTCTTCCTCTTGGTGCCCGAGGTCTGAGGCTGTGGGGCTGCCTGGCGTCTCCAGACACCCCACATGCCCGCCTGGGCCCCGCAGGACATCCTGCGCCCCGTGGCTGGGGGGCCCCCTAAACCACAGGTGCATGCACAGACGCCTGGACTCACCCTCACACACACAAGTATTTCTACAGATGAACCCCAGCACTTCACACACACACACGTGTGCACACACACGTGCATGAACACATCTATGTGCACAGGCCCCAACACCAGCCCTCCCTGCTGACGATGGTCACTCCCATATACTGATACCTCCTCTACTCCCTCACATGGACCCATGGGCACAAGGGCACTTCTACACATATGTGCCCAAGCATACTTCCTGGCCACTCGCACCCACTCACACACAGGCACACTCAGAAAGGGTATACTACAGGCACAACTACAGGAGTGCCCTCCCCTGACTGCACACGTGCCCTGTGCACCCAGACACACCCAGGCAAGCAGGTGGGCACAACAGGAAGGACTGGCAGTTCTCATATATGCACACGAGAGGTGACCGTTTCCCGGCATCTACACTCCACAACATCCCGTATCGTAAAGGCCATTTCACAGAGGAGATCCACAGACCACACAGCAACTGGCCACAGGATTTCTATACATGAGGGTCTTCCCGACAGCAGCCTGGTAGCAGTGGACACTGGAGCCTTGTCTCAAAGCGACATTTACGCAGTAAGCTTTGTTTTCAGTTAGGATTTGTTTTGGGGGGCTTGGAAATGGGGCTATAGGACATTATGGGGGGGGGCAAAACCTCACCAGCCACCCTTATGCTCCACCCTGGACAGACTCAACATCATCCACGTCAGGAACACGCTTTTGGATGTGACCCCATTCCAGCCCCCTAGAGCCAGCAGAGAAGGACCACCCACTTCCAGTGCGGCCAGGTCTGCAGTTCAGTCCTGGAGCCGGGGAAGGCTGTATACGCTCCCTGAGAGATGAAACAACCCCACACCTCTCGCCTCCCATGCTGGCTCCATTCTCAGTGCCTCAGACCAGAGCTGGGCCTGGTGAGGGGATCTTGAAGGAGGATGGGCCTGCCTGAGAGAGGATAGAGGGGCAGAGTTTGGAACACACTGGCAGCTGGAACAGGGAGGCTCAAGGCAGGGGGAGATGGTGGCCTCGTTGCCACAGAAGAGGCCTCGAGCCATGCTGAGGGAGGCAGGTAGGGCATGGGAGCTAGGGAGCAGTGGGGGCCACTTGAGGTGCAGGGAGCTGGGAGGGAGGCGGTACAGGGGAGGCCAGGCTGGGCTCAGGGCTGAGCGGTAATTAAAGGAGACGTAGGGGGCTCCCCAGGGCCAGCGGGGCTGGTAACTGACACGCGGGCCCCATTGCTCCGCTCATATTTCTCGCCGGATCGATACGTTTGACTCCCGACAAGACAATAATCGCTTGTACGCGGCCGGCGAGTCGATCAAATACATTATTAGAGCGAGGTCCCCCGGGGGCCCGGCGGGGAGTGGTGGGGGGGAGCAGCCAGCCCACCGGGGACAGCAGAGCGAGATTCTTCACCCCTCAGGGCCCCCCAGCCATGGCCTCTTCCTCTTGGCCACCCCTGGGGACCCTCTCTGTGGCTCAGTTCCCCAGCCTCTCTCTGAATGTCTGCTGCTTTGGTGATCTCTCTACTCAGCCCCCAGCATCATCCTTGCTCTGTGAGGGAACCCAAGGGTTCTTTCCCCATAGGCACTGCCCTCATCTGTAGGGCTGTGGCATGTGGGAGCTCAGAGAGGCTCCTCAGACCCCTAGCTTGGCAGGAGACAGGGAGACCAAGCCTCAGGCCATACTCTGAGTCCATGGCTGGGCCAGGAGATGAACTTGGGCCCAAGACTCAATGATACCCACCTCCCTCTGCCCAGTCCCCTTGCTGCATCTAAGCACACGGGGCTTCAGCAGCGCCCAGGCCAGGGGCAGCCTCTGGGGGGTTAGGGAAAGCTAACCTAGGGACCCAAACAAGCAGGAAAACAGGATGATAGGGGTGGCAGGAAAACAGGATGATAGGGGTGGCAGACAAACACATACACAAAGAGATGTGTGTCTGCTCCTGCTGCAGGGCCATGTGGTCCCCCAGTGGGCCTCAGAGACCCTCAAACCATGCCCAGCCTCAGCTCTGGCCCACCCGAGACACTGCTTGCCACTCTTGCCCACTTTCCTGGCTTCTAGGCTCAAGCCTATTTCCCCTTTTAAAAAAAATTAAATTAAGCTTTAGCTTTATTTTTAAAGTCCAGGCTCTTTTTTTTTTTTTTTCCTTTGAGACAGAGTCTCACTCTGTCGCTCAGGCTGGAGTGCAATGGCACAATCCCGGCTCACTGCAACCTCCGCCTCCTGGGTTCAAGCGCATCTCACGCCTCCTCAGCCTCCCGAGTAGCCGGGATTACAGGTGCACACCACCAGGCCAGGCTAATTTTTGTGTTTTTAGGAGAGACAGGGTTTCACCACATTGGCCAAACTGGTCTCGAACTCCTGAGATCATGTGATCCACACACCTCAGCCTCCCAAAGTGCTGGGATTACAGACATGACCTCAAGCCTATTTCCTGTTTACACACCTGCTTTGCCCTCTAGACCCGAAGTGCCCCTTTGCTTCTCCAGCAGCCCTAAGTCAAAGTCAAGTTCTGCTTAGGAGTATCCAGCATTCAGGGACTTAAAATATATCTTCCTCTTTGTCTTCATTAGCAGCAGCAGCCCCCACAGCATTGTGGTCTATGCTTTCCTTTTTTTTTTTTTTTTTTGAGACTGTCTGGCTCTGTCACTCAGGCTGGAGTGCAGTGGCATGATCTTGGCTCACTGCAAACTCTGCCTCCCAGGCTCATGCCATCCTCCCACCTCAGCCTCCCAGATAGCTGGGACCACAGGCGTGCACCACCACATCCAGCTAGTTTTGTATTTTTAGTAGAGACATGGGTTTTGCCATGTTGCCCAGGCTGGTCTCAGAACTCCTAGGCTCAAAGCCATCCACCCGCCTCAGCCTCCCAAAGTGCTGAGATTACAGTCGTGAGCCACTGTGCCTGGACTACTCTGTGCTATTTGAACCAATATATTATTTCTAAGTCCTCATGACAGTCTGAGGAGGTAAAGGTCTGCTATCATCCTCATTTTACTAACAAATTGAGCCTCAGAAAGGTGAAGTCTCCTGCCCCAAGTCACACAGCATGAGTGGTGGAGTCAGGATTTAAGCCCAGGTCTGTCCCCCTGACAGCTTGATCTCTCTGTACTGAGCCATGGAGCTCCTTCTTGGAGGCGTGAAATGCTCCCCATCCTTCAGGAGACAACAGCAACAGCCAGCCACTCCTTGTCCAGTCAGCAATGCTGGAATACCTCTGCAGCTCACAGTCCAACGCCCACAGCCTTCGAGTCAGTTTCTTGATATTCGGCAATGCACTGGACTCCTGATCCCATCAGCTCCTGGCTGAAGGTGGGCCAACCCTTCCCCATTTCCTTCAATTCAAACATTTCCTCATGTCCCTCAGTGCCAAGCCCTGTGCTGGGAGCTGAGGACCCAGAGGTGAGCTAGATCTAAAATCTGACCTCAAGGAGCTAACAGTCTGAGAGGAAGACTGGAGTGGATAAAAATACCTTGGTAATTTATCACTTAATAAATATCCAATAAATGCTATTATGTGCCAAGCCATTGCTAAGCTCAGAGAATACAGTGGTTAAAAGCAACCCATAGAGCTTATAGTCTTTGGGGGAGAAATAATTTTTAAAAGTTATCAACTAGCAGGGCATGGTGGCATACCCCTGTAGTCCTGGCTCCTCTGGAGGGTAAAGCAGGAGGATCACTTGAGCCCAGGAGTTCAAGGCTGCAATGAGCTATGATGGCACCACTGCTCTCCAGCCTGAGTGACAGAGCAAGACTCAATCTCTAAAATAAATAAATAAATAAATAAAATAAAAAATAAAAAGCCATCAAATAAATATGTAATTCTAAGTTAGGAAAAGTGATTTCAAGAATAGGTAGAGGAGGGGCTGGGCATGGTGGCTCACACCTGTAATCCTGGCGCTTTGAGAGGCTGAGGTGGGAGAGTTGCTTGACACCAGGAGTTTGAGACCTGTCTGGACAACATATCGAGACCCCATCTCTACAAAAAAAATTGTTTTAACTTAGCTGGGTGTGGTGGTGTGCGTCTGTAGTCCCAGCTACTCGAGAGGCTGAGGCGGGAAGATTGCTTGAGGTCGAGGCTGCAGTGAGCTACGATCATGCCACTGCACTCCAGCCTGGGTGACAGAGAGAGACCCTGACTCTTAAAAAAAGTAGAAGGAGGATACCTGATGTAAACAAAGGATGGCATGTTGCAGAAAACTGTCCCAAGGAAGTGACATTTACATAGCAATTAGACACAGTATTCTCGAGGCAAAGAATGTGAAGGAAGACACTCCAGGCAATGGGAACAGAGGAGGCGATGGCCCCATGGAAACAAACAGTGTGGCAATTCCAGGATCAGAAAGGAGGCCTATAGAGCTGGAGCAGAGTGAACAAAGAAGAGAAGATAGGAGACGAGGTGTGAGGTGGAGAGGCGGCCAGGGCCAGATCGCACAGGGCCTTGCAGGCCAAGGTAAGAATTTGGGACTTCAAGAACAGTGGGACACCTGAGAAGGTTTCAAGCAGGGGAGTGGCATGGTTCTATGAACACTTTTGTGACAATCCTGGCTGCTTTGGAGGCCGCAGTGAAGAACCAGAGGATGGAGTGTGGGGGTCAGCGTGAGGAAGCTGATGAATTCCACATCACCATCAGGTGATGATGACAGGAAGCAATAATTGGTGATTGGCTGAATGTGGGGCATGGGAGTCACGGAGAAGTCAAGAATGAGGTCCAGGTATGTTAAAGTATCTTTCCTGGCACAGAAGATTGGGGCAGGTGGAAGAGCTTAAGCTCAGGTAAGAAAGATCAGGGTAGGACCTGAGGTCCTGAAGGATGAAAGGAAGGGCAGGAGGTGGGAAACAGCATTCAAGGGGGTTGCCAAGGTTGAAGACCCCAAGGTGGAGACAAACTTGGCTTTCCCAAGTTTGTCCTCAAGTTCCTTTGAGGTTGGATTTGAAGTTGCAGGTGGAAGGCTTCTGCGCAGAAGCATTCTGTGTAAGGAAGTTCTACTGGGGACAAATGTGGGGACCGGCTGGTAGCATGGAATCTGGAGACAGGATGACCAATGGGGAGGCTGGGACAGTGGTCCAAGGCGGCAGGGGAGAAAGGAGCCATGAGGATTAGGATGAGGATACATATTCAAGCTGGAGTCTACAGGAACAGGATATGAGAAGTGGGTGCTGGGCTGGGGTGGCTGGGTGGATGCGAGGCCATCACTGAAAGACACAGTGAGAAGGGAAGCAGGGGGAAGACACTTGGGTCAGTTCCAGGGGGAAAGTCAGGAAGCAGCATCTTCCAAGAAGCAAGGTCTGTGGACCAGAAGTCAGCAGATGCTTAACAAATTCACATGGATACAAACATTCCTCATCATATCTCCCCACCACAGCCAATTTTCCACATCCACCAGAATTCCCAGTTCGCCTCATGTAAGAAAAGAAGCACTGTGATGTGGCTCAAAGAAGATAAAAGAAGACTAACTGGCCGGGTGTGGTGGCTCACACCTGTAATCCCAGCACTTTGCAAGGTCGACGAGGGCGGATCACCTGAGGTCAGGAGTTCAAGACCAGCCTGGCCAACATACAATAAAACCCCATCTCTACTGAAAAATACAAAAATTAGCTGGGCATGGTGGCGCACGCCTGTAGTCCCAGCTACTTGAGAAACTGAGGCAGGAAAATCGCTTGAACCCAGGAGGCGGAGGTTGCAGTGAGCTGAGATCACACCACTCTACTTCAGCCTGGGTGACAGAGCGAGACTGTCTCTGAAAAACAAACCAACAAATAAAAGAAGACCAACCAGTCCCTGTTCTGAAATTCGCCCTCTAGTGACCTAGGGCCAGCCCCCTGAACTCCCTGGACCTCAGTTTCCCCAGATATATGTCTGAGATGGGCTGGAGAAGCACTCTAAGACTTCTTCCAGCTTGAACATTCTTTTATTTTATTTTACTTTATTTGGCTCACTGCAACCTCCACCTCCTGGGTTCAAGTGATTCTCTTGCCTCAGTCTCCTGAGTAGCTGGGGCTACAACCATGCGCCACCATGCCCAGCTAATTTTTGTATTTTTAGTAGAAATAGGGTTTCACCATGTTGGCCAGGCTGATCTCAAACTCCTGCCCTCAAGTGATCCACCCACCTCAGCCTCCCAAAGTGCTGGAATTACAGGCATGAGCCACTGTGGCCCGGCCCCAGCTCTAACATTCTGTAGCTTGAAAGAAACAAGAACGGGTGAGATGGACTGACGGCTCAACTGGCCATTGACAAATAGGGAGGTAAAGCATGGCCAACCTACTCTAAAGAGGCCCTGGCTGGGTATACTCGGCAACCCACTTACTCCTCACTGTCATCTTATGAGGGAGAGACCATTATCATCCTCACTTTAAAGATGAGGAAGCTGAGGCCCACAGTCACACAATGAGGCTGGAGTGAACCCAGAGGCTTGTTGACCCCAAAGCTTGTGCTTCAGCTGTTTTGTTGAGCTCACTGCTCCTCAACCTGGCTTGTGTGAGTCTCATTCAGACTGCAGATCCCCCAGGAACAGGGTCCCTTGGCATCCACTGCCATGTGCTCACCAGGGTCTCTGAATGACCTGTGGGAGCAGGCGCCTGGCCCTGGGTCTTCCTCAATGAGGCTCTGCCCTTGGCCCAGGAGTCCCTAGCCCCCTTGCTGCTGCCCCCAGGCTTTCCACAGCCCACATGCGCACTTCCTGTTCTCTAGCTCCCACTGGGCGCAGCACCAACTCTGCAGGCTCAGAGGCCGCCGCTGTCATCCCAGCGCAGGGAGCTGTCCAAAGGCTGAAAAGCAAGAGCCCATGGCCTTGGTCCAGAGCCCTCCAGTCCTGCTGCCCCCAGGACAAACCCAGTCCCCTTACTGTGGCCTCCAGGGCCCTACAGGACCTCCCCGCTGGCCACAGGAGTACCACACCTCAGCCACACTGGAGGAAGCTAATTTTGTCCCCAACATGGGGCCTTCAACCTTGCCAGCCCCCTTGAATGCTGTTCCCCACCTCCTCCCCTTCCTCTCATCCTTCAAGACTCCACTCAAAGGCCACTCCTCAGAGAAACCCTCCCTAGTCATGCTCCACTCCATTCCCAGTTTTATTTCCTTCAGAGCACTCTGAAATTCAATTGCCGCCTATTTGCTTTACTGTCTCTTTCACCCTCTAAAATGTAAGCTTTCTGAAGACAGGTGTCCTTTTCTGTCTTGTTCACTGTGGTATTCTTGGTGCTTTAACAGTGCCTGGCATATAGTTGATGCTTGAACCTTACTTGTTGAATGAATAAATCCTTCCAGGCACCCATGGTCCACAGAATAAAATCCAAGGCTGGCTCTCCAAACCCAAGTGGATATGGTGCCTCTCAACCTCCTCAGCTATCTCACCCTCAGAGCTCACCTTTCTCCTCTGTTCAATAACTTGGGCTCCCCTATGTGTCCCATCCCTCATGCCTGCTTTGTCTGCCACAAATTCTGTACACACCAGCCTCTGCTCAAATATCCTCTCTCTGGAAGCCTTCCCTGACCTCAGTCTTGCCACAGCTCCAGGTAGTATCCCCGGGCTTTAGCACTAATTGTACTGCACTGAATCACTTCCCAATGAGGCTGTACCTACAGACTGTGAGCTCCTTGAGAAGAGGGCTCAGTTTGACATGTTCTTGTAGACTCAGCACCCAGCACTGGGCCTGCATTTAGCTGAGGCTCCAGGAATGTTTGTTGGGTAAGGACAACTGCCCTGCAGATGGTTAACCATCTATACAGGTGAACATAATGACTAGTTTGGTAGTCAATCAGATGAGGGTTTGGAATCTGGTTCCTCCATTCATTTGCTGTGTGACCCTGGGCAGGTGACTTCTCTCTCTAAGCCTCAAGCTCCTCATCTGTGAAATGGGGGCAGTAAAATTGGCTGACAGGAACTTAATTAATCTTTTTTTTTTTTTTTTTTTTTTTTTGAGAAGGAGTCTTGCTCTCGTTGCCCAGGCTGGAGTGCAATGGCACAATCTTGGCTCACTACAACCTCTGCCTCCTGTGTTCAAGCGATTCTCCTGCCTCAGCCTCCCGAGTAGCTGGGATTACAGGCATGCACCACCACACCTGGCTAATTTTGTATTTTAGTAGAGACGGGGTTTCTCCATGTTGGTCAGGCTGGTCTCGAACTCCCAACCTCAAGTGATCCACCTGCCTTGGCCTCCCAAAGTGCTGGGATTACAGGCAAGAGCCACCACGCCTGGCCAGGAACTTAATTAATCTTAAATTTAATATTTGCTACCATGCCCTAAGAACAAACATGTTCACTAACTACATCAAGATTTGAGGTTGAGAAAAATAAGAAACAGTCTAGATGCCACCGATAGGACAGTGGCTAAGTAAATTATAATACATTCATACTCAGGAATACTATGCAGTTATGAAAGAGAATGAGACTGATCTATGGATTGCGGACATGAAAAGTTCTCCAAGACACTGTTAAGTGAAAAAGCAAGTTGCAGAACAATTTATACAACTTGATATCATTGATGTAAAACACATACATCTATTTTTAAAAACTGTATCTTTTCTATGGGCGTACAAGTATTAAGCAAATGCAGAAAAAATGGTCTGGAAGGTAACTAATTATAACCTCTTTTGTAGTAACTTCAGTTTTGGTTTGTTTGTTTGTTTTGAGATAGAGTCTCACTCTGTCACCCAGGCTGGAGTGCAGTGGTGTGATCTTGGCTCACTGCAACCTCTGCCTCCCGGGTTCAAGGGATTCTCCTGCCTCAGCCTCCCGAGTAGCTGGGATTACAGGCACGTGCCACCACACCAGGCTAATTTTTTGTATTTTCAGTAGAGATGGGGTTTCACCGTGTTAGCCAAGATAGTCTTAATCTCCTGACCTTGTGATCCTCCTGCCTGGGCCTCCCAAAGTGCTGGGATTACAGGCATGAGCCACTGTGCCCGGCCAGCACTTTAGTTTTAATAATGAGATTGTACTTGTTTTTTGGTGGGGGTTTGGGGTTTGGGGGGTTTTTTATTTGTTTTTGTTTTTGTTTTTGAGACAGGGTCGTCTCACTCTGTCAACCAGGCTGGAGTACAGTGGTGCAATCTCAGCTCACTGCAACTGCCACCCCCCAGCAAGCAATCCTCCTACCTCAGCCTCCTGAGTAGCTGGGACCAAAGGCACATGCTACCACACCCAGCTAAGTTTTGTACTTTTTGGTAGAGACAGGATTTCAACATGTTGCATGGGCTGGTCTTGAACTCCCGGGCTCAAGCGATCCTCCCTCCTCAGTCTCCCTACATGCTGGGGTTATAGTCATGAGCCACTGTGCCTGGCCTGTACTCATTTTTTTAATTAAAATTAGAACATATTAAATGATACACATGCAGAAAATCAAATAAATGATTATCCCAAAAGTGAGAATTGTAGTTACCTCCAGCAGAGAGGAAGGAGTATGTTTGGAAAGGGACACACGGGGTGGGGCTTCTGGGTGCCTTTGACATCTCCACCCAAGTGGTGAATGCACAGATGTTCACTCGATCAAGATTCATTAAACTGGCCAGGGGTGGTGGTTCACACCTGTAATCTCAGCACTTTGGGAGACTGAGGCTGGGTCACTTGAGGCCAGGAGTTTGAGACCAGCCTGGCCAACATGGTGAAATCCTGTCTCTGCTAAAAATACAAAAAATTAGCTGGGTGTGGTAGTGCATGCTTGTAATCCCAGCTACTCAGGAGGCTAAGGCTTGAACCTGGGGGCTGAGGTTGCAGTGAGCCGAGATCAAGCTGCTGCACTCCACCCTGGGCAAAAGAGCAAGACTCTGCCTCAAAAAAAAAGAAAAAATTCATTAAACTGTACATTAACGTCTTGTCCAATGACTGTGTGCTTCCTGTGGGCAGGGGCCAATCATTGCAATATCATCTGTTTCCCCATCCCCATTTCACTGCCCAGAAACAGACTTAATATAAGTTGTGTGCTCAGTAGGGAGTGCCCATCACGGCAAGCGCTCAGGAGGGCCAAGGCCGCTGTCCAGGGTACTAACGACCCAAGCCTGGGAGGCCACAGAGAAGGCCAGCAAAGCGAGCCAGCTTCAAGATGCCTCATTCTGAAGGGCCCCTGCCCACCTCAACTCCTCTCTCCCCACCCCCTTCACTCACTTCCTCCAAGCTGTCTGCCTTTCTGTTCCTGCAATCCACGCCCGCGCTTCTTCTTGCCTCAGGACTTTTGCTCTTGCCCTTCCTCCTGCCCAGTGCAGTCCTTCCCCAGGTGTTCCTAAGGCTCGTCCCCTTACTTACTCCAGAATTACACTTAAACACCCCCTCCACAGAGAGGCCTTTTGACATCCTGTCTCACATGGCACTTCTCATCACTACGTCCTCTACCAGGTTGCACTTTCTTCTAGCACTTTTTGCTGTCTCACCTTCAAGCCTCGTGTCACGTGCTTGTTTATTACCTCTTTTCCCCCAAACTGAATGTTTATGCCAGCACAGGGAGCATGTGTGTCCCATTATGTCTCATCCTGTCTTTTAGAAGGATCCCAGGTGCACAAAATTGGATTAATCATAATCCTTGGTTCACAGCGTACTCCCATCACTGGGCTGGATGGAGCCCTCTTTCTCTATCCATTCACTTATTGTTTTACTTATTTTTAATAATGAGTTAATGTGAACCCACATTCACCATTCAGATTAGAACCATGATAATAATCATACTAGCCTGTGTCTGTCCTCTTCACTGCTGTGTCTCCAGCACCTGCAACCCAGGAGGTGCTTGGTATTGATTTATTGAAGAAGCTGACAAAGGGGCAATGACCTCCACACCCTGCAAAAGGGAGCTAATGGGAGTGCCCACCTGGCCTCACAAGGCGGGAGAAGAAGGCAAAGGCCAGGCCCTCCACTCAGTTCCCCTGTCCTCCCCTGGTGCTCCACTCCTGCTCAGCCTGGGCAAGCGCCTCTTCCACACGATTCAGTTCCACATCTTCAGGGAGGGCCCACTGTGCCAGACCTTGTGCCAGGAGCTAGGGACACAGGGTGGCTCAGCTTGGCCATGCTCCTGAGGAGCTCTCAAGCCTCGATGCTCCAGGCCCCTAGACCATCCCACTATTCTACTAAGTAACAAGAGCAGCTACATGGCACCTGCTCTGTGCAGGCATATGTTATGTGTATTCTTTGCATCATCTTTTGGCATCTTCCCAACAATTCACTAAAGCAGGGGCTGTTATTATCCACCCCCTTTTCAGAGGAGCACCCCAAGGCGGGTCAGAGAGGGCAAGGACTTGCCCAGACTCAGTCATGGGCAAGCCAATTCCAGAGCCCAGCTCTCCTTGCCCCAGGCCTTGCTGTTACACTGATCCCATGCACATTTCTCTTCCTCCAAAGTCTGTGAAGTCCTGGGCCTCTTGCATCTCTGCAAAAGCAACTGAGGATGGCTGAAAAGGTGTCAACTTTAGAGTCACATAAATAGGTAGTTAAGTCCCAGCTGTGGGGCTAGGTGTGGCCTATGTGTCACTTGGCCCATGTGTCACATTCCTGAGGGGATGAAATTAAAACAAAATGTGTATTTTTTACTTTATAGTTGAATGACACTGCCAGACCACACCACCAGTAAGATAGTATGCATTTTGTTTTAATAAATCCTGAAATGACCTTATAAATATCAGTTAACGTGGCATTTTATTGTTGTCATTGCTAAAAGCACAGGTCTGTAAATCCATTTCAGTATTCCTTCGTTCTTAGTACACTAGGAGGCTCAAGAATTAGAAGCTGCCTTGGCCTCTCTCAGCCTCTGCAAAGACTGCTGAGTCCTAGCTGTGCAACTTTGAGCAAACCACTCAGCCTCTCTGTGCCTCTCTCAGAACTGTGCGGACCCTGAGCAGCATCCACAGAGGGCCCTGCCTACAGAAGGTGCTCTACATTGATTCAGAGGAGTTTAACTTAACGGAACTGTATTAGCCCAGATCGCATGAGACACAGTGCCTGTCATCGTTGAAGCAAACTCTGAGCTCTGGACATTTGAAGGAAAGTGAGGGATCAAGGAAGAAGTCTAGGTTGTTGTTGTGACAACCATTTACTGAGATGGACACAAGCTCTTGGAAAAGCTTGGGAGAGGGAATCAAGAGTTCTGCTTTAGGCTGGGTGCAGTGGCTCATGCCTGTAATCCCAGCACTCTGGGAGGCCAAGGCAGGTGGATTGCTTGAGGTCAGGAGTTCGAGACCAGCCTGACCAACACAGTGAAATCCGTCTCTACTAAAAATACCAAAATTAGCTGGGCATGGTGGCACACACCTGTAATCCCAGCTACTCGGGAGGCTGAGGCAGAAGAATCACTTAAACCCGGGAGGCGGAGGTTGCAGTGAGCTGAGATTGCGCCACTGCACTCCAGCCTGGGTGACAAAGCGAGACTCTGTCTCAAAAAAAAAAGAGTTCTGCTTCCCAGGAGGTGGAGCTTGCAATGAGCCGAGATCGCGCCACTGCACTCCAGCCTGGGTGACAGAGCGAGACTCCGTCTCAAAAAAAAAAAAAAAAAAAAGAAAAAAAAGAGTTCTGCTTTAGACAAGTTAAAGAGAAGCCCTCCACCTACTATTAATATTTAGAAGCATTTTCTCACTGAATCTTCTCAATACTCTACAAAAAAGCATTGTTAACATCCCCATTTTACAGAGGAAAACACTGATGCCCAGCAAAGTTAAATCACTTGGCTGGAGACACAGATGGAACCAGGATTGGCACCCAGGAAACCGGACTCCAAAGTCCACATTGCCATCCACTGTTCTCTTCCTCTCCCTCAAACCCTTGCCCACCCTGTCCCATTGGCTCAGCAGAAACACTGGCCTTGGACCTGGGCTTTGCTGTCTGAGACATCCATGTATCTCCCATCCCCGTCCCCAGTTATGGCCTTCTGCCAATATGAACCATTCACTGAGTGCCTTCACATCACCTGCCCACCTTGATTCACAACAATTCTGGGATGCAGATTGCACAATGCTCCCCAGCTCCACTTTGTGGGGCCCTAGCAGATTCTCCGAGCTCATACAGAAAGACCAGCTGTGAGGGGAGCCAACACCTTCAAATCTACTCGCTCCCTACACCACCTTACTCAGAGCTCACCTCCTCTGTGGAGTCTCCTAAGGGAAGGCCCCCCCATTCACATCTGTGCAAGATCCCGGTCTGGCAAGAAACTTCTCAGTGCCAACCAGGCACTTTAGGGTTCACATGGAGAACATTAAATATAAGCAACCCAGGCATCTGCCTCATGGAGGCTTCCTGCAGCCTCCTAGGGAAAAAGTAGCACCTGACCTGGTAAGAGGAAAAGCTCAGGTTTGGAAGGGTCAGACTCTCACTCTCTGCTCTCCACTTCTTTGAGCCTTGATATTGTCACCAATTCCAAAAGCGCTGTCTGATTCCTCCACTCCTCCCACTGCAGTCCAGGCCACCACCACCTCTGGCCTGAGTGACTTCAGTGGTCTCCTCCCCGAAGGTGTCCCTTCTTCCATGCCTGTCTCAGATAGTCTCGTCTCCCCTTGGCCCCCAAAGGGGGTCTTTCTAAAACGTAACCAGGTGGTGTCACTCCCTTGCTTAAGATTCTCCAGGAGCTTCCCATGCATTTGGGAATAAAACTCAATCACCTTAACCCAACCTATAAAGTCCTATGTCATCTCACCCCTGCTGACACCTCTCATCTCTTCCCCCATCACTCACCTCTTTGCCTACCCTGCTCCAAGCCATGCTGTCTCCTCTCTGTTCTTTAAACCATGCTCTTTGCAACCCCAGGCCCTTCGCATGTGCCATTCCCTCTGCCTGGAACACTGTTCCTGTGCTCTTTGCCCCATTAAATCCTACTCGTCTTTTAAGGTTTGGCTTAAATAACTTGCCCTCTCTCCTGGCTCCCTATTCTAGTTTATTCTTTGGGATAGACTTATCAGTTCCTGATTTTGTATTTGATTGATGTTTACACTTAAAGATCTGCATCTTCTCTAGTTGTCAACTCCATGAAAATACACCATGCTGGTTCTGCTGCCTGCTACATCTTTAGTGCCCAACAAACGCTGGGCACATAGTGGGTGCTCAACAGACAGGTGGAATGAATGACTTAAATGGATCCTGCATAGGGACAAGCACCTGAGGCAGAGTACTTAAGTCTTCGAAGCCTCAGTTTCCACTTCTGTAAAATCAAGATAATAATTCCTCCTTTACAAGATAGTGGTGAGGATCCAAATAGTCAATGAATATTGACAGTGCGTTGGGAAAAAATCCTCTGCAAATACAAAAGCTTAAAGACCTGGAACCTAGAGGATGGGCAGGAGTCAGAGAGAAGAGCAACAGGAAAGGGCATGGCCATTTATCAGGTGACATTGTGTTTTGTATTTCCCCTTTCCCTGACCCCTATGAGGTAGTAGTTATGACCCAGAGGAGGAAATAAGGCTCAGACAGGAGAAGCCCCCTTCCCAGGGTGTCATGGTGAGTCCATGGAAGAGCCGGGATTTGTACCCCTCACACTGAGGCAGGCAAAATGGTCATTGCAGGAGAAGCATCCCCTGATCTCTTGCCCCCCTCTTCATCCTTCGCCCCCAAAGCCCTCACCTCTTTCCAGGTTTCCTGGTCTTGGCCTGAATCTCATACTCCTCAGCTGATCCTGCCAACCTCATCTCCACCCCAAGACCCACCCAGCCCTGCCCCAGCTGACACCTGGTTCTTGTGCTCACATCCTGGCCTTTCCCACATGGCCCAGAGGGACCTTTCTGTCTTCTATTAGGAAGGCCTTGTACTAATTGGAAAACTTTTGTTTGACGGTAATGCCAAAAAATTCATAACTAGTGAAAAGTAAGCACTGTTTCAGGCATAAGCAAGCATATAGCATGTGGGTAAATACGTGGGTCTGTACACGCCTTTGAAACACAAATGCCGTCTTCCCACATCAGAGGGATCTCTCTAACACAGAGATCCTCACTCCCCTCCGCAAACCAGGTAGCTGTGAGGCCAGAGGTGGGGAACTGTGAAAGCTGCACTAATGTAGACCTTGTTGGTGTTGGGTGGAGGTGACTGGTCCTAGGTGAAGGAGAGAGGCTTGGAAAGGACACCCAGGGTCATCCTGAGATCCTCCTCATCCTCCAAATGCCCCCATCTGTCAACTTCCCCTCAATTCAACCCAAAGATGTCTGAATCCCTCTGCTCCTCCGGCTGTGCCTCCCACTCAGGACTTGCTCCTCCCCACCCCACCCCACCCCAGCCTCTACTGTTGCACGGGTTCTTCCTCACTTGCTCCACAAATGTCCCTTGAATCCTGTCTGTGTGGCAAGCAATGAACCAGACACCAGTGATGTCACGGCCCCTGCTCTGGGGAGCTGACAATGGACATGGACCCAGGCGTCTTGAATCCACGCCCCATGTTCCTTAAAGCATGACCCTGGTTGGGCCTCGCTCCCACCCAGACCGAGAGGAAAAATCTTGGCACCCTAGACCTGCCCACGTCTGCAGCTTCACCTTCCCAAGCCACCATGAGAAGGAGAGAGGAGGGGCGACCATGTTCCCCAGCCTGAAGATCCTGCCCTCAACTCCCTCCCTAGGAGACAGAGGACCCTGGGCTTTCAAGGCAACATAATCCACAGGGGAGGCCGTAAACACCCTTGGAGTAGCTCGCTTTTCAGGGGAAACCAAGGCTCAGGGCCAGCATGACTTGAGCAAAGCCACACAGCGCGTCTGTGGCAGACAGATGGGCCCCACCCCTCAGTTCCCAGCTCCATCTCTGCGAGTGTAGACTTGTTTGAACTTCCCTAGACACTGACACTGCCAAGAGAAAGAAGAGGGGCTTAAGACCCTTTTTCTGCGTGTTCTGCTGATGTTCCAAGGACCTGAGCCTCCACTTCTTTCTATGGCTGTGGGAGGGGAGATGAACCAAGAGAGATGGGGCTAGACAAGGGATGTGGGGCGCAGGCAGGGTAGAAAAAGACAGAGTGAAAAGCATACAGCAGGGCAGAGAAAAGAGGGGTGTAAGGAAAGAGTAACTGGGGACTATCAAGGTAGAACAGAGAAGTGTATGGGGGTTTTTAAATCCCTGGAGGGAGAGGCAGCAATAAAGGAAAGAGAGTCAGAGTCAAATAGAGAGACAGAGACAGGAAGATGCAGATAAAGAGGTAGAGAGAGAGAACAGCAGAAAGAGAGACAAAGAAAACAGGAGAGAAAAGAAAGAGGGAGGGAGGGGGAAGAGCAAGCAGAGGTGGGGCCACAAGGGCCTCCTGTAAATTGCTTCCCAACACCCTCTCCCCTGCCCCTCACACCAGCAGTCCAGCAGGGTGTGTGGTGTCGTCCCCATCCCTGAAGGGGCTGCTCCGGGCAGAGCTGAGACTGACACATGGGAAGGTGTCCAGCTCCCGGCCCTCTCTCTTTTCCTGCACCCAGCTGCCTCCCAAAGAAAAGGGCCAAGTTCAGTGTGGAAGGGGCAGAGACAGGCCCTGGGGGACTGAGAGCTGAAGTGCTGTAACCAGGGGCAGAGAGGCTGCAGTCTGTCTCCCCTCTTCAGTGCCTGGTCCCCACAGACACCCTACCTGTTCTTGTCCCCTGCTGGCTGCTGAGGGACAGGCTTTGGCTATCCTGACTTTGGCCAATGCCTCCCTCAACCTGTGGCCATCGTCTCCCTGCCTGGTGACCCCAACACCCTCCTGTACCTCCTCCTACCCATCCCTGTGCCCCCCAAGACCACCCATCCCATGGCCACCTTTCTGCTCCTCTGCAGGTTTGGGGTTAGGGAAGGGAGCACAGAGGCCTAGATGGGGGGTGGAAGGCTTGGTGGATTATTGAAGATGTGCGGGCACTGCGGCTGACATGGATGAGGAGGAAGAGGAGGGGGTCTTGGTGATGGACGATGCTGATCCTGCGGTGGGGGGAATGGCAGGGGAGGGGGTGGAGAGGGCTGGGGGAGGGGTGGTGAGGAAGCAGGTTCGGAGGGGAGCAGGACCAGGCTCACATTTGGCATTCAGGGCAGCTGACAATAAAAATGCTTTATTGCCAAGAAACTGGATCGATCGGGGCTGGAGGGGGCCGGCAGGGGGGACGCGGAGGGCTCAGCGCAGAGGCCGGCGGCCGGCCTTCGCAGCGACCAGGGCCCGAGCCGCCCTCCCCCCTGCACCCCCCTCCCTGCCTCCTGCCCTTTCTCTCTCCTGCAGCCACCGCTTAGTTCTTATTATATTTTTTCTTATATATTTTTCCCCCAGCTTCTCCTGCTCCTGTTTTTTTATTCTTTTAATTTTTTTTAAAACTCGCTGCACTCCCAATGCCGCAGGCCGGGTGGGGGTGGGGTGGGGGCATCTGCCTGGGCCAGGCCCCTATCCACAGGGTGCCCAGAACTGCTGGCTCTGGGATGAGCCCCACTTTGCTTCTGTATCCCCCAATCCAACCAGGCTCCTCCTAGAGCCTGTCCTCTGTGGATGCCCATCTCCCCCTGCCACCCCTCCAAGGGGCCTCCTTCCAACCTCAGAGTACCCACACACACATATCCATGGTGGGCTGAGGGCCCTGGCCAGGCCTTCCTCCCCTCCCCCCTACCTGGCCCCCTGCTCACTCCCGGAGCCATTTGGCTGATGGTCAGAACTGTCTGTCAAGGTGGCTCTGAGCCCCTGGGGACCCAGATGGGAGGAGGGAGGGGGAGAGGTCGGGGGTCAGGCCACGTCCCCTCAGCTTGTCTCTTTCCCCTCCCCCTTCCTAACAAAGGGAGCATCGGCCTGACACTGGCGGGATGGCCTGGTACTCAGGGAAGCGGGGAGGAGAGGGGCTGTGGGGATGGCCATGGGCAGAAGGCGGGGGTGGGGGCCGCCTGCCCCTCCTCTGCCCTCCCCCTCGGGTCAAGGCTAAGGTGATTCCTCAACCTCTCGGAGGCTGGGCTGGGAGGAGAGGAGGATCTGGACAGACAAAGAACTGGAGCCCTGGGGAGTTGGGGGCTGGGGGGACGCACCTGGGACCAGGGCAGTCCTGGCTGAGGGAGGGGCAACAGGCACCCCTCTGGCCCTGCTCTCACCCTCTGGATGGCCCTGCCTCCCATCTGTACCAATCCCTACGGATCCCAGAGCCATACAGACCTTCCAGCTTGGGCAAGGTCGGATGGGGGTGGGGGGAAACTGAGGCCCAGAGAGGGGAGACGGCCCAGGCCCAGGGTTCTCAGCGCTGTCCCAGAGTCTCTCCCCTCACTTCTCTTCCTACTAAGGGAAGACATCTTCCTCTCCTGCCCTCCCCCACCCAGGTCAGGGGAGGTTTGGTGGGGGCAGATGGTAGAAGGTTCTATGGAGAGGGAAGAGGAGGCTGAGGAAAAAGTGAGGCTAAGCGTTCTCCTCTCTTAAGCCAGTGGGCAGGGGAGGAAGCCAGAAGAGAAAAAGTCTAAATGTGACCTTGAGCACTGGCCTGGCACAGCTGTGGGAAGAAACTTAACGTCCGTCAGAAAGGGCAGGAAACCAACATAGACAGGGTGCTCCTGAGTACCTGGCTAGCGGTGGCTGGGGAAGAGGCCTTCAGACAGTTTTCCCCTTTTGCCCATGGCTACAGTGAAGGAGGAGGATTCACACTCTGGTTGGTCACAATCCACCCATGACACTGCGTCAGGGCCTCCCATCCACCCAGCCTGACTGTGGGGCGCAACGGGTAGCTGAGGCAATGAACAGCTGTGAGCCCCCATGCCCACAGGGATATGGAGCCTCCAAAGAGACAGAAGGAAACAGGCAGATCTTCTGTGCTTAAATTCTCCTATGAAGGCTGAGGTGACTCTCGGGGAGAGGGCCGCAGCGAAGAAGAAGAGGGGGAGAATAAGGCGGGCCTCTTTTGGAGGGGGTGGGATGGGCTCACACATGCCCCCACAGCCTGCCAAGAAGGCCCCAGATGGGCCGAGGACTATAGGGGTCCCGGCTGCCCTCCCCCAAACCTCCCCTCCCTTCTCTCCCTCTCTCTTTCTCGGCTGGCTATCGACCGGGGCTGTGACATGGTGGATCAATACGGCAGGGATATAAAGCCGGCTGGCTGGCTGCCTGCCTCTGCCTCTCTCTCTCTCCCTTGCTTGCCTTGCTTCCTTTTCCCGGAGCCGCACCCAGGTCCCCCACCATCATGTACCCCTTACCCAGGCCTCTGAGGGGCCAGGCACCCCCCACCACTCCCCTACAGCAGGAGAGCTTAGGGAGGCTGAGAGCTTGGACAGCCGGGAGAGGGGGTGAGTATGGGAGTGGGCAAGGAAGCAGATGGGGATGGGGGCCATAGTTTCAGGTAAGGGGGCTGGGAGAAATTGAGGGACAATTTCTGGGAGAAAGCAGGCATCCCCTCAATTGGGAGCAGCTCAGAAAGATGGGGCCCTTTGAAGGTGTGTGACGGACAGAGCTCTGGGAGGTGGGCAGGGGGCACCTGTGGGTTCAGAGAGACACTGTCCTGAGCCCATGAGGCAGGGGAAGGTCTGGGGTGGGTGCTGGAGTAGGCTACGGTGAATGGACACAAAGAACAGTGGGGCGAACCCTCAGGCCGGCCTGCGCCCACCCCCAGAGCTGCTGGCTGCCCCGCCTTTGGGTCCCTGCGGGTAGAAGTTGCCTTGGCCTCACCCCAGGGTCTGGCCTGCACATGTGTGGTTGGGGTGGGAAGCTTGTGCGGCTTCGGACAGGAGGTTCCAGCGAGAGGTCTGTGGTGTGCGAGCTGCCATGGACGCAGGGTGTGCATGTGTCCTCAGGCTCTGCTGGGGGATTCTAGGACTGCACATACCCGAGCGTCTTGGCCCGAGTCATGTCTGTGTGTGAACATGAGTTCATGGATGTGTCCCAGGAGCACTGGGTGGCTGTGTATGCACTTCCATGAGTGTTTCCCTGACGCTAAGTCTCTGTCTGTCCCTTGGGGATGTATCCCAGGAACACCTCAGGGATCTCCTCTGTCCCCAGTTAATGGGGTAGCTATGTGTTCCCATGTGCTCTGGGAAGCCTGTGTGTGTTGGCGTGCGCATGCCCCTGACAGAGTGTGTCTGAGCACGGATGCTGCTGTGCGTGAGCCTCCATGGGTCCCGTGTGGATCTGTGCCTGTGCCTGTGGGCAGCTGCGTGTGCTTCAGGGATCTGCGCGGTGGTCTCTATGTGTACTGGAAGCAGGTTCTCCTCATGAGTGTCGGAGAGTCCATGCGGTTTCTCTGTGTGTCTATGTGATGCTGTGTGTCCCTGTGTGCCGATGGTCGAGTGTGTTTCCACAAGTGGGCTGGAGGCTCTGGGTGTGTCCCTGTGTGTGTCATGGTGACTTGGTGTAGACGGCACGGTGTATGTGTGTAGAGGCTACAACCCTGAGTCTCTGAGTGGGGGAGGGTGGCGAGGCAGCAGGGGCTGCCACGGAGACACTGGCTAGCCGGTTTTATCACTACATCATCTCCAAATCCCAATGTCAGGGCCTGCCTGCCTTCTTTCCCTTCCCTGCCAGAGACCCCAGACCCCTGCCAGGATGGGCCCAGGCCCCCGTCCCTCCCCCGGCACCTTGGGCAGGCTGTACCTCTGCTCCTCAACACCCCTGCTTTGGTGGATGCCACCTCAACTCCACCAAGCGACCTCCGTCCCTCCCAACCCCCCCAGCGCCACCCGCTCCCCCCGCCCTCCCCCCACCACAAGTCCAGTCCAACCCAGACAAAAGCAATTACTCCAGAGGTAGGATGTGAGTGTGGGTGTTAGAAACAGGAAAAAAAGGGGGGGACAGGGAGGGGGAGCGAGAGAGACACAAACAGAGGCAGGGATGGACAGCCAGAGACCCCGAGAGACGACAAGAGAAAGAGAACGGCAGAGTGAGAGACAGAGGCACACGCAGAGAGATGCACAGAGAAGCAGAGACAGAAGATGAAAGAGACTGGAAGGGACACAGACACCAAAACCAGGAGGCAAAGGCAGAGAAAAAGAGCAGAGGAAGGGCAAATGCAGAGAGCACGACAGAGAGAGACGCAGAGACAGTGACTGGAGAGACGGAGAGAGAAACAGAGAAAGAGCACACAACAGAGCAGAAAACCCAGTGATGGAGCCACACAGAGAGAAGACGCAGATAAAGAGAGAACGGGGGCCAGAGGCAGGGAGAACTAGAAAGGGGGCAATGCACAGAGAGGAACAGAAAGGCTGAGTGAGAGTGAGAGAGAAAGGAGACCAGAGAGATAAAAGGCAGACGGCAGATAGTGGTGGAGGGGAGTTGGTAACCCACTAGAGACTCTGAGATGGCAAAGCTAGAGAGAAACTGAAAGGGGATCACGTCCAAAGTGATGTCTCTCACACACACACACACACACACCTTTCTCCCCATTCCCCAGGCCAGAAGTCAGGGATGCTCAAGCCTTTTTCCACGTTCCTCTGGGCCCCTGTGAGCCACGGTGGGGAGGGGACAGGGTGAATGGACAGGGATGATCTCAGGTAGCTTCAGGGACCAGCCAGAGCCGACTGGGACCTGATCACATGGGTAGGGAGAGCAGTACATCCCTCCTTACCACACACCGCCACCTCACCCTCCACACACAGTCCACACACACCAGGGCCTTGGCCAATTTCCTCGTACTCTGCCAGGCATGGCCAGCCTGGGGGGTGGGGGGCCAGGTGTGAGGTCCTTCCTTCCTGCCCCACAGTCCTGCCCACCTGCCTCAGCTGCAGCTGCCCCGCACTGTTTTTTCTTTCTCATTGTCCCCTGCCTTCAGCCCGGCTGCCTTCATCTTTCTCTGATGCACTCTCATGCGCTCAGCTCGCATGCACGCGCCCTCTCTTTCTCTCTGTTCCTTTCTGTCTCTGAGTCCCTCACTCTGCTTTCCTGCCTCTGACTTTTCTGCTGTTTCCTCTTCCTCTTTGCTCCTCTCCGTTGCTCTGTTCCCCTCTCTGTGTTTCTGTCATGAGGTGCATGCTCCCTGGGTCTCCCTCTCCCTCCACTCCCATCTGGTGTATTCTGGATTCCCCTTTCTTAGACAATCCCTCTGGCCCTCCTATCCACCTCGTCCCCAAGAAAAGCAAGGTTGGGCACAGTGGTCCTAGCCTGTAGTCCCAGCTACATAGGAGACTGAGGCAGGAGGATTGCTTGAAAGTTTGAGAAAAGCAAGGGTGGATCACTGTGTAAAGGACCTCAGAAGCTGTCCTGGAGTGCTAGGAGTGGGTGAATACTTCCTTTCTTGTTTTTCCCTCAATCACCTTTTATCCTCCTCTCTTTCCTACCCCACCTCACACCCACCCCAGGCCGGATCTCTGGATCTCCCCAGCCTCCAGATCTCAGTGTGGCTCTCTCTGGAGACAAAAGCTAAGACTCAACCCACAGGCAACACTCAACACAGAGATCCAGCTCAGAAAAAAAGGAGCTGACCAGGGAGGAATGGAGAGGCCAAGACACATAATGAAGACTAAGAAAAGGAAGAAAGATGATGCTGGGGCTGGAGCCAAAGGGAGAGGAAGAGGAAAGGAAGGAAAGCCAGGGGCAGAGACCTGGCAGGGCAGCGTGAGCCCAACAACCACGGGGTGGGGGTGGGGCGCGCATCAAGATTTCTAACAAGCGCAGCTGAAAACACCCAGGGCCGTTCTCTGAGGCCTTCTCTCTGCCTACCAGCCCTCACCAGTGCTTCGAAGAGCCCTGAGGAACGTCTCTCTATTTGAAGTCAGAGCCGAGTGCCTGCTCTCGGCACCTGGGGCTCCATGCTTACCAGGATGGTGGGTACTTGACCTTCATTTGCTGTGGGACTGTCAGGGATTCCAGGGACCCACTGGTCCCCGAACTGGCTCAGAGATGCAAGCCATTTTTACCTCCTACACATCTATAATCCCCACCCCATGGCTGACAAATATTCCCAGTCCACAGCTGTCTCCACCCACCCAGTGACAGAGCACAGGCAGCCAAAAGGATCAAGCAATCTCTTGCCACCTCCCAGCACCCCAGAATGCTAAACAGACCCTCACATCTGGACTCCACATCCAGCGAGGAGTGCCCCTGCCCACCACCCAGATCACACAGCTGCCAGTTACAGACCACCCTATAGGTCCCACCACACGGCCATAGCCCACCAGCATCCCAGAGCTGCCTCTACACTAAAGCTCTGTCCCAGCCCAGCCATCCTTCAAGCCACATCTGGAATAGCACACACCCTATTCCACTAGCCAAAGCCCCCAGGGGTGTAATTCAGAAGGAGGCAGACTGGGCCTGGGGCATGTGGACAAGTCCCTGACACCACGCCCTGGCTTCTCCGGCTTGTCTGAAGAACCTGAACTGCCCTTAAGGCCTGCGCCTCCCATCCCAGGGCAGCCCCCCCGCCATACCTACACTCTTGGCCATGGGAGAATGTCCTCATGTGCGGCTAAACATCCTCCTCATGCAGCCTTGAATTCTGTTCCTTCCACGTCACCTCACCAGACCCAGGATGAAAGCCGCTCACCTAGAGCAAAGCTTCTGCTTCCGAGGCATTCAGGACTCCCCTCAGGGTGTGTGAGCACCCTGGGGCACATGCCTGTTGCTTATGTCTGGGTTACCTCTGTGACCCTGGGACCGCTCCACATTGAAGGCCGTTGTGTCTTTTTGTGGAAGGATGGAAGGACAGAAGGGAAGGAGAGACAAAGTGGTACCACAGCCCTGTTCTTGCCCTGGCACTTGGAGGGCACCAGATACCCAGGGGACTGTAGCTGGCTGTGAGGACTCTAAGGCCAGGCCAGCATACACAGTCCCCAATAGTGAGTAGGAGCCCAGTCAGTCCACACCCCTTCCCATCCACTCGAAATGTAACTTAGCCCTCGGCTTCTCCTTACCTTTCAGGAGTTCTCTCCTTACCCCCAAAGACTTCCTGAGGACCCCCTAGGCCAGCCAGCCTATCCCTCTCTCCCCTAACCCAGCATCCTGCAGTCCCCTGGTTCAGATTGGTGGTGTCTGTGCCTGAACCCCCACGAGCCTGAAAGCCCCTCAAAGGCCACATGGGTCTCCCGCCTCTCTGCATCTCCAGATGGTGGCACGAGGCCTAGCACACAAGGAATCCCAGAAAATGTTGGCTGAAGGAATAAATGGATGGATCTAGGTTTATGTGTCTGTTTGCTCACTTATTTATTCATTCAGCTCATGCTTGCTGAGCACTTACACTGTGCCAGGGACTGAGTATAGACAGATGTGTTAGACAAACAGAGAGGTCCCCTCACCCAGAGGCTTCTGAGAGCAGACATTAACCATATAGAATATAATCAGATACGGTGATAGTGCTCAGGAGGGAAAAGGAGGCATCATCCAGCCCATGGGTCAAGAAAGGCCCTCAGAGTTGAGGAGCCTTAGATGGGGAGCTGAGGAGGTAGAGAAGTGAAGCCAACCCAGAGTGGAGAGAAGGCCCTGCTGTGGGTGGGAGGAGATTTGGAGGAAGGGCCAGAAGGGAGAGGAGGAGGGGGAGTCACACGGGAGCATAGGCAGCAGAGGCCACCACAACCCCAGGGCTGGGAGGGGGTCTCTCACTCATCCTGGGGCTCCAGCTCCCACATAGAGCATTGAGGAGGCCTCCAGACATGTTTGGGGCATCACTCACCTTCCAAGTGTGGCTATAAAGGAAAGACAGAGCAGGTGAGGGCGATGTTTATTGTAGTTGTTGTTTCGTAACAAAACTATACACCTAAAAGAGTATGGCTTCCTTCAAAGATGTCTCCTCAGGAGGCCGAACTTTTTCTTGAACCACCTGATATTTTGGCAACAGCCTTCAAGGCCAGTTTACAAACTCCATCAGCAAAGCATCTCTCTAGTGTATAATCATCTCTAGTTTCTATTGAAAAACCAACAAGTGGCCCCAGTATTATCATTGCTAAATTCATCAGAGCTGCTGCTAAATCAGACTTCAGGTGGTCTCCGAAATCAAATTCACTCCCAAAGTGCAAAAATTTGCCACACTGTGGAGATACCAAAAACAATGGTGGGTTTTGGTGAGGTAAAAGAATGAGAGCTTTAAGGTCAGGCAAACCCAGGTTCAAATTCTAACTCTACTGCTTACATGTTGGGTGGCCTTAGGCAAGTTGCCTTCACGCTCTGTGCCTCAGTTTCTTTGTCTTGTAACAGGTGCCAACACCCACTTCACAGGGTTGCTGTGAGGATTAAAAGCAAAGTGCCCAGAACAGGCCCTTGCACAAAGGTGGCCCCTAATAAATATCAGTTTCCTCACTGGAATGTACCAGCCCTGTTACGTGTTACCAAGTCAGTCACCCACATGTCCATGAAATCATGGATATTTAATGAACATCTATTTGAAGACAAATAATTGAAATCATAGACCTAACAGTGACCTCTACCAACTGGAAACATAATTAAACCCCTCTGTTACTTCAGCCCAACTTTCAGACGTTCCTCAAAGCCAGTCTCTAGCTCCCAAACTAATTCTGCAACCTGGAAATTCCTTGACTCTCTTTTCGAGGATGTGAGGATTCCTGGAAAAACTGCAACTTCGGTTCCCTGGAGAAAGCACTCTAGAGAAATGACACATCCTGGAACAAACACTCTCAGCGATAACAGGGGTCCATGAATGAGCTTCAGGGGGTCTGTGATCATCCCAAAGTGTAGCACAACTGGGCAAATGTAGGTATGTGTTTTCCTGGGAGAAGCTCTATACTGTTGTGAAACTAGGTATCTATGGGCCAAAGGTTGCCTGAAATATGTTGTTTGGACCACGAGGAGATTTTGCAAGTTTTGCATTAGTTGCCAACATTTAAAGATTGGAAGACTTCACACACAAGTCTGGGTTCCTGGCTTCTCTTGAAAAATCAGAAACCCTGGCAAGTCAGGGTTGCATCTGTGCATGAGAACAGTCAGTGGAGCTAAAAAGCAGTCCCCCACCCCATGCATTTTTCAGTCCATCATAGTCCCTACAATGCTGGGTTGCAAACCCTGGGCTACAGCTTCCATCTGCTTCTTAAAATGAGACTGTGATTCCTGGTACAGCAAAGGACTCCTACCCAGGAGTCCTACAAGGGCACCCAAAGGCCTCCCTGGGGTCCTGAGACCTGTGGGTTAAGCTTCTCTGGTGGGAATAGGGGTGGCAGTAGAGGGCTGTCCCACCCCAGAAGCCCTGTCCACCCTCCTCCCTAGATGCTCATTGCCAGGGCCTCACCAAGCAAGCTGGAGCAAACACCAGGGCAAATGGCCAGAGCCCCTGCTTCCCACAGAGGTGAGCAGCAGGAGAACTATGGCTTCTACCTGGGAGTCTCAGTGGGCTTCAGGGAGGGGCTTCATAAAACCTTCTTTGTTCAGGGGAACGCTTCCAGCCATATTTTGAGCTCCCACTTCCTGCAGCCACACGATTTCAAGGAATAAGTACTTTCATCTTCACGCCACCTCCATGTGGTAAATGCTATTAATTACCCTCCTTTGACAGATGGGGAAACTGAGCCATGCCCAGGATCACTCAGCCACCTGGCTCTTCTTCCTCTATCTCCTTTTGCTCTCAGGATGGCACTTAAGGTGGGTTCTATTAGTATTCCCATTTACAGACAAGGAAATGGAAGCTCAAACTTTCCCAAGTCCCTCGAAGTCAGGAAAAGAGATTCGAACATAGGTGTGCTTGAACCCAAAGCTGTGATCTGAGCCACCGAGTTACCCCCATCTCTCTCCTACTGAGCCGTAACACTGATCAGCAGAAACACCCACAGTCATCAACACCAAGAACCACTGGTTTGGCCCGAAAGCCACAGGATGCATGGAGGGTGAGAACAAAGCAGTCAGATTCTAACCTCTGGGTGGGCAGAGTGGAGAAGGGCAGCAACACACCCAGGGTGAGGCCAGAGACGAGGATGGGAAAGCAGAGACTTCTGTGAGAAACCAGAAGGTGCATCAATAAGCAAAACTCTAAGGCCGTGGTCCTTACCTCTTGGGCAGACGCAGCGAAGCTAATACATTCAGGCCACCAACCCGGTCCAGTCGAGAACCTGGAGAGAGAGGAGAATGCAGTCAACATCCCGGAGAATTCCCCATCCTCATGCAGGATGATGCACTCCTCCAGTGGAGGAACCCTCCTCCTGTCACATCATCAGGAGCTGCAGTTGGCTAACTGTGGAGTCAGGTGCCTGGAACTCAGGTCCAGTCAGCCACTTGTTGCCTTCAGTAGTCACTTCTGGCCTCTGAGCCTCTGTGTCCCCAACTCATAAATGGGCATACTAGTGCCTGCCACTGTGGAACATCTGTTTTTCCCATCAGACTGGAAGCTTCTTAAAGTGCAGGGACTGTAACTGTGTCTTGAAGCTTTTGTGTTTGGCAGAGGGCCTGGCAAATTTGAGATGCTCAATTAGTGCATAACGGACGACGGAGTGAATGGATGGGTGGATGGAGGAATTAACTGATTAAATGGTGTATCTCAAAGGACTGCTACGAGGAACAAATGAGAAAGAAATTTGAAAAGGTTACTCATTATTAAGTTCCTATGTGCTCTGGGGAGATTAAAAATAAAAGTCATAATGATATTTCTGACTTGTACATTTGTCCATTCATTTGTGCATTTAGTTCATCAACAAATATTGAGATTTCTCTGGCTCTGAATCAAGTGTGGCAGGGGACAGAGATGAATTAGACAAGGTCTCTGCTCTATTACGGGGCTCACAGGCAAGTTGAGGAGACAGAAGGAAGAGCCAATGCCAACATGCTGGGGTAAGCAGAGGGTGCTGCGGGCATCCTGGGTGAGATCACAGAAGACTTAGGGAGGAAACAACACCCAAGCCAAACCTGGAAGACAAATTTTAATCAGAGAAAGAACCAGGTGCAAGGAACGAGAGAATGCCAGGACTTTGCCTGTCCAGGGTTCAGTAAGAAAAATGGGGAAAGACGAGGCTTCCAGATTGCAGGGGCTGCTCCCTGCAGGGCGTCAAGTGCCTGGTCCAAGCAGCCAGGGCTTCGTCAGAGAGGGAGAGGGATACAATCCAGTTTGCCTTTGGAAAGGTCCTTCTACCTCCTGTGTACAAGATGGAGAGAACAGAGAAGTAGGCAAGAGGTCAGGAGGCCCATCCCCAAAGAGGGTTTGCTGAGCCTCTCCACAGCCCTGTAGGAAGGAGGAGTGAGGAATTAAGGGAGGCACCAGAGTTCAAAAGGAGGAGGAGGAGAAAGAAAAAGATGGACTGAGAAGGAGGGGGAGAGAGAAAGAGAAGAGATGGGGAGAAATAGACAGAGAGGAATGAAGGGAGCGGGGGCAAAGAGACCAGGGAAAAGCCCAAACAAGAAGCAAAAGGGGGGTAAAAAGGGCCAAGGGTCTCCCCACTTCCTCCTCCATCTGTCCTGTCTCTCCCTGGGCCTTCATCTTCAGGGGCAGAAGGGGACCAGAACCCCTGGTCCCTGAGGGGAGGGAGGAGCTGGGGTTGCTCCCCGCTCAGGGGCTGCTTCCCCCCAGCCCCCGCCCTGGAGCTAATCAGCGGCTGTCATCTCCACAGTGAGGTCTTGGTTAAGGAGATTTAGGGCCGGGATCAATAGGAAATTTAAAAATCGATGCAGCGCGCAGGGCAAAATCGATGGCGTTTAATCGCCTTGCCGATTCCCAGTCAAAACAATTAGCCGCGCTGAGTGTTGAACACGGTGGCGACACGGCATTAACCGTCAATATTGGTGTAAGTGATGGGGTGGGCGAGGGAATCCCCAGGCCTCGGGGGGGCCAGAGTCAGACAGCGCCTTAGGGCTGGGGTCTTCCCCCAGGCAGTGCCCCCACCTTGGGCTTCCCTCCAGCAGGGCCCACACTTGAGTCTCCCTGCCCTCTGCTACCTGGGGCTGTGGTGCCCATAGGCAGCACCATCCCTGGCATATCTGCTTCCAACTCTCATCCCATCTCCCGGGTTCCCAAACCCCAATATGCCCTCCGACAGAGGGGAGAGGATCCCTCTCCCAAGCAGACAACACCTCCAAGTAGAGAGACAGTCCATGGGATCTAGGAGCTGTATTCCCAGCAGTGCCTTAAGACTGGGAGCTATTTAGAAGATGTCTTCCCCCATTGTACAGATGGGGACCCTGAGGAACAGAGAGGGGCAGCAGCTGGCCCACAGTTACCAGGCACAGGAAGAGTGGGAGCCAGAATTTGAACCTGATGTGTCTGACTCCAAAGCCTACATTTCCTGCAGCTGTGCACATAAAGGGTAGATTCCAGTGTTCACAGAGGGAAAGCAAGCTCAGGGTTTGGTCCTGGCCCCTCAAGTCTCCTCACAGCCAGTGTATATAATGGTTTGCTGTGTCCTGGGGTCAGTTTGCCATGTACATGGCAGACTGTGAGCTCCTTGAGGGCAAGGCAGGGCCTGGCTCCTTTGGGGGTCCGAAGCATTGCCCAGCACAGGGAATGACCCCAAGCCAGGGCTTGGGACAGGCCTAAGAATGATGACGCCACTTGCCCCCACAGACACAGAATGCCCACATACAACCCCACCGATAGACAGATGGAAACACTGGCACCCACAGACACATCAGTACTGGCATTTCCTGAGTGCTGGTCATGCACCAGGGGTGGGTCATTGCTCTGCAGGTGTGATCTCTCAGCATCTCACATTTGTTCGGCGAGTGTCATCCCATGACACTGCTGTGGAAAATGGAGGCTCAGACAGGTAAAGTCACTTGCTCAAGGTCACACAGCCAAGTGGGGGCACCTCTATCTGATTGGACTCCGAGGGGCATGGGACATACAGCAAACAAGATCTAACGACTATGAGCAAGAGAGGTGGATGCAAGGAGAAGGTACAGGAACTGGGCACCTAAACAGAGAACCAGGAATGGCCCACAAAGGGCCATGGGGCTCCCGGTTCTGGGGTGCTGTGTTGGGAGAGAGAGGCTTCTGTGGCCACCTGCTCCCTGGAGCAGAAGAACAGGAGGGAGTGTGTGGGCAGAGGAGGAGGCCCACGAGATGAGCCAGGGATTGATCTGACAAGGTCCTAATCAAATGGTCAATATCACTGACCTGACCACTTAACCTATTGATAAGCTGGCAAGGATGGAGCAGGCGGTGAGTGGGCTCAGGGAGGGGGGCAGCGGAAGGGATGAGGGAAGCCTGAGTGGGCAGGACATAGGCCGGCATCACGCCTGGCTCTGGGGCCTGGAAGAGGGTGGTCTCCTCCTCAAGGGCCCCTGCTGACACGGCACATGTCTTATGTCTTGGTGGCTTCCTCTACCCAGGCTTTTCTCTCCTCTCGGGATCCCTCAGTCCCTCCCTGAGGGAGGCCAGGGACTGTTGCTGGCACCCAAGTGGTCCCCGGCTCCCCTCTGACTGTGCCTTAGCTTTTCACACATGTGAGAGGCTTCACATCCAAGCCTCAATGTCTTCATTTGTAAACTGGGGATAATTATAATAGGGGAAATCAAAAACCAACCTAGATATCATATGAGTGGGGACTGGTACAATAAATGATAGTATAGTGGCCATACAAAGAAGGACTGTAGAGTTGTTGAAAACATGTTTGAAATAAATTTTTTTTTACACTTCTCTCAGCTCATACCATGAAATAAAATCATTGACAACGAAACCATGTTCATAATCTGTTGTTAGGAAGAAGAAAAGGCAAGTTATAAACAAGTATGTAGCATATCATCCCGTTTTTACAAAATACACATCCAGATGGTTCCCCCACCAAAAATAAATAAATTTGGAACAGAAATCAGAATTCTGAGTTTGGACCAGTCTGGCCAACATGGTGAAACTCCATCTCTACTAAAAATACAAATATTAGCCGGGTGTGGTGGTGCGCCTGTAATCCCAGCTACTCAGGAGGCTGAGGCAGGAGAATCTCTTGAACCCAGGAGGTGGAGGTTGCAGTGAGCTGAGATTGCGCCACTGCACTCCAGCCTGGACGACACACTGACATTCTGTCTCAAAAAAAAAAAAAAAAAGGCCAGGCATAGTGGCTCATGCCTGTAATCCCAACACTTTGGGAGGCCAAGGCAGGCGGATCACCTGAGGTCAGGAGTTTGAAACCCCATCTCTACTAAAAATACAAAAATAGTTAGCTAGGCGTGGCAGCAGACACCTGTAATCCCAGCTACTTGGGAGGCTGAGGCAGGAGAATCGCTTGAACCTGGGAGGCAGAGGTTGCAGTAAGCCGAGATCATGCCATTGCACTTCAGCTCAGGTGACAGTGCGAGACTCTGTCTCAAAAAAAAAAAAAATCTGAGTTTGGGTCCCAGGTATCTAAATTTTAATAAATTATTTGGGTAAACTCATAGCCATAATCTCCTTTGGAGAAAAAAAAAAAGCTAAGACAGTCAGGGTGCAATGGCTCACACCTGTAATCCCAGCACTTTGGGAGGCCGAGGTGGGCGGATCCCTTGAGCCCAGGAGTACAAGACCAGCCTGGGCAACATAGCAAGACTCTGTCTCTACAAAAAATACAAAAATTAGCTGGGTGTGGTGGCGCATACCTACAGTCTCAGCTACTCGGGAGGCTGAGATGGGAGGATCACTTAAGCCTCAGAGGTAGAGGCTGCAGTGAGCTGAGATCTCTCCACTGCACTCCAGCCTGGGTGACAGGCTATCTCAAAAAAAAAAAAAAAGACAGATAGCAAAAGGTAATGTCCTTTTTGTTGTTCGTTTAACTAGATTATCATGGTCATTTTCTTCTCATCTCATTGAATTTCTGTTTTCTGTTATTTCTACAATGAACATGTGTCACACCATTTGTCTGTAATTGACAGACTGTGGCTAGGTACTTAGTGGAGGCACCTCTAGTGCTGTTTCTCTGCTTCCCTCTCCCTTTCCCAGCCAGGCTTGTCTTATGTCTTCCCTTATGTCCAAACCCAGCAGAGTTCAGTGCCCTCAAGAATGTGAATGAATTTGAAGTCTGCTGAATGGAGAAGAGCTCACTCCTCTGGCTTCTGCTCTCAATAGAGTGGGCGGGGTAGTACCAAGCCAAATACAGTCCCCTGTCCCCTCTTCAGGAAACTGGCTGAGGGCTTACAGACAGGAGGAACTGCTGGAGGGAAAACGAAGACCCAGAGGGAGGGAAGGGATTTTCCCAGAGCTACTCAACTGGTCATGACACAGCTGGGACCAGAAGCTGGGGATCTGGGCTCCTGGATCAGAGTAGTGCCATCCAACTACTGGGAGGGGGACAACTGCAAGAACAAGTGTGCATGCAGACTCCTGAGATAATGTGCACTTCTGTGGGGCAGAAGAGCACAGTGGGTAAACATGGGGTCGGCCACTTCCTCACTGTGTGGCCCTGGGCAAGTCACTTCACCTCTCTGAGCCTCAGTTTGCTCAAACATAGCATGAAGATAATAATAACAGCTGCCTCATTTTGCTGGTGTGAGAAGCCAACAAGACCGTGCTTATAGGGAACTTAGCAAAAGGCCTTACACACAAAAAAGGGGCAATGAGTGGGAGAAATTAATACTATTACCATCAGCAGCCATAAATGCTGTGAGTAGTAAGTGAAGGTGGTGGGTAGGTAAGGGAGAAGGTTTGTCTTGGTAACCTGAGCAAATGAACAAATGCAATGAAGACACTCAGCTAAATATATTCCTTTGTTCATTCATTCATTCATTCAGTAAGCATTTCCTGAGGCCAATTCTAGGCCAGATCCCATGCTGGGCCCTGCAATCCAGATATGAACAATGAGAGCTCCCATTAGGTTGGTAAAGGGGAATTAAGGATGGCTGGGGATGGCCCCTTATCTCTGACAGTTGCTGCCGCAATGGCCCCCAAACTATCTCTTGGGCCTTCTGCAGAAAAGGATCGAGCACAGGAGCACAAGCTCCCCATCACCTGACTGGTGTGACACTTTGGGTATGTGTGTGCACACACTGGAATAGTAAGCTCTGTGCAGATGGACTATGTTCACTTTTGTCATTCACAGCACTGGGCACCAGGTCTCATGCTCTGGGGACACTCTATGCTCAGAGTTTTTTTTTTTCCTCCGTTTTTTAAAATGAACAACAAAAAAAAGTTCAAAGCACCTTGCACAATGCCTAACACCTGGCAGGTACTCAATAAATAGCAGCTATTATTAGCGTCATCATCACACGTGCCACTGCTCTTCATCCCAACAAAAACCTTATTTTGCCAACAAGGAAACTCGAGGCTTAAAAGGAGTGATGTGACTCAAAGCCGGGTGTGTCTGACTCCACAGTCTGTGGTCTCCCCTCCTTTGTGTCTGGGGGCAGGGGCCATCAGAGTGTATGCTGGAGGTGAAGGAGGGGAAGGGCAGCAGTGTGCGTCAGGGGGTGAGCAGATCTGACAATGGGAGTAAGGAGGAGTTGATTGGAGTGAGGGGAGGGTCGTGAGGGAGATGAGGGTGCAGGATGGGAGCATACAGGCCCAGGATGATGATGGTTTTGGAGTCTGGCTGCTCTGAGGCTCAGGTAGGAGGTGGACTCACTTGCCAATGTACCCCTCCAGCACTGGTAAGTGCTCACCCTGAAGGTGAGCTCTGCCACCCTTGTCTGACACAGCAGACGTCTACCTCCACCATTATATTGGGCAAGCAGGTGATATATTGGGCAAGTAGGTGATATATTGGGCAAGTAGGTGACAGGGGATCCGGCTTCAGTTCATTTGACAAAACATTCAATGAGCACTTATCGTGTTCTGGGCACTGTGCTACACACTAGGGATACAACTATGAACAACACAAAGTCCCTGCCATCGTGGAATCCACCTTCTAGTGGAGGAAGAGATATGATACACAAGAAAATATATTTAAGACCTAAGAAGGAAAATAAAGCAGGGAGAAAGTGGCTTACAAGATGCTGCTATTGGCCAGGCACAGTGGCTCATGCCTGTAATCCCAGCACTTTGGGAGGCCGTGGCGGGCAGATCACCTGAAGTCAGGAGTTCGAGACCAGCCTGGCCAACATCATGAAACCCCGTCTCTACAAAAATACAAAAATTAGGTAGGCATGGTGGCGTGCGCCTGTAGTCCCAGCTACTCAAGAGGCTGAGGCACAAGAATCGCTTGAACCTCAGAGGCAGAGGTTGCAGTGGGCTGAGATTGCACCACTGCACTCCAGCCTGGGCAACAGAGCAACACTCTGTCCCCCCAAACTCCAAAAAAAAAAAAAAGCTGCTATTTTAAACATAAAGGAAAAGCCTATCAGAGAAGGTAGATTTTGACAGCTTTCCTGGCAAAGGAAACAGCAAGTGCAAAGGCCCTGGGTCAGGAACAAGGTTTAAGGAACAGCAAGAAGGCCAGAATGGCTTGAGCTTCCAGAGCCAGGAGGGAGGGAGTAAAAGTTGAATAGACAGACAGGCGCTAGCTCATACAGGGTTTGCAAGCCAAGAAAGATGTTCTAAGTGTGATGGGAGAAATGACAGGCTCTCTCTGTGGCAGGTGAGGGTTGGTCTCACCCTCACAAAACCAGGCTCCAGCCTCACCCATTGCCCATATTGCCTATGGGGCCTTCTGACCCATTCATTCTCCAAGAACAAGCCCAAGAAGCCCTCAGTAAGCCCTCGGAGTCCCTTGACAGGGCTTTGTCAGGGTCAACCTCCCCAGACTGAGGACTACTCTAGAACATGGAAAGATCTGCCTCATCTGGGTGACTGGGCATGCAGCTCAGGCCTGGCCACAGGAGGCTCAGAAATCAATAGAACGTCAGTAGAAAGTAAGGGTGACTATAGCTCCTGACCTCCATTCCCTAGCAAATCTCCATTTGGGGGCAAGTCGTAGCAGTGGCCAAGATATGGGGCTGGGAGCAAGGGGAAGGTAGTTCTGTACCACCTCCCTCACCAGACCTTGGCCAGGGTTCCCAGACTGGACAGGTAGAGCAGAAGTCCTTGTGACTGGTGGCCTGCTCACTGGATCCCTTCCTCCAGGGGCTACCCATCCTGTCCTGTCCCCACACGAGGCTCAGAGAGATCAGACTTGGTACCTGGCTCACATGCTCTGTCTAGTCCCTCTCAAAACTGTTTTGTGGTTATGTGGTGCGCCCTGAATAAATCCCAAGCCTCACAGTGCTTCCCAGTCATGTAAAGTCTCCTCTCAGTCCTCCTGAAGGTCCCGTGACCCTGGGCCTCACATGATTGCTGGGAACAGTCTAGGCTTGTTCACATGTCCATGCCCTTGCCCAGGCAAGCATCTCCATTTAGACAGTCTTCTGCCTTCTTCTCTGCACCTTATCACCCTCTCCATGTCTCCTCCTTGGTGAATCTTCCTGGGCTCCCCACTCAGCACTGCCCCAGAATGCTTTGTGCACCTCATCCAGAGCCCAGAATCTGGGCCCCAGGTGAAAGGATCCCATTTCCCACCTAGGGACATGCCAGAGGAGTTTTCTAGAGGGAAAAGTGCGGCATAGTGGGGTAAGGGTAGGGGCATCTGAGTGCTGCATTATTTATGCCTGTGTGGGCTCTGTGAGTTTCAGGAGGGATATGTGTACACATTTAGAATCTGTGTGTTGTGCCTGATGTCAAGCTTAAATGTCACTTCCTCAGAGATGTTACACCTAGCCTACCAATCTAAACCAGGTTCTTCCGTGATGCCCTCCTGTAGCCCCTTTTTCCTCTCCTTACCAGGTGTATTTATAACTAACTATACACTGAGGTCTGATCAGTGCCAGTCCTGTTGGCTTGGAGCTCTTAGAGAGCAAGGCCCAGGTCTGTCTCGTAAACCACTGTTTCCTCAGCTTCTAAGACAGGGCCTGACTCCTATAGAGGCTCAGTACCTATGTGATGAGTTAATTAATTCTATACACATTTTCACACTTGAACATCTACCTATTTTGTTTTGCTTTAGGGGGATGAGGCTAGCCTGGGGGGTGTTTGTGTGCTATAACTCAGGGCATGGCCCTTTCGGTCACCACGTGTGGCCTCCCTGTGGGATTTCTGAATGTGGCCTGTGTGCACCCACAGGCATATAGGCTGGGATGCTGCCATGTTTTAGTATTTCTATTCGTACATTTTCTATTGAAAAACAAATCTCCACACGAGGAGCACCCTGGTGTTTTGGTGTCTGTCTTGCCCTGAGAGGTCTCAGCACCTATGTGCCTGCACAGACATCTGGGTTTTCATACCTGTGTCTGAGTATGTGTTTACCCCTGTTTCCAAACCTGGTGTGTCCATTTTGGCATCTCTGTGGACAAATATACAAACGTCTATGTGCATCTGCAGGGTTTAGCATCTATGAATTTTCTTAGGGAATCTCTGACCAAAAGTATGGGTATCTGGCTCCCAGGACCCAAGGGTGCACATGGCTACCATGTGTTTCAGAATCTGTGTATGTCTCTTGCAGGATCATTGCATGTGTCTGCATGCTTATGTATTTCAGTATTTGCCTTGTGCATCCGTTCAAGACTTACGTGGCCTCTCTAGTTTGGCGAATGAGTGCGCGCACACGTGTGTGTGTGCGTGTGTGTGTGTGTCGGGGTGATATAAACACATGTGCGTGTGTACCTGTGTGTCTTTCTTCCCCTCGCTGCTGCGCCTTCCCAGTCTGGATGAGTACCTTTTCTCTGTCTCTCTCTCTCTCACACACACACCCTTGCTCATATGTGCCTTGCAGATGGGGAGGGGGCCGGGGTGTCAGCGAGCTCCTGTGTCACAAGGTTAATTTCTCCACAGCCAGGCAGGCTGGGCCCTGAGGGGAGTGGTGGGGGAGGGGCTGGTCCCCACAGCCCCTCTGATAAATATGTATTTGGGGCTGCTGTGCTCAAAGGTCATGGGGGGAAAAGGAGGAGGAGGGGTGGTCTGCACTGTGCTGTGCTGCTGGGTCCCAGCCAGGCTCAGCATGGGTTGTGTGACCCCCCTCCAGAGGTCTGATGAGATTCAGGGAGATGCCCCCCTCATCCTGGTCTGGCCCACTCCACCCACATCCATGCTCCGAGGGAGATGCTGCTGTGGACACACAGATATTCAAACTCTGAAACAGGCAATCACACAAGCCCACACCCGCCGACACCTAGACAGAGGCTCAAACAGATGCACAAAGACGGCCTCATGGGCCACCAGATACATGGAAGGCTCAGAGTGCAGAGCCAGACCCATCGCTTCTTCCCCACCCCAACCTTCAACCCAACGCCAAAAAAAAAAAAAAAATGCTCAAGAGTGCATAGTGTCTCACAGTAAGAAAGCTTTCTACACATTCAATAGACGCAAACACACACACGGACCCAAAAATGCAGAGTCCAACAAGAAAGGTCCCTGAACACTTTGTGGGTGGGCATGTACACATAGACGCACAAGCAAACACATACACAAAGGCACATACATAGATGCACACCAGGAGTCCCAAAGATACAAAGTTCTACGAAGGTAGGCACATGCTGACAACTGCAGATAAATGTATGAACACACATGCACACAAACATGCACACATACAAAGACCCCAAGACACACACGGCAGGCAGGATGCATGGTGGATCCAGGCTGGGAAACCCACCCTGCTGCAACAGAGCCGGATCTGGCCCTTTCCCCGCTGAGGCGAGAATGGCTGCCTGGTCTCTGGTCATGGGCCCCCAGCCAGCTTCAGCCAAATGCGCCATCATTTGTCCAGCTCTGAGTCACATCAGTTGTCGAGCCTCCCCTCCTCGCTGACCAGCCATCTCGGCCATCAGCGGCCTCGGCCATTAGTCGGCTCCTGCCTCTGGCCTGCATTTGTTGAATCTCCCTTACCTGGCAGAACCGTCCGGACCAATGGAACCCTTTTGGAGTCGGCCTGACCTTTTCCTCAAGGGATTCCGATGTACCCTGTTGTATGACCCTCGGCCCATGCCTCAGGGCGACCCTCCCCTCAGCACACTGCTCAGGCTGTCATTCTTCAATGACCGCTGGCCACAGTAGTTCTGGTGGATTGTGAGGCTGTGTGTTTGAGTATGTGTGGAAGTCCGCTTGTAGGTATATGTGTATGGGTGGTGGGATGGCTATAGCTGTGCTTTAAGTCAAAATGAGTGTGTGTGTGTATGCGTGTGTGTCTGTGTCTGTGTGTGAATAAGGGGATAGGAAGTCAGCAGCTGTGCTTAAAGTCAGAGTGCCTGAGTATATGGTTGTATATATGGGGAGATGGAATGTCAGGGGCTGCGCTTCGTGTGTGTGTGTGTGTGTGTGTGTGTGTGTGTGTGTGTGCACTTTAATGCAGGAGTGACTTGGTGTATTGGCCTGGGCTTGGCGTGGGGGGCCATGAGGGGCCGTGTCTGTTTTGGGCATGGGGGGCAGTGCGGTACAGGCATCTGTTTCTCAAGCAGTTGTGAGCAAGTGGAATGTGCCTCTCTCAGACTCCGTTGCTTGTGTTTGTGAAAGTGACAGATGCTGCCTCCCTGGCCTCACTGCGGCGGATTAAGTCTGTGAATGCCACATGAGTCTGCACCCCGGGTGGGGGAGGGTCCCCAGTCTGCTCTTATACTTGCGTGTGTGGGCCACAGCCCTATACTTTATAGGATCCTGAGAGTGTGGACTAAAGTAACCCCCAACCTTGTTGGTTTCTGTGAGGGAGACCCTGAATGGATGCCAGAATAAAGGTCCCTGTGTGTGTGTGCACAAGCACACTCATGCTCATAGACAAGTCCGTATTGTCCAAAGTACGTTGTCACGAGATGCATGTGTATATGTGTATGTGTGTGTGATTGCAGGCATAATAGCTCCCCGCTGCCAGCCAGATCAAGTTCCAACTTCTCAGAGCAGCAGCTGAGCCTCCACAGACAGGGCCTTGCAACATTGTGCCAACCTCTACTCTTAGACTACACCTCCAACCTGGGCTGCTTTCTCCTCACTTTCCTCTGCCATCTTTATGCCCTGCCACCAGTCTGCTTTTCTCAGTATCTGAGCATCCTTAAAGACTCACCTCCCTGTCTAAACCCACACCATCTTCATTCCCCAGATTCCTAATGACCTGGAAACTCCCTTTGTGCTCACAGTCCAGGCGCCCAGAATCCTGTCTAAGGCTGGGATTGGTTCTGCTTCAGAGTCTAGGCCTTTGTTGGCCCATGGTCAGTGCCTAGCGATCATTTTCAGGTTAAGGAGTGATCATACCACCATTGCCCGATTACCTCAGGGAACTCACTGGACTTTATTTGTTCAGTGATTCACACCACTCAATAAATACCTATTGAATGCAGGGACCTTGCATGTGGAGCCACCACCTTCAGCCTCCTTCCGAATGCGTCAGAGCTGGGAAAGCTGCCTGTCCCGAGGATCTAATGAAGTTGGGGTGGTGATCGAGTGAGGGAAAATGCACCTGCCTCCCAAGGCCACCATGTGGATCTGAAAAGGTGACACAGGGCTCACCAAAAGGGGTAGGGGGGACCATAAGCTCATGCAAACCCCTGTGTTTGAACAGGCCCAGCCCCAAACCATCACTGATGGAACGAGCTCAACCATGCTCATTTGCTGGCTCTCCCTTCAGGATATAAAGCGAGACCCACATCCTTAGAGCCCTCACTGAACCACATAAGGCATCCATCCACCCGACAGGTCCTGGGAGACAGGTCTGTGGATGGACATCTCAGGGGGCAGGGAGGAAGTGGGGGAAGAGACAGAGCCAGTGAAAGGAAATGGCGCTGGGACAGCTAATGGGATAGGACAGACCTATAAGGACAGACAAGGCTCGGTATGAGGAGGACCTTGGTTCTAGCGCCAGCATGGTTGCTGACAGGCTGAGCAAATGATGTGGGCCTCAGAATTCTCATCTGTGAGAGGGACACCACTGGGGCTGCTGTGAGAGCGAGGTGGGTGTAAGGGACATCATGGTCATTATTATTATTAGATCAAGAGGTGTTGAGCCCAAGGGAAAAATGATGAGTGAAATATATTTAGAAGGAGGAATAGACATCCATCTGAGGAGGCCTTACACCCACTCTGTCTTCTAACAACTCTTCACACTTGGGTTTCTCAACCATCTCCATCCTGAAATATCTTGGAAATTAACCAGCACATGCCAGAGATGGAAACTTCTCCCTTGCCATCATCGATGTCCAAGTAGCCCCTGGTGTGGCCATCTGTCCCTGCTCCCCTCGTTGCAAGTCATGCCTCTACACATTATGATTATGCACCAGGGCTATGAAAAGCTCTACCCAGTGGGGTGCTAAGGTTGGGGCCCTTGCTTTGCTGTCACATTGGTGGAGGAAGAAGTTCTGGCTTATAGGCCCTGCATACAAGAAGGGAGTGTATATGAACCAGAATGGAGGTGGCCTGGAGTGGCCACTGACGGACTTGCTAGAAAAAAAAAAAAAAAACACCTGGCCAGCATGCTGTCTAGGACGTATAGGCTAACAACCTCTACACACACAGCATGGGTATAGGTGTGTGCATACACACACACTGTGGCTGAGTTCTTTCCCTACTACAGCCCTGACACAGACACCTTCCATTTTCCCTGCAAAGACTAGCAGAGGGAAGTGAGCGCAACCAAGACCCCCAAAGATGACACTGCAACCTGCCACAGAGTTCACCAGCACATGCCAGCACAGCCTCAGGGAAATGGGGGTCTGGACCTCTCCAACGGCAAGGATGGGCCTCTGTCCAGCATTACCCATAAATCAGGAAGTAGATGTGGAATCGCATTATCAGCAACTGGAGATGCTGCCTATGGCCCTGATCGGCTTTACTCCTGGCCTGCCTGTCACCCCCTGACATGGGACGCTTTGTTACTACAGAAGGTCCAGGGAAGCTTTTCATGGGCTGATAGACTGTGGGGAGAGGGGATCTTTTCTTGTTTTGTTTTCTTGAACCCAGCTTCAAGGCTGCTGTGCAAGCATGCCGTCAAACTCAGCCATACGCCCGCGACCTCTGTGCACTCACACATCTCTCATCACTCTACCCAGACCCTGCTTCACAAACCCACCCTCCCTCTTACCCAGGACACGCAGAGACCCCGAGCAATAACAATAATAATATCTCCATGCAGAAATGGTACTTTCACATATGTGACTTTTTTTGATGTGCACCCTTGTGTGCACACACTATGTTCAGACCTAGTACCCATACACAGAGCCTTCACTCCAAACACGCTGCACATACAAAGTGTCACGTGTCCACTGCTGAAGCCAGACTCGGCACATGGGCCTGCACACGCGTGGACGGCTTCCACGCACAGAGCCAAAGAGGGCCTCCTGAATGCACACATAGCGAGTGATACATAAACATCAGGACGAGGGAGAGATCAGTACAAATATGCACTGACTCCCTTCTGCACATATGTCACCCATGATGGGGACCCCCAGTACCCAACCCCCCACTGAAAACACATGTCACGATTCTACACCTTTGGCTCCTCACTCTGCCAAGGCTTCGAGGCCCAGCACACACAGTTAGTCCTTCCTGAACACATCTCACCACACATGCAGGCCTTATACACATGCATGCTGCCGTCATGGTCTGACTCTGTACCCACCAGCCCCCCACTGCACACTGACTCTGTACCCACCAGCCCCCCACTGCACACTGACTCTGTACCTTCCCCTTATATCCTGGGGGGTGGAAGGACAAATCCACCTGACAAGATGGCAAGAGACTAAAAGCTACTGAGCGAAGCGGCTGATTGGGTCTTTCTCTAAATCCAGGACCTACTCCCCAACTCCACAGGCCCCAGGAAGGAGGCAGAAAGTGGGGAGTGGTCATCAGGCCAAAGGCTTTCTCTCAGGATCTTTTACCTGGACTCAAAAGCTCTAAGGACTCTCTCAGATGGACTTCCGCCCCAATTTCCTCCCGTTTTCACTTCCCGCTAGGCATCCATGTCATTTTCTTCTCTGTCCACACCCTTCTCAGTGGGGCTGAGTCGACAGCCATGAGCCCTCACTTAAGATCTTCCCCTCCCCCTCCCAGAGCCCCAGTGAGCATCCAGCAGGACTTCTCCAGGAGGCCACAAGGAAGTAGGGGGTGGCACTAGAACCCAGGGGACAGACCCAAACCCCCACTCAGGGTAAAAAAGAGGGTAGAAATACATGGGGTTTCAGAACAGGGGTTAGGCTCTGGTAGGAAGTTGGGGATTCCTGCCTTTGCATGGAGCCCCTTTCCCTGGCACCCTGTTGAAGGCCAGAGCAGCAAGAGTGATGAATAAATGAAACTGAGGGAGGGGGTAGAAAGAGCTGGCAACAGGGGAAATGAGTGGCAGGAAGGGAAGAATAAAAGAAAGGGGGAAAGGGGGAAGGGAAAAACGGAGAAAAAAGAAGGGAAGGAGGTGGAGATAAGGGAGGTAGAAAAAGAAAAACTAAGGGGTGGGGAGGAGGAGAAAGAGCTTTTATTGAGAAAAGGAAGAGATAGAAACTGAAAAACAGTGAGAAAGAAAAAACAGTAAAGGAGATGGAAATAAAGGAGCTGAGAAAGGACATGAAAAGGGAAAGAAAAGAGACCAAAGAGGCAGCAGGCAGTCGAAGGGGTTCCCCAAGTTACAGACTTTGTCCAGAGAGCTGAGGGGTGCACCGCGGCTCCCCAACCTCACTCTGGGGCCCTGGAGCTCCGTTTTCCACCTCTCCTCCTGCCTGAGATGCCACCGCCTCTGAGTGCCCCATCCCGGCTGCTTTTTCCTATTTCTCACCGTTTCTGCTCTCCAAGGCACCCCGTTCCTTTCTCTCACCCCTCATTCCCACCACCCAGCCCTTTCTCGTTCCCTGTGCCCTCTTACCTCTCCCCCCCCATTGCACCCTGCTTGCTTCGGAGCTTCAGACAGCATCACCGACCAATATCCTCACCATCATCGTACTAAACCGGCCCCCACACCTCCAGGAAAAGAGAGAGAGAGAGAAAAAAAAAAAAACAGGCGGAACCGCCACCAGCCCTGACCCCCTCTCGCCTCATTTTCTCCACAGTCGCCCCTTCCTCAAATGCAGGGTCAAAATGGGGGTCCCGCCCAGCCCGGGGAGCCTCTCCGAAGCGCCGCAGCCAGCCGGGAGCAGATGCCACCTCGCCTCTCTTCTCTGTCCTCGCTCCTTTTTGTGTTCAGTGGCCCTGGTTGCGATGTGTTTTATTTTCATCGTCTTTTTATTGGTATTGTTTTTTTTCTCTTTTTCTTTTCTTTATTTTTTGGCCCGGGGGCAGCAGCGGCGAAGCGCCCACTGCCTGCCTCTTTCCTCAGCTCTGCGGCCGTCAGGCTCTTTCTCTAGTCTGCGCTCTTGACTCCCTCCTTTCTCTTCTGCCTCGGCTCTCGCTCCTCCGCTCCTCCGCTCCTCCGTCCTTTCAGCTCCGTCCTCAGCCGACTGCCCTCTCCTCTCTCTACTGCTTCCCCCTCCACGCCTCTCCTTTCCTCATCCTTCTTGCCCCTTCTCCCTTTTTCCTCTCCCTCTTCACCTCCTCTCCGTCCCCATTTCTTTCCATCCCTGCCCCCCGCCCCCACGTACACCTCTCCTTTGGTTCCCTCACTGCCATCGAGAGCAAGCTGACCCCCCCCATCCCCAAATAATAAAAATACCCAGCCAGGGGGCAAAGCCCCGGCGCCGGGCGCCGAGAGGGAGGCGAGAGGGCCGGGGCCGCGGCGGCGGCTGACAGCCGGAGCGCGGTGCGGAGTGAGCGGCGCCCGCCCGGCTCCCGCCCGGCTCCCGCCCGGAGAGCTCTCTGCAATAGGCCGAGCCGGCTGCATTAAGCTTCTTGCAATCAATAAAGCGCGGGTCAGATTATGCAAAGCGCAGATATTAATATGCAAAGTTTTAAAGATTTTTAAATGGAAGGGCAAGCGCGGCGCGGGCGGGCGGGCGGGCAGGGGCTGCGAGGGGAGAGGGAGGAAGGGAGGGCAGGCGGGCGGGCGCGCAGGCGAGCTGGGGAGAGGAGGAGGCTGCCCGCCGCCCGCCCGCCCGGCTGCGCCGCGCCGCCTTGCCTTACCGCTGCTCCCATCGGTAGGCGCCGCTGTCTTCGCCATGCGCGTCAGCTGCACGGCTCCGAGGGGATGGCCGAGGAGGAGCCGCCGCCGCCAACGCTACCCCCGCTCCCGCTCCCGCTCCCGCGCCCGCTCGCTGCCTGCTGCTGGCGCTGCTCTGGCCGCTGCTCCTCGCCTGAGCTGCCGGCGCGAGCCCAGGCGCGCGCCATCCCCGGCTCCCACCTTGTCCCCATGGCAACCCCGGGCCCAAGGATGCTCAGAGAGAGAGCGCGAGCGAGAGAGCGAGGGGGGAGAGAGGGAGAGGGAGAGGGCGGGGAGCGCAGGGGACACGGAGGCAGGGAGAGGCCCGAGACCCACAGAGACACAGAGAGACACAGAGACGGAGAGATGCAGACATATGCAGAAACAGAGACACAGAGATAGAGGAGAGGGGTAGGAATAGAAGGGGACACGGAGACAAGGACAATCCTTGAGACCGACAGAGGCCCACAGAGATACTGAGAGACACAGAGACACACGGACACACAGAGACACAGAGACACACGGACACACAGTAAGAGACAGAGGGGTAAGGGCGAGGGGCAGGGAGCAGAGAGGGATTCAAAGGTATGGAGAGACACTGAGGTCCAGAGACTAACAGAGATACTCAGAGACACAGAGACACCCAGAGATAGAGACAGAGAAAAAAGAGAGAGGGGACAGGACAGGGAGCACAGAAGATGCAGAGGCAGAGAAAGACTCCTAGAGGCAGAGAGATGCTCAGAGACACAGAGACACACAGAAACAAATAGACACGGGGACACACAGAAAAGAGACAGAGAAGGGTGGGGAGCACAGGGGACTCAAAGGCAGGGAGAGGCCCTAAAAGCCAGAGACTCAAAGAGACACCCAGAGACAAAGAGGAAAAGGAGAAGGGAGAGGGCAGGAAGTATAGGGGACATGGAGGCAGAGAGATGTCCAGAGACACACAGAAATATAGAGACACAGGAACAGAGTGGGGGGAGAGGAGGGAGGAGGGAGCAGATGGGGACATAAAGGGGCACCAAGAACCACAGAGACACTCAGAGACAAAGAGATAAGGAGAAGAGGTCCATGCAGAGACAGAGATGCAGAGTCAGAAAGATAGCCACAGAGAAGTAGACACACAGAGACAGAGAGATAGTGAAAAAATATATATGGGGAGAGAAAGAGACTAATTCACAAAGACAGAGACACAGAAATAAGAGAGATAGATATGCACAAATCAGAGATAGGAGAAAGCTACACGCAAAGAGAGACAAATGAAGATGTAAGGCAGTGTTGCAGAGATACAGAGATAGGAAGACATAGAGACAGAGGCAGACACACACAGAGGTAAGAGATATAGACCTGCGGAAACAGACAGAGATTAAGAAAGAGCCGTTGAAAGAGCCGTTGAAAGAGACAGAGAAACAGAGATGGAGAGATGCAAAGCCAGAAAGACAGACATTGACAGAGACCAAAAGATACAGAGACTGAGACTGAGACAGAGAAAAAGGCACAGAGAGAGTCAAACAAGGAGACAGAGTCAAACAAGAAGGTGTAGACAGAAACACAGAGAAATATACATAGGGATTCTGAGAGAGAACCTAAGAAACAGAGACAGAAAGAAATGTGCAAAGAGAGAAACAGAGATCAAGACATAAAAAGAGATGAAAAGAAATACAGAGATGGTGAGAGAAAGAAAGCAAAGACAGAGACCCAGAGAGTCAAAGTGAGGCAGAGAAATGCAGAGACATGGACAGAGACTGCAAGAAAGTGACAGGAACAGAGAAACCTCAGGAGACACACAGAGAGACACAGTGAGATGGAGAAAGGCACTGGAAGAGGCTTTCAGTTGGACAGAGATCCACAGAGAGATGCGAGACAGAGACAAGAAGAGACAAATGGAGAGTCAGAAATAGAGAATGAGGTCTGGTAGACAAGGCTGGGGATGGGGGGCAGAGACAGAGCCCAGGTAAAGGAGGAAGGGACAGGCTGGGGTGAAAGCAGAAAGTAGGAAGGTGACAAGAGGGTCCAGGGAAGCACCAAGGGGGAAAGGGCAGACAGGAGGGGAGGGAAGAACAGCAGAAAGGAGAGGAGTGGGGAAGGGAGAGGAGGGGAAGAAAGAGAGGAGGGCAGTGCCCAGTCACCAAGCACCTCCCCTGTGCCAGGCACATTATGGCTTGGAGACAGGGAGGAAGGAAAGGAAGGCCAAGGGTGAAGGGGCTCCGACCAGGGGAAGGTGGGCACAGGGTCTTGGGAGGGTGCATGGCTCCCGCCCCCTGCAGGCGGGGGTGCAGTGGTGCAAAGAGGAGGATAGGGTTGCAAGTGGTACCCAGACCTGGGAGGGGGTGTGAGAGGGAGGGAACAGGAGGGGGAAGGCAGGGAGGGAAAGGGAGGAGGAGGAGGAGGACGCAGGCACGCGCTGCGCGGTCTTGGCTTAGCAGCTGCAACCGCCCTTCGCTTTGTTACCAGCAAGGCTACCCCATGCATACTGAGTGGACACGCGGGACCCTCATGTGTGTGTGAGAAACACGAGAATCACCAACTGCCCACGTGTATGGAGAACGCTCCCAAGACCTACACTGGAAGTGCGTAACATAAATAAATATAGGAAACACCTACCCCGTGGGCGTACAAAGTAAGTACCCAGGACCTGTGCAGCGTGTGCATAATAGACACAGAACTACCTACTACTCCCTGTACGGAGCAGCCTCCTGGGACCCGCACTGTGTGCGCAACACAAATAAATGCAAGGAATACTACCCTCTGTCCATACAAAGTAGGTATTTGGGTCTTATGCAGCAGATGCATAATGGACATGGGACCACTTAATACCCCCATACAGAGCAGACTCCTGGGATCCACACAGTGTGTTCACAACACAAATAAATACAGGAAACGCCCACTCCAACTGCACACAAACTAGGCACATGGGCCTACAGGGCATGAACATAGTGGACACGGAACCACCCCATAGCCACCTACCAACCAGCCTCCCTGGGACCCATACTGTGTGGGCACAACATAAATGAATGCAGGAAGTACCCTATCCCCCATGCCTACAAAGCTGGCACACCAACCTAATAGACTTAGCTAGTGTGAACATAAGAGACACCCATGAGCAGGTTCTGGTGATCCACAAAGGCACATAACAAAACTGAACATAAGAAACACCCACTCCGCTTGCATACAAAGGCACATGGGGTCCCAATAGTGAGGAGAGAACTCAAAAAAGGGTGTATATAATGACAACCCACACACTATCCATTCTGGAAGGAGCAACAAGGAATACTGGACCCTGCAATGAATCTACCCAGCAGACTCCCAGGTCCCTCCATCTGTACGTGTACAATAGACCTAGGAGGAGCTATGGACAGCCTGAGTACCTACTAGAAGGGAAGCAGGGACAGGGCAGAGACCAAGGATGTCCTGTTCCCTGCCTTGGCCCTGGCACCTACAAGGACCAGTACATGGGTGGGGTGGGGGGCGGTCATCCTTCCTAAGAATGACCAAGTACATAATAATTGTGTATACAGTGAGTATACACTAAGCACACAGCACCAATGTTTGTCTGTTTGTTTGTTTGTTTGTTTTGAGACAGGGTCTCCCTCTGTCACCCAGGCTGGAGTGCCGCAGCGTGATCATGGCTCACTGTAGCCTCAAACTCCTGGGCTCAAGCAATCCCCTCTTGCCTCAGCCTCCCAAGTAGCTGGGACTACAGGCATGCACCACCACACCCATCTATTTTTTTTTTTTTTAAGCAGAGATGAGGTCTCCATATGTTCCCCAGGCTAAAGCACCAATTTTAAGGATCCAAAAAACTTGGTTTGATATGTGCTAAGTCCATATCATATGCTTACTTGCCAGTATGTTAAGAGTCTGTGGTCCACAACCTATGCATGATTGGTATCTTAATTATCCAGAATATCCATATTAAGCAGAAGCTGACATCCCTCATGGACTTACAAAAGTCAGATCCAATAGGAGACTTAAGCAATCCGCACATGCAGGTTGTCCTAACTGATTTCTAGGGCTCCGCCCAGCCCCGAGTCATGATTCCACGAAGGCTGATGCAGCACATGTATACACACCAGGCACATGCAAAGACGTACACCATACACTGTACACAACACAGCAAAAACATGTGTGCTCTCTCTGCTTCTGAAATAGCATAATTCCAGAAGTACCAGATTCCTCTGAGGAATGTGTGTGTGTGCATGTCTGAGTGAGGGCCATCTCTGGGTACAGGTGTGCATGTACATGGCTCTTCCTGTACGAATGAGCTCAGCTCTTATTCCCTCCTCATTCTGCCTGTTCATCTTTCAGAAACATGTATACAAATAATAGTACCTGATGTATACTAAGTACAAAACATTGCAAGCTATGGATGACCTTAATTGAGTGTGTGCGTCTGAACATACATTTATTTATTTATTTATTTATTTATTTATTTAGAGACAGAGCCTTGCTTTGTCACTCAGGCTGGACTGCAGTGGCACAATCTCGGCTCTCTGCAACCTCTGCCTCCCGGGTTCAAGCTATTCTCCTGCCTCAGCCTCCCGAGTAGCTGGGATTACAGGCGCATGCCACCATGCCCAGCTAATTTTTGTATTTTTTAGTAGAGACGGGGTTTCACCATGTTGGTCAAGCTGGACTCAAACTCCTGACCTGGTGGTCCACCCACCTCGGCCTCCCAAAGTGCTGGGATTACAGGCGTGAGCCAACACTCCCGGCCTTGAACATACCTTTAGATAGATGCATTTGTTCATTAATGAAACATTTGTTCGCGCATCTGTGGCCATGTGTGTGCGTGTGTGTACATCTTGGTGTCTTGGTTACAAGTCTTGGGGCTCCCTTATAATCTCTGAGGATAAAGGGTGTAAGATAAGGGAAACGAAGGCACACAAAGCAGGAAGGGAAGAAACTGGGGAGAAGGAAAAAAGTGGTGCAAGGACAAGGAGCAAAAAGAAGAGACCTGTTATTCAGGAGGCTGAGGCACAAGAATCACTTGAACTCAGGAGGCAGAGGTTGCAGTAAGCCAAGATTGTTCCACTGCACTGCCCTGGGCGATAGAGCAAGACTCTGTCTCAAAAGAGAGAGAGAGAGAGAGAGAGAGAGAGAGAGAGAGAGACCTGGAACTGGAACTGGATGTATGGAAGGAAGGGAGGAGGCCCTGAGGACACAGGCAGAGGGAGATGTGGTGCGGGAGCAAGGAAGAGAACAAGGACAGGAGGAGAATGGGTGTGAGAGAAAAGAGGAAGCTAGGAGGAGGAAGGGAGGTGAATGGTGAGCAGAGCAGAGTGAGGGTATCAGGAAGAGTGAAGGGGACTGGGGAGAGGAGAAAGGAGATGGGAGAAGGAGATAAAGACCGAAGGGAAAGAAATAAGAAACAGACAGAGGCTTTTCTGGTCTGAATGAAATTTAGAGGTTGCCCCAGTGGCCTCCTATGGGAAGGTGTTCGAGTCGGAGGATGAAGGTGAAGCAAAAGAGAGAAAGGAAGAGGAATCACAACCTAGCTCCCTAGGATGGGGCAGCCAGCTGTCTCCATCATCCTAGAAGGGGCCCAGAGACAGGGACCCGGAGGCACAGACAGAGAGGTATGCAGAGCTGGACTGAGATGTGGAGTCATCTGAAGTGGGTAGGGTCCTGGGACAGGCAGGAGGAGGAGTGGAGAGACTTGCAGGCTCAGGGAGGCCAGGGCTCAGTGGTGTGGAGACTTCCAAAGACCAGGAGGAGGCTGGAGCAGGCAATGGAGCAGGGCCCTGAGACCACAAGCGGGGAATCGAAGACCAGGTAAAGGGAAGCAGGTTAGAGAAGGGCAGAGAAGTGAGGGCCTGCTGAGCAGAACCAGCCAAAGTAAATGGAGGAGCAGCTGGAGTGGGATGAAAAGGCCATGAGGCATCTTGCAGATGGGTCCTGCCTTATGCACACCCGGGTTCAGAAGCTCTCCCAGGCTGACTCTCCCCAAGCATTCAGTTTGGTTCCATTTAAGACATGCATACTGAATACTATCACGAATTAGCACTATGCTGTAAGCTGAAGAAACAAATGCAAATGAGACACAACTCTGCCCTCATAGAGACCCTCATCTGAAGTTGTTGGTGGGGGAGGGAATGAACAATAAATACACAGTTACTGATACACACAGCAACACAGAAGTACCTCAAAACCAAAGTGAGAGATGCAGAAGACCACACACTGTAGGATTCCATTTACATGAAATTCTAGACAGCAAAACTACTGTGACGGAAAAGCAAATGAGTGGTTGAAAAGGGCTGCAGTGGAAGGAGGGGACTGACAGCAAAGGCGCCGGAGGGAACTTTTTAGGGTAATGGAAATGTTTTGTAACATGATTGTGGTGGTGGTTACACAACTGTGTGTGTGTGTAAACTCATTAAACTGTACATTTACAACTGGTGAATTTTATTGCATGCAAATTATATCACAATAAAGCTGATTGCAAATAAATAAATAAATAATTACCAGCCAGAATATTCAAGACTCAAGATAGGGCTCTATGGGAGCCAAGAGGAGGTGGATGGGGCAGTGACGGAAGGCTTCTGAGAAGAGGTGATGCCTGAGATAAGACCTGAAGGATAAACAGGAGGCAGGATGGAGAAAGCGTTCCCATGGAAGAAGAGCTTTCACATGGAAGCAGGTGAGAACTGAAAAAAGTTCACTATGTTTTGAACACAGAATGGAGAGTAAGACTATCAAGAAGTGAGTGCAAAGAAAATCAGGGTTCAAAATACAAATCCATTGCTATTCGAAGTACCATGTTGAATAAAACCCACCTGCACCTGAAAAGGCCCAGAGAGAAGGAAACTATGAGACACGACTGGGGATTTTTTTTTTTTTTTTTTTTTTGAGACAGGGTCTCTCTCCTCCCTCTGTCATCCAGGCTGGAGTGCAGTGGCACAATCACAACTCACTGCCACCTCGACCTTCTCCTGCCTCAACCTCCTGAGTAGCTGGGACGACAGGCGTGCACCACCACAACCTGCTAATTTTTGTATTTTGTGGTAGAGACAGGTTTTTGCCATGTTGCACAGCCTGGTCTTGAACTCCTCGGCTTAAGCGATCTACTGGCCTTGATCTCCCAAAGTGCCAAGATTACAGGCATGAGCCACCGCTCTGGGCCAAGACTGGGGATTTCTAATTGGCCTCCTGTCTGCCCCACAGAAAGGTCTCCTTCCTGCCGCCCTTCCCAGAACTTCCTCCCTGCTCTTTTCACATGGGGATGTCTCTCTCCATTAGGAAGCAGCCTCTGCTCTGGACCTATCCCCCAACCCTGCCCACATCTCCAAGAGTTTGTGGGCCCCAGTGAATCCCTCCAACCTGGATTCCATGTGGCCACTGCCCCCTGGTGGCTGAAGTGATGCATGACTAAGGACGAAGGGACACCTCCAAGTCCAGGCCCAGCATGCCCTTCCAGAGGCCAGTCCAAGGCACTCCCACTACTGCCCCCCAAGACACACCCTTGTCCCTGACAGTCTCCTCCTTGCTAAATCCTACAAGCACTTTTCAGTCCTATCTGACTCTCCTCTGCAGCATGCAGCCACAAATATCTTTTCAAAATCCTCTTGGCATCTAAGAAACCTCACTCTCTTGGTTCTCCAGCTCTGTCTGGGCTGCTCTCCCAGGGTGAATCATCCCCTCCCACAACTGCTTTCTCTATGCTGGTAATCCCTAAATTTGTCTCCAGTTTAGCCCTCTCTCCTAAGCTTCACATCAGGATACCCAGCCACCTCCTAGAGGTTCCAAAAATACCTCAAAATCAACATGTCTAATCTAATCATGTCATCTTCTCTACCATGCCCCTAGACCTTGGTTCCCACTCCCCATGGTGATACTCCATCCAATCTAGCATTCAAGTCAGAAAAATTGTCCCTGTCCTTGACACCTTCCTCTTCCTCATATTCACATCCAATCAGGATTGAAATCCCATCCAGTTCATTTACTTCATTAATATTAAAATTTTAAACCATATGAAATTGACAATATCACCCAGCTTTTTCTTACAAAATGGGAATTTCATAGAGTTCAACCGAGTATTTCTCAAATCCATCTCCTCCTCTCTTCCCTGCTCCCAGTGTCCTAGTTCAGGCCTCCACATCTCCTGCTTGGCCCATGAATCTCCTTACTACCTGGCCTCCCAGTCTCCCCTCTTGCCCCCTTTCTAGTCTATCCTCCACACTGGCTACTGGGGTAATGTTTCTACAATATGGCTCTGATCAAATCACTCCCCTGCTTCAAACTCTTACTTCCTGTTGCACACAGGACAAAAGCCAAACTCCTTAGTCAGCTTTTCAGACCCTTCACAGTAACTGGCTCCCCTCCCTCTACAGGGAGCACCACTATGCATCCTGTACTGCAACCACACCAAACCACCACCACTTCCTTGAATCTGCCCTTAACCTCTTGGCCTTTGTACTTGCAGTTCCCTATAACTGGAATGCCCTTCTCACTCTTGTCCCCCTGGCTAACTTCTATTTGACTCCAAGAACCAACTTAAAATCATATGTTAATGTAAACCTCCAGTTCATCCATTCATCCATCCAATACACACAGCTTGAGTATCTATACTTGTATGACCTCCATAGAAGGTACCGGGGACACAAAGGGGAATAGGACACAATTCCTGCCATCAAGAAAGCTCACGGTCCAGTAAGAGACACAAATGCATATATAAATCACAACACTATAGTGTGCTAGGACACAAAACTAGACTGGGAAAATTGAATTTTACTTATTTTTGAGATGCCGTTTCACTCTGTTGCCCAGGTTGGAGTGCAGTGGCACTATTATGGCTCACTGCACACTCGAACTCCTGGGCTCATGTTATCCTCCTGCCTCGGCCGCCCCAGTAGCTGGGACTATAGGTGCGCACAACTACACCCGGCATTTTCTTGAATTTTAAAGGGGACTGGGACGCCGAGGCGGGTGGATCATGAGGTCAGGAGATTGAGACCATCCTGGCTAACACAGTGAAACCCCATCTCTACTGAAAATACAAAAAAAAAAATTAGCCGGGTGTGGTGGCGGGCGTCTGTAGTCCCAGCTACTTGGGAGGCTGAAGCAGGAGAATGGTGTGAACCCGGGAGGCAGAGCTTGCAGTGAGCCGAGATTGCGCCACGGCACTCCAGCCAGGCTACCCTGGCTGGACAGAGCGAGACTCCATCTCAAACAAAAACAAAAACAAAAAAAGAATTTTAAAGGGGAAATAGTCCTTCTGAAGGAGTCATTAAAATTGGAGGGAAGCATGAACAAGAGCACACAGGTGAGGAAGAGTAGGTTGTGTGCAGGGAGGCAGTTGGGATTGCTAAAGCATAAACCATAAGAGAAAAATGCTGCTGGAGAGGCTAGATGGGGCCCAATCATTAAGTATCTTTTGATCTAGGAGGCCATGGGGAGCCGCTGATGGGTTTTCATCAAGAGCAGCTTTGCATTTTTGAGAATATGAATCTGAGAGGACAAGAATGAAAGCAGGAAAAACCAGGAAGCTATTGCAATAGCCTAGGCAAGAGATGCTAATGGCCAGTATTGACATTGGTATCAGGGACATGAAGGAGGCAACAGGTTTAAAAAACCCGGAGGTAACTCAAGTCAGCAGGGCTTTATGTTTGGATATGAGCGTCAGGGAGAGGGTGGTGCCAAGGATGATGCCCACGTTTCTCACTTGGATGCCCGGATGGATGGAGGTGACATTCATTGAGACAGGAGAAAATAGGAGGAGGCACAGAACTTATTCGACAAAGTTCTTTCTTGAACCTCTTATATCTGAGGTGCCTATGAGACATGTCCTGGATCCAGCAAAGAGTTATATTAGTTCTTCAGTCTATATTGGGATACAGTTGTGTGCAGTGTCATAGAGAGAGGTCTCTGGGCTGAAGATCTGGACATCATTAGCATAGAGTTGATAGCTGAAATCACGAGTCGATGATGTCCCTCAAGAAGAATACGCCGAATGTGAAGAGCTCTAAGCCCAGAAAAGAGCCCAGGAGAAGTGCCACATTTCAAAGGTGGGCAGAGGTCAGGTGCAGTGGTTCACGCCTGTAATCCCAGCATTTTGGGAGGCCGAGGCGGGCGGATCACCTGAGGTCAGGAGTTCAACACCAGCCTGGCCAACATGGCGAAACCCCGTCTCTACTAAAAATACAAAAAATTAGTCGGGCGTGGTGGAGGGTGCCTGTAATCCCAGTTACTCAGGAGGCTGAAGCCGAAACAGGAGAATCACTTGAACCCAGGAGGTGGAGGCTACAGTGAGCTGAGATTGTGCACTCCAGCCTAGGTGAGACTCTGTCTCAAAAAAAAAAAAAAAAAAAAACAGGCCAGGTGAGGTGGCTCAAGCTTGTAATCCTAGCACTTCGGGAGGCCAAGGCAGGCAGATCACCTGAGATCAGGAGTTTGAGATCAGCCTGGCAAACATGGTGAAACCCCATCTCTACTAAAACTACAAAAATTAGCTGGGCATGGTGGTGGGCGCCTGTAATCCAAGCTACTTGGGAGGCTGAGGTAGGGAGAATAGCTTGAACCCAGAGGTGGAGGTTGCAGTGAGCCGAGATCATGCCACTGCATTCCGGTCTGACCGACAGAGCGAGACTCCATCACAAAAAAAAAAAAAAAAAAACAGGTGGGCAGAGAAATGAAGTCCCTAAATGGACCACAGAAGAAGCTGTCAGGGAGAAGAGAAGAGAACCATGAGCCTGCTTCATTATGGAGGCTGTGGTAGGCCACCCCTAAGAGGTCCCAGTGACCCCTGCCTCCTGATACTCATGTCCTCGTGTGGTGCCCTCTGCTTGAACGTGGGCTGAACCTTTTGACTTTTTTAAATCATTCTATATTTCATTTCAAAAGTGACTCACTTCTCATGAATAGAATGTGGCAAAAGTGATGGGATATTACTTCTGAGATTAGGTTATAAAAGACTATGGCCTGGTGCAGTGGCTCATGCCTATAATCCCGGCACTTTCGGAGACCAAGGCAGGCAGATCGCTTGAGCTCAGGAGTTCGAGACCAGCCTGGGCAACATAGTGAAACCCCGTCTCTACCAAAAATACAAAAAATTAGCCAGGCGTGGTGGTGCGTGCCTGTGGTCCCAGATACTCAGGAGGCTGAGGTGGGAGGATCACCTAAGTCTGGGAGGCAGAGGTTGCAGTGAGCTGAAACGGTGCCACTGCACTGCAACCTGGGTGACAGAGTGAGACCTTGTCTCCAAAAAAAAAAAAAGAAAAAAAGGGCCGGGTGCAGAGGCTCACGCCTGTAATCCCAACACTTTGGGAGGCCGAGGTGGGTGGATCACCTGAGGTCAGGAGTTTGAGACCAGTATGGCCAACATGGTGAAATCCCATCTCTACTAAAAATACAAAAATTAGCCGGGCGTGGTGGCAGATGCCTGTAATCCCAGCTACTCGGGAGGCTGAGGCAGGAGAATTGCTTGAACCCAGGAGGCGGAGGTTGCAGTGAGCCGAGATTGCGCCATTGCACTCCAGCCTGGGGGACGAGAGAGAGTTCATCTCAAAAAAAAAAAAAAAAAGAAAGAAAGTGAAAGAAAGACAGAGAGAGGGAGGGAGGAAGGGAAGAAGGAAAGAAGGGAGGGAAGGAGGAAGGAAGGAAGGGAGGGAGGGAGGGAAGGAAAGGGAGAGGGAAAGAAAGAGAAAGAAAGAAAAAGAGAGAGGAAGAAAAAAGAAAGAAAGGGAAAGAGAGAGAAAGAAAGAAAGAAAGGGAGAGAGGAAGGAAGGGAGGAAGAGAAGAGAGGAAGGAAGGAAGGAAGGAAGGAAGGAAGGAAGGAAGGAAGGAAGGGAGTTTTGGGTTGATTTAATATACAGAAGCCAAGGAAGGAAAGATTTCTAAAAGAGAGGTACTGGTCGATGGAGTTAAAGCTTTAGATAAAGATGAAAAATGTACTTGGATTTGGCAAGAGAAAGTCCTTAACAAGCTCAATGTGAGTGGTTTCAGTGAGTTGTGACTCAAATGCAAGGTGAAGGCCGGGGCTGGTAAGCAGGAATGGATACCAATGTTTCTGCCCACCCAGCATCCATTTCGCCATCCTCTGTAATGGCTCCCTGACTTTTCACTGAGTAACCATTACCCACGTCCTACTGGATATGCTTCCATGAGACTGTTAGGGCACTCAGCTGTCCACAGGCCAAGGGGAGTCATGGGAGGCCACAAGACTCAAGCTGCACCAGTCAGAAGCTCTCCCTGGAATTTGAATCATGAGCTTATGTGACAGGAGGCCCAAATCTGATTGCAGCTGATTTATGTTGTACCCAGGGCCCTGAGGAAGCTGCCATTCCTTCCTGCTACTTCAATCCCTGCTACTGCCCTGGTTCTAGTCTTTTCTGAAGGCTGCTTCTTCAGTCTCTCCCTCTGTTGTGAGTGCCATCTTAATCTCCTTCTAATAAATATCTTTCTTGCTTAAGTTAGCAAGAGTCGGTCTCTGTTGCTGCAGCCAAAGAACCCTAACTCATACTTGTCCTTTCAAGAATTTGGGATGAGATGAGGAGGACAATGAAGGACAAGCACGAGGGGAGCATAGCCTGGAGGAAGGTAGAGGTTTTTTTGAGTGCGGCGGGGGGAGTTTGTTTTGTTTCTTTGTTTTTGAGATACTCTGTCACCTAGGCTGGAGTGCAGTGGTGGGATCATGGTAGCCTCAATCTCCCAGGCTCCAGCAATCCTCCTCCCTCAGCCCCCTGAGTAGCTGGGACCACAACAAGTGCACACCACCATACTTGGCTAATTTTTTTTTATTTTTAGCAGAGACAGGGTCTCACTATGTTGCCCATTCTGGTCTTGAACTCTTGGTTCAAGCAATCCTCCCGCCTCAGCCTCCCAAAGTGCTGGGATTACAGGCGTAAGCCGCTGCACCTGGTGAGTTTTTTTCTTTTAGTTAGTTTCTAAGGTGGTAGAAACATGGATGTATCTATAGGTTAAGAAGGAAGACAGAGAAGAGGGAAGGTGTGGAAACAGGGAAGGGAAGAAAGATGGAGTAAGAGTCATGCTGGGAGTCATGCTGGGATGAGCAATACACAGGTGGAGAGGAGGACAAGAACAGAGCTTGAAGAAGTGAAATAAATATGGGTGTGGCTACATGAAGGGTTGTTTCATTTGTTTAAAAAAATCTTTATATATATATGTGTGTATATATATGTATAAAAACCTATATATATATATATGTTTGATAACAAGTTGAAGGAAATCATGGTCCATTTGCCTCAATTTTATTTGTTGAGACTGAAAGGGTAGGGTTGTAGGGATGCTCAAGGGAGAAGGGTAAGTGAGAGAGGGGGCTGGCTAAGAAGTTTGAGTGACACCTATATGTGCTACTCTGCCACCATTTTTCCCTGAGCCAAGTTCTACCACCTGGACCACAGTTAGGGATATGCTGGCAAATGAGGCAGAAGGCTGGGGGTATAAGGGGCTGGGCACGATGGCTCACACCTGTAATCCCAGCACTCTGTGAGGCCGAGGCAGGCTGATCACTTGAGGTCAGGAATTCGAGACCAGCCTGGCCAAGATGGTGAAAGCCTGTCTCTATTAAAAATACAAAAATTATAAAGATTATTAGTATGAATGCTGTTACTGAGATAAATGAGCCTATGGATGAGATAATATTTCATGCGGTATATGTATCAGGATAGTCGGAGTAACGTCGAGGCATACCTGGTAGGCCAAGGAAGTTCTGTGGGATAAAGGTTAAATTAACACCTATAGATGTAACGGTAAAGTGGATTTTAGCATAGGTCTGGTTAAGTGTGTAACCTGAAAAAATGGGGAATCAGTGGACACCTGTGATCCCAGCTACTTGGGAGGCTGAGGCACAAGAATCACGTGAACCCAAGAGGTGGAGGTTGTGGTGAGCTGAGATCGCGCCATTGCACTCCACACTCCAACCTGGGTGACAGAGCGAGACTCAGTTTCAAAAAAAAAAAAAAAAAAGGCTAGGGTTGTAGGATTGTAAGGGAATTGAGAGCATATGCTGGTCATTTTCCATTTGCCCTCCAGGTCCACCCTCCATTCTTCTCTACCCATATGGGTGGCATCATCGGACCCCCCCTTGCTCTCTGACTTCAAATTAGGTTCCTCCCTAAAAGAAGCACCAGCAGGGCATCAGAGAACAGAAAAAGAAAGCATTCTGGATACTTCTTCTCCAACTCCCAGCTCTGTGTCAGCACCTTGGTTCTGACAGTGGCTGTGCCCCTCCACAACTCCAGCTCCTCTCAGGCATGTTCCATGACTCTCACAGCACTCCAGTAATACCAATCCTTTCCTCACTCCTTCAGACCTAAGGGTGGTCACAGCTTCCTGCTGCCTTCACCTCCCTTGTTGGTTACCTCAACCCTGCCCACACCTCTGCAAAGAGTCCCTTCATTAAATTATCTTCAAAATCCCAGCTGTGGTGCCTTCTGTTTCCTGCTGGGACCTTGACTATTAGAGAGCTAGTGAAAGAGCTCAGATGGTCCAATATGAGACTCTGGCTGGGCAAGGAAGGGAGAGAAGCCAGGAGGGGTCTGGCAGACTGGCAGAAAACAGAGGGATCAAGGGAGTAGAGCTCTCTTTGAGTTGACGCCACAGGTGTGATGGCAGTGAGGGGCTGTCAGATCTGAAAGGCAGGTGCTGGGATCAGAGAGCAGGATGCTGGATTTTGAACTGGGTTGTGGTTAAAATCAGGGATTTTTTATTTGGAACTCAGAAAGTCATGTGTTAGAATTCCGACTCTGCCATTTTACTAAATGTGTCACCCAGGCAAGTGACTTTACCTTCCTGAGTGTATATCCTCATCTGTAAAATGAGGATACTAACACCAGCCTTCCAGGTTTGTGTCAGGCGTAAACACATGTAAAGCATTTGGCAAAGTGCCTGGCATGTGGTATAAGTGCTCTGTAAATGTTCACTATGTATGTTACACTTCCTGGTAATGACTAAACCCAAGGTGTGGTCATGGGAGTGGATGACTAAAGTGGGATGAAGGTCACCAGAGATGAAGTGGAAAGAGACTGTGAGGCTAGATCATTACGAGGATGGATTATCAGGGACAGTTAAATATCCCAGCAGGAGAGCATGGGTTGGGGTGGAGAGGAAGTCTATGAGCAGGTGCTAGTCTTCAGGAACGAGGTGAAGTGACCAGGGAGTCAACGGATGTCAACAGGGAAGTGGGATAGAGGGTGGTGGAACCTGAGGACATAAGCCTCAAGGAAATCTGGGTCCTCAGTCCCTCTTACATCCCTTTGAGATGTCCCCAGTGATCATGTTCCCTACTAAGCCAGAGTTTATCAAGGGTGGGGTTGGATCTAACTCATCTTGTAGTACCTAGGACAGGTGTTTAAGCTGGTAAATGCTTGTTGAATGACTTGGTGTTTGAGGGAAACAGAAAAGTCTACCTCTGCATCGTATTTACCCTTGGTAATAATAATTCTTCTTATTTTAAGTAACCTAATGCTTCTTTTAAACCTCTTATTCAATTTAAACAAATATTTCCTGAGACCTTCATACATGCTATTCCATCTACCTGGAATACCCTCACCCACTCTATACACTCAAAGACCTCCTACTCCTCATTCAAGAAAGAGCAGAATTTAATTATTAGGAAGAAGAAAAGTAAACCACAATGATAAACTGCTACACATCCATCAGATCAGCAAAATTAAAGCATCTGACAACACATAGTATTGGTGACAATGTGAAGCAAAGAGAGCTCTCATTCAGTGCTGGTGGGAGAGTAAACTGGTACTGACACTTCAGAAAAATAGTTGGAGAGTGTAGTGTGCAGAAAAATTTCCTGCAAAAGCCAGGCGCGGTGGCTCACGCCTGTAATCCCAGCACTTTGGGAGGCTGAGGCGGGCGGATCACGAAGTCAGGAGATCAAGACTATCCTGGCTAACACGGTGAAATCCCGTCTCTACTAAAAATACAAAAAAAAAAAAATAGCCGGGCGTGGTGGTGGGCGACTGTAGTCCCAGCTACTAGGGAGGCTGAGGCGGGAGAATGGCGGGAGGCGGAGCTTGCAGTGAGCCAAGATCGGGCCACTGCACTGCAACCTGGGCGACAGAACGAGACTCCGTCTCAAAAAAAAAAAAAAAAAAAGAGGAAAGAAAAATTTCCTGCGAAAGATGTCCAGACTGAAGCTCTGGAACCTGTGAATGTTACCTTAAATGGCAAAAAGGACTTTGCAGATGTAATTAAAGATTGTGAAATGAAGAGATTATCCTGGATTATTTGGGTGGGCCCTTAAAGCAATCACATATACCCTTCTAAGAGGGAGGCAGAGGAAGATTTGACACAGACAGAAGAGGAGAAGGCACCACAGAAGCAGAGATTGGAGTGATGCTGCCACAAGCCAAGGGATGGTGGTGGCTACCAGAAGCTGAGATAGGCAAGGAACACATTCTCCCCTAAGCCTCAGGAGGGAGTGCAGTCCTGCTGGCACCTTAATTTCAGTCTAGTGGAACTGGTTTTAGATTTCTGGCTTCCTGAACTGTGAGAAAATACATTTATATTGTGTTAAGCCAGCACGTTTATGGTAATTTGTTATAGCAGTTACAAGAAACAGTATAGACAGCCAAACCCATGCATACGCATACCTATGTCCAGCAATTCTATTTCCAGGTATATCCCTATAGAAACATAAGCATTTGTTCACCAAAAACCATGCACAAGAATGTTCATAGCAGCATTATTCATAATAGCCTCCAACTGGAAACAACCCAAATGTCCATCAAAAGGTCAGTGCATGAACTCATTGTGTATATTCATACAATGGAGTACCATGATACGCCAATAAAAATGAGTCAACTACAGATAAGCAGAATATAGAAGAATCTCACAAACACAACGCTGGGTAAAGGAAACCAGACACAACAGCAAACATATGGTATGATTCCATTTATATTATGTTCAAGAAGAGATAAAATTAACTCTATCACTGAGTGATGAAAAACTAGAAAATTGAAGAAAAGCAAGGCGGTGGCTCATGCCTGTAATCCCAGCACTTTAGGAGGCTGAGGCGGATCGCTTGAGCCCAGGAGTTCAAGACCAGCCTGGGCAACATAGTGAGACCCCGTCTCTACAAAAAAAATAATAATAATAAGCCAGGTGTGGTGGTGCATGCCTGTAGTCCCAGCTACTCAAGAGGCTGAGGTGGATTGCTTGAGCCCAGGAGTTTGAGGTTACAATGAGTTGTGATCGTGCCACTGCACTCCATTCTGGGTAACAGAGCAAGACCCTGTTGAAAGAAGCAAAAGAAAAAGAGAAAGAGGAAGAAAGAAATGAAGGAAGAAAGTGAGGGAGAGAGGAAGGAAGGAAGGGAGGAAGAAAGAAAGGAAGAGATCGGGTGCCGTGGCTCATGCCTGTAATCCCAGCACTTTGGGAGGCCGAGGCTGGCGGATCACCTGAGATCAGGAGTTCGAGACCAGCCTGGCCAACATGGTGAAACCCCACCTCTACTAAAAATATAAAAATTAGCCGAGTATGGTGGCACATGCCTGTAATCCCAACTGCCAGGGAGGCTGAAGCAGAAGGATCTCTTGAACCTGGGAGGTGGAGGTTACAGTGAGCCGAAATCACGCCACTGAAGTCCAGCCTGGGCAACAGAGTGAGACTCTGTCTCAAAAAAAAAAAAAAAAAAAAAAAAAAAAGACAGGAAGGGGAGGGAGGGAGGAAGAAGGAAGAAAGGCAGAAAGGGAGAAAGGGAGGAAGGGAGGGAGGGAAGGTGGAAAGAAGGAAAAAAGGAAGGAAGGAAGAAAGGGAGGGAGGGAAGGAGGAAGGAAGGGAAGGAGGAAAGAAAGTGAGGGAAGGAAGGGAAGGAAATGAAGGAGGGGGGAGGGAGGGAGAAAGAGAGGGAGGGAGGAAGGGAGGGAGAGAGGGAGGGAGGGAGGAACGAAGGGAGGGAGGGAGGAAGGAAGGGAGGGAGGGAGGGAGGAAGGAAGGGAGGGAGGAAGGGAGGAAGGAAGGGAGGGAGGGAGGGAGGAACGAAGAGAGGGAGGAACGAAGGGAGGGAGGGAGGGAAAGAAGGGAGGGGGAATGGAGGGAGGGATGAGAGCATGACAGAAAGGTGGGCAGGTGGCTCCCTGATATCCCCCAGCGTCCCTGCTGTTAACGTTATTTCTTGGCAAGAGTAACACAGGAAAGGAGGGAGGTTTCCTCCTTCATTTCCTTCCCTTCCTTCCCTCCCTCTTTTTCTTTTTTTTTTTTTTTTTTTTGAGACGGAGTCTCATTCTGTCGCCCAGGCTGGAGTGCAGTGGCGCAATCTCGGCTCACGGCAAGCTCCGCCTCCCGGGTTCACGCCATTCTCCTGCCTCAGCCTCCCCAGTACCTGGAACTACAGGCGCCCGCCACCACACCAGGCTAATTTTTTGTATTTTTAGTAGAGAAGGGGTTTCCCAGTATTACCTAGGATGGTCTTGATCTCCTGACTTCGTGATCCACCTGCCTCAGCCTCTCAAAGTGCTAGGATTACAGGCATGAGCCACCGCGCCTGGCCCCCTCCCTCCCTTTCTTCCCTCCCTCCCTTCCTCTTTCCCTCCCTCCCTTTCTTCCTTCCTTCGTTCCTTTTTTCCTTCCTTCCACCACCTTCCCTCCCTCCCTCCCTTCCTCCCTTTCTGCCTTTCTTCCTCCCTCCCTCCCCTTCCTGTCTTTTTTTTTTTTCTGAGACAGAGTCTCATTCTGTTGCCCAGGCTGGACTTCAGTGGCGTGATTTCGGCTCACTGCAACCTCCACCTCCCAGGTTCAAGAGATCCTTCTGCTTCAGCCTCCCTGGCAGTTGGGATTACAGGCATGTGCCACCATACTCGGCTAATTTTTATATTTTTAGTAGAGACGGGGTTTCACCATGTTGGCCAGGCTGGTCTCGAACTCCTGACCTCAGGTAATATGAACAGTTCGTTTCTGTCCTGCACTTTTCAGAATGTTATTTCACAACTAAACGTATCTGGGCGGTGGCGGTGGTGATTCGTAGCAGAAAGCACAGGGAGCTTCCCGGTGCCCCCAGCGTCCCCTGGGCTCCGACCCGCTGTGTCCACATCATCACAGGTGCCCTCCAGAGCCAGCACCCAGGCCACAGTCCCCTCAAGGACCTGTGGGCCATTTGCTGGGCCTGTCTCACATGATCTCCTTGTGTGTAACTGTCGGGTTCCAGGCCTGTGTCCCCACCTGTGCCTGCTCCCCACGCGGAAAAACATGGGGACAATGGCTGCTGACCCTCGAATGGGTGGTGGCGGCACGTTCTCACTTACCTCTGACTCTGTCCGTCTTACTACATCCCATTCAGGCACGTCCCGAGGCCTTCGCAAGGGCTGAAAAATTCCAGCAAAGGCTGTCCCCTGCCCAGAATACCCCGTCACTCTGTTGAACTCCTCCTCAGCCCGCACAGGCCAACCCAAGGTTCCGCTCCTCCGTGGGGCCACGCCGGCCTCCCACATCTCCCATGGGCTCCGATCTCCTGTGGCCCCACGCCCTGTCCCCACACGATCCTGTTTCTCTACCCGATGCTCCCAGGGTTGTCCTCCGGGCTCAGATCTGACCCACCTCCGGGCCCCGAGGGTCAGTCCCTCACCCCCCGCGCCTCGCCCGCACTCTTGACTAGCTCAAGGGAGCTCCACGGCGCATGCGCTCAGGGAGGCTCTGGAGGCGCGAGCCTCTGCCTCATGGTTCCCGCCAAGTGCACTGCGCCAGCGCAGATCCCTTCAGCCTCAAGGTTGGCCCTCCTGACTTCTGGCAAGCACGTGCTGGCCAGAGGCACGTCTGGGGCTGAACAGGGTTAAGGGGGAGGTGACCCAGAGAATGGGGTGGGGCCAATGACATGGAACGGAAGCAGGGGCAGAGCCTGAAATGTGTCCAGCCTTGAGGTGGGACCCGTATTCAAATGAGGCCAGGAGACAAGCCAGGGGCTAGGGGCTCAAGGGAATGGCAGGTCCTAGAATTTAGCCCAGTAATTGGGAGCCCAAACACAGGTAACCCCACCTAGAGGAGAGCCTCAGCCTTAGGTCATGAAAATGGAAGGGTCAGGGCAAGGGAGTGGAATTCCCCACCTCATTCCCCACCTAACTGCTGTCACTAAGGTACTCTCCATCTCAATGCTCCCACCACTCAGGTAAATCACCTGCCCTCTCTCAGTCCATTTCACATCAAACATGGGTTTAAAATCCCACAGTGTGGCTGGGGGCTAAATAGATCTTGAGTAGGTGTCCAGTGGAACTCAGCTTCCTCCCAGAGAGGGTCAAGGCAGAACCTGGGATCACACAGCAGCTGGCTCCACCAGGCCTTGGCTGCTGGATAGGACTCACGACTAGACTTTGCCACTCCCCTCCTGCACATCAAGACGGGTCGAAATTCCAGAACAGGCTCCAAGGTGTGGGCAGGGGCACCCATCCCTGCAAGAAAGGCAGCCTTGGAAATCCCTGCCACCCTACCCCCACTCCCCACCCCTGAGGAAGGAAAACCCTGAATATTGAGTAAGAGAAACGAGTTCCTGAGCCCTTACATGAGGGGTGGGGGAAGGGCAGGAGGCCACAACCTCAGCTGGAGCCACAGAACAGCAGGAGGAAGTGTTTGGCCTCAGAAAGAACAGAGATCCAGGTGAAGAGAAGGTTAATGTCCAGGTGTGACCAGTGGGGAGCCACGTGGAGACAAATTCCAGGCAGAGAACCTCTGGCTGCCTATCTTTTCATTTTCCAAAGCTTAGGCGCTTCATCAGCCTTGGGTGTAGCTGGCCCACCTCACTGAACAAATTAAAAATCCTGGGAGTGGCCGGGTGCAGCAGCTCACGCCTGTAATCCCAGCGCTTTGGGAGGCTGAGGCGGGCGGATCACAAGGTCGGGAGATCGAGACCATCCTGGCTAACATGGTGAAACCCCGTCTCTACTAAAAATACAAAAAATTACCCGGGCGTGGTGGCGGGCACCTGTAGTCCCAGCTACTCGGGAGGCTGAGGCAGGAGAATGGCGTGAACCTGGGAGGCGGAGCTTGCAGTGAGCTGAGATCATGCCACTGCACTCCAGCCTGGGCAACAGAGCAAGACTCCGTCTCAAAAAAAAAAAAAAAAAAAAATTCCTGGGAGCCCCCAAGGACATACAGGAGCAAAGCATGTGTGAACATGGTTGGAAGGGTTTCTGACTCCGAGGCAGTATTCTATTTCTTCCTTTGACAGAGGACAAGACTGACACCCAGAGGGGAGGACAAGCGTGTGGTTATCAGCTGGCATATGGTCCAGCATCCTGCCCACACTCCAGTCCCTAACGCTGGGCCAGGAACACTCCTCCTCCCAGCCCACTGAGGTCCAAAAGCTGGGCATGGTGACGGGCACCTGTAGTCCCAGCTACTTGGGAGGCTGAGGCAGGAGGATCGCTTGAGCCCAGGAATTTGAGGCTGGCCTGGGCAACATATCAAGACCCTCAACTCTAAAAAAAAAATTTAAATTAAATAATAAATAAAGAGTCCTAGAGAGGCCGATGCCCACCTATGCCCTTTCCAGGGCAGTTTAATTGGTATCATTTGTAAAAGGTCTTTTCCATCACCCCCAAAGCCTTTGCATTCCCTTTCCAAGAAGGTGGCTGTTTACTGGTTTTGGCCCCATGTGCAACAGTAGGCCTTGGTATGATGCTGCCATAACACTCCCATGTGACACTCCAGGTGACATCCAAGTGCAAGTCTATGTTCAGCTCTGGACAGCAGGGGGGAAGGTGAGGAGAGTCAGGTCTGTAAATTGAAGCTGGGCAGGGCCCTGGCTGGCTGGAGATGTGTGGGCAAGGTGAGCAGGCCCCATGTGCACCCCAGCTCCAGTGCCCACTGATGTGGCTGAAGCCCAGGTTGGTTGTGGTCAAATTAGAGGTCCTGAGAGAGAAGCCCTTAGGCCAAAGAAGTGTGTGCTGGGAAGCAGGCCAGGGCAGAGGCCCAGGGAAGATCTCAGCAGGGGCAGTGTGAGCATGAGCGAGTGTGTGCACCTGTGACAGTGCAGACAGCCCAAGATCAGAGATACAATGTGCAGGGGGGCCTTTGGTGAGTGTGTAGCTGTGCCCCTCCCTTCTGAGATACAGGCCCAGCCCCCGCCTCCGGAGGCTAAGGGGGCACACCTGGGGGTAGGAGGAGTCTGGGAAGGAAACTCAGCTGGAAATGGTTTAGGCCTCAGAGCCCACATCCTGTGGGAGGGGCTGTCAAGGGGCCTGCTGTCCCGGTCCTGTCGCAGTCCTCAAAGATGCTAGAGTGACAGTCCTCTAGGGGTAGAGATGGTCGTCCTCCCAGGAGAAGGTGGCCCGGAGACTTGGAGGTGGGATCAATCCTGCCAGTCCTGGATCAGGAGGCCTCTGTCGGGCGCCGCCCCCCTTCCTCCTCCATCAGCAACAGGCGGCGCCGGCCAGCCTCATAGTCAGCCTCATCCACACTGACCAGCAGGCGAACAGCCTCCCGGCCCACAGCCTCTCGCAGGGCCTCAGTCAGGAACACGCCCCGCAGGGCCTGCAGCAGGGCGCCACTCAGGTAGTCGCCCCAGAAGGCGTCCAGATAGGAGAGCTCTGAGAACTTGATGTCACAAACCACAGAGCCCAGGTCCCTTGAGCGCAGCACTGCGGTGGCCTGCCCAAACACGTCCAGCTGCCGCGCCAGCGCCTGGGGCCGCCGGGATGCCACGCCCTGCTCCAAGGCTGGCCCATGCTCGCAGTACTCTGCTCGAACCCGGAGCCGGATGTCTGCAGGGGAAGGAGGGATTTGTCAGGGAGGGGGCCAACACTAGACACACTTATGGGGAACGCCACCCTTCCTCCCTCCAGCCTTCTCCCTCCACCCCCTTCCGGTAGCCACACCCTAGTCCTGACACAGCCTCCCCGGCTCTGTGGGGTTCCCTGACCAAGTACGTCCTCCTCTTCTCCAGCCCACCACCTCCTCACTGCTCCAACAAGCCTCCCCACCGCCAGGGGTGCTCTTTCCCTGGATCTGCACAACACTTGCTCCCTCTCTTCCTGCAGGTCTTTGCTCAAAAGCCACCTTGCCAACAAGGCCCACCTAGGCCAACCTATTTACAGCTGTAACCACCCACCCAGCCCTCTCTGCAGCATGCCAGGTCCCACACCCTGCTCCATTTTTGTCCAAGGCACTTATCACCTTCCAACCTCCTCTGTCAGTTACTATCTGCTCATTATCTGTCTCTACACTCAGCATGGAGAGACAGATGACAGCAAGGAAGGGGTTTTTGTCTGTTTTGTTCACTTGTGTAACTGTGGCACATAGTAGGTGTTCAATATGTATTTGTGAAGAACTAATGCATGAACTAATGGACTTGCCTTAAGGCAACCAGCCTCACACCCTGCCCCCAAACAATGAGATTCACATGGTGCCAACCACATCCCCATCCCTCCCATCCACCTGAGCCAGCACTGCGGATGCGCAGGGTCCTGACCAGGCCCGGGAGGCTTGCGGCTGGACCTGTGCTGGCTCTACTGGGAGTCAGGTACTCTCTTGCCACAGAGCTGCTAAGATGATGGGTTGGAAGCCCAGAGCTGCTGGGAGCCACTGTGCCAAGAGGAGAGAAGGAAGCCTACGCAGGGCCAGCCCCAGAGATAAAAAGATTCCTGAGGTCATCACATGAGCCCACGATCGTAGCTGGATTTTCAGCTACACTCAACTCCCCTTTTTGCTGAAGCCAGTTTGAGTCGGTTTCTGTCACAACTCTCCCCACATCTGCGCAAAAGAGGTGGCAGCTGTGTACAGGGGACAGGACACTGGACTTCTAAGGCTATCCTGTAATCATGAACTTCACATACCACCTCTCTTCCAGAATTTCTGAATTCCCACCCATCACTTAGGCTAGTGACAGTACCCCCTCTCTCTACACACCCAACGAGGCTGTCCTGAGGATCAGCTGTGAGCCAGAAACAGCAGCAGCCAACACTTACAGAGTGCCGACTATCTGCCAGGCGCCAAGTGCTTGAATCACAGAAACTCATTTAACCTATAAATGACCCTGTGGGACAGGTCCTATTATCACCCCCAACTTACAGATGAAAAAATGGAGGCCAAGAGAAGTGAAGTGACTTGCCCAAGGTCACACGGCCAGACAATGGCAGTGCCTGACAGAGGTCATTTAACCTCCTATGTCCCTGAGAGAAGGCTCCTCAATCAATGAAGTGGATTCCCACACAGGAGCCTTCAGCAGTGTGACCTGTGACAAGTCACAACCTCTCTGAGCATGGGTTCCTGCCTAAACAAGGGGACAATTCCTACTGTGAGGAGCTGTTAAGAGGATTAAAAAGAGAGCAATGGATAGAAAGGAACAAGCTAGCACTGCACACAGTGTCCAAGGGGTGCTCCCAGAATGGCAGCCACCAACCCCTCTGATAGGCCAATTGCCTGACCCTTGGGGATGCAGTAGAATCAGCCCTGTGGGGCAGAGGCCACCTTCAGCCCACTTGACAGATGAGGAAACAAGGCTCTGGGAGGGAATGTCTCATGCTGTGGCTCCCTTCAACTTTCACAGACCATGTCAGCCACAGAGCAGAAAGGAGAATGCAGGGCCCCTGCTCCCCAAGACAACTTCACAGCCCTGCCCACTTCCTCCTTCCACCCCAAACCCTTCCTCTTTCTGGCTCTAGGGGAACCCCATCCTCTCCACCCAACGCCCAGGGAAGCCTGCCCAGCCTCAGCCCCCAGGCCCTCCCATGGCATTCAGACCCAGCTGTCTCTACCCAGACGACCAGATCCTTGACTGCATCCTTGACTCCAGTAAGCAACTGGCCATGACCTCAATCAATGTGGGTGGGAGAGCAGGGGGCTGGGAGGAGCAGCACCTCTTCCAGGCCACCCAGGAGTGGTTGGCCACAGAGGCAGGGCCAGGTGGCGGAGTCCAACAGACCTTGAGGTGAGTCCCAGCTCTGCCACTCTCTAAGCTGTGGGGCCTTGGGCATGTGACCTTACCTCTCTGAGCCTGTTTCCCCATCTGAAACACAAACAAACAAGAGGTCCCTGCTGCACATTGAAGTCACAAGGATTAAATGAGGCAACTCATAAAATGCTTGCTTACAGCCCTACGACAAAGAAGGCTCCCAGAAACAGGAACTGTAATTTCGACACCCAACTCCCTACACCCATGGCCCTCACCCAGGCCTTCATCTCTCTCTCACGGGTCCCTAAGCCAACCTCCTCCTTGGACTCCTCCAGTCCCTGCCGTGTCCCCCCATACCCTGCACTCCAGTCACAAGAAAATGTTCCCAACAAGAGCCTTACTTACAAAATGACCTGTCCACCTCCTCCATCCAGAACATTTGCCAAGGCTCAGCTCGTGGGAGCCCCACATCCTGCCCAGTTGAATCCTCTCTCAGCTCGTCCTTCTCCCCAGCATGGACCTCTGGTATAAGTTCTCAATCCACCCAGAGCCCCCACCATGTCAGAGTGGACAGGTCACAGGGACAAGGCCAGAGCAATCTCCATGCCCCCATTCAATCTCTTATTCAACAGATATTTTATGAATGCCAGGCATGCTAGGGTGACACAAGAACCTTGCCACAAGTGGGACGGGGAGACATGTAACCCACAGTTAGGAAGCACTCCCCACAAGCCAGGCTCTACTCAAGGGCTTTCCTCTCTCAGCCCACCTAATCCTCAGAGTACTTTCACCAGCCCCATTTACAGATGAGCAAATCCTTCAGCAGACCACACACTCCCACCTCTGAGCTGGAAAACATGATCATGGTGCACAGGGAAAAGACAGGGAGGTGCCACCAGGCAATAGGAGCAGGCGAGGCTTCTCTGAGCCTCTGCTCCACCCTTAGCACCCAATCACGTGCTTTACCCCTCCCCAAAATAATCACAACAGGTGACACCTGCCTATAGCTTTTACTACAGGCTGGCACGGTACTACATACTTCACATCTGCTGACCCCTTTGATTGTCCCCACAACAATCAGGTGATGCTGTTATTATTCCCTTTCTGCAGATGGGGAAATTGAGGCACACAGGTTGAGTCACCTGCCTAAGGCCACCAGATAGGAAATGGCAGAGCTGGAATTTTACCTCACGTGTATGGCTCCAGTGCCCGAGCTCTTAACTACCCCTATCCTGTTGGCTACCTCACACAGAACCATACACATCAAATACACAACTAAAAGACATCCTGAGAGCCAGCAGAGAAAATTAGACAGGGCGAGTTATAGTTCAGATTGAAAGGATCAGAGAGGATCTCTCTAGGAAATGACATCTGAAGTAAAATGTGAAGGAGGACAAGTAGGTTTAGAAAGAAAAACAGGAGAGAAAAAAAGAATGGCATTCTCAGGAGAGATGAGCATTTATGGAAGTCCAGAGAGAAAATGAACTTCAGGCCTGCACAGGCTGAGGGGCCGGCGTGGCAGGAACGTGGAGGGGAGAAGGGCGCTAAGGGAGAACGGGCAGCCAGGTCAGGGAGGCTGATCTCAATCCCAATCGCCAGCAGACTCAAGATTCTAGGGCCTCTGGAAGTGACCACACCTCTCTGTACCTCGGTGGCCTCCTGTGTAAAACAAGGCTCCCCCTAACATCCGCCCATGTGGGGTTACTGTGAGAATTCAAGGCTCAATGCAAGGAAAGAGGGGAGGCCAGGAAGGCCAGGCATGCAGAGAGGACAGGAGGCAGGACCTGCCAACTTAGGGGCAACTCCAGCTGTGCTGTGAAGTGGCAGGTGGGTAGAAACAGGGCCAGGGCAGCAGGCAGGGGAAGGGTCACAAATGGCTGTCCAGGATGGGAGCAGTAGACATGGAGAGAAGTGGAGGAACTGTCCAGTGTGGCCCTGAGGTGGCAGGCAGGAAGAGCACCCAGCACCATGTGCGCTGGACCGTGGGCTGGCTGCATCTTTTCCATTTTGGCAGCTGTGGGGAAAAGTTCCCTGTCCCTGGGAGGGTGGGGGGCAGGTGCCATGCCTTCCTAGAGAGGAGAGCTGCTCCTGCTTCCTGCACTCAGGTGGGCCCAGCACCCTCTTGTCCCCCACCCCCACCTCACCAGTCTCTCTTCTGGGGCAAATGGGACATCAAGTGAAATGGGCTTCTCAGTGGGGGACCAGGGTGAAGTTCAAGGGAGCAGGCCCTGGGCTGGGTGTGTCTGGGAGCCCAGAGATGAACCTCACTCAAGTCGTCTCTCTAAGAGTTCCTAGTTGGGTGGTGATAAGGTTTGGATGTATGTTCTCTCCAAATCTCATGTGGAAATGTGACTCCAACATTGTAGGTGGAACCTCATGGAAGGTGTTGGATCATGGGGCTGGGTCCCTCATGAATCCCTTGGTGATGAGTGAGTTCTTGCTCTGGTATTTCCCGTGAGAGCTGGTTAAGAGTGTGGCAGCTCCCCCACCCCCCAACTCTCACCATGTGACAAGCCTGCTCCCCTTGGCCTTCCACCATGAATGGAAGCTTCCGGAGGTCCTCAACAGAAGCAGATGCTGGCACCCTGCTTCTTGTACAGCCTGCAGAACCGTGAGCCAAGTAAATCTCTTTTCTTTACAAATTACACAGTCTCAGGTATTTCTTTATAGCAACACAAAAATGAACTAACAAAGATGGGCTGGGGAAGAAGAGGACCTGTGCTCCCACAACACTGGGAGATGCTTCCGGCCTTGCTGGAGAGAGGCAGCCAAGGTGCTTCAGTGGAGAGACCCCACCCCCGCCCCGCCCCCACACCAGGACCAGCACCAGCCCCCTCTGGACAATGGTGGGAACCCTCCCAGCATCTTGGCTTGCCTCCCTCGTCTCTTCTCCACAACAAAGCCAGCATCATCATGTCAAATGGAAAGTTTTTCAACTCCTACTGAGTTCAACTCCTACTGAATTGAGGCAATGAGGAGAAGCTGCCTCCAACTCCAGAGAGGGATAAGCAGCCATCACCTGCTTCCTGATGGAGGCGCACAACACACCCTCAGAAGCGGGATTGAGGAAAACAAAACATCAAACCAGAATCTGATCAAGCCTCTCCAGACCCCACTACCCATCTTCAGGAAATACAAAAGACAGGGTAGAACACACTGAATCAACCCTACTGCAGGATACAGTCAGCAAAATCCAGTCTTCGGGAAATGCCACAGGACAACTGCTTTAGAAAAATACAACGCAAGGCGGAGAAAGAGAGATGGTAGGGGAAAGGAGAGACTTCAGAGAACCTACATTTATAAAACAACTGAAAATCTGAGCACCGATCAGATATTTGATAGTAAGGAGTTACTAATCTTTTTTGGCGTGAAACCCTATTTTTATCTTTGGCCAGCCACAGTGGCTCACACCTGTAATCCCAACACTTTGGGAGGCCCAGGCGGGTGGATCACCTGAGGTCGGGAGTTCGAGACCAGCCTGACCAACATGGAGAAACCCTGTCTATTAAAAATACAAAATTAGCCGGGTGTGGTAGCACATGCCTGTAATCCTAGCTACTCGGGAGGCTGAGGCAGGAGAATCGCTTCAACCCGGGAGGCAGAGGTTGCGGTAGGCTGAGATCACGTCATTGCACTCCAGCCTGGGCAACAACAGCAAAACTCCATCTCAAAAAAAAAAATCTCTTTTCAAGATACACAGTGAAACATCTACAGATGAGATCATAGGGCAACCAGAATTGACTCCAAAATTCCTAATTATCCTAAGATGAGATCAGCCATGAGTTGACAATGGCTAAAGCTAGTCTATCTACTTTGGTGTATTTTCCATAGAAAAAATTGCAGGGGCCAGGCGGTGGCTCATGCCTGTAATCCCAGCACTTTGGGAGGCCAAGGCAGGTGAATCGCTTTGAGCTCAGGAGTTCGAGACCAGCCTGGGCAACAGGGCAAGATCCTGCCTCTAAAAAAACACACAGAAATTAGCCAGGCATGCTGGATCACGCTTGTAGTTCCAGCTACTCAGGAGGCTGAGGTTGGAGAATCACTTGACCTGGGAAGCGGAGGCTGCAGTGAGCTGAGACTGCGCCACTGTGCTCCAGCCTGGGCGACGGAGACCCTGTCTCATAATTTAAAAAAAAAAAAAAAAATTGCAGGGGAGAAGCAAAGCTGATCCTGTCATTCAAATCCTCCAACTGCTTTCCATAATAAAAAAAAAAAAAATGCAAAGCCCAGGCCCTGCAGGATCTGCCCTGGTTCCCTCTCCCGCCCTCACCTCCTAGGGGTCTCCACCCTACTCCTCCATTCCTGTCAGTTTCCTTGCCATCCTCCACGCTGCCCTTGAGCACTGGCACATCCCACTTGGGCCTGTGCTCCCGCTGTCCTCTCCATCGGGAACACCCTTCCCCTGACATCTGAAATCTCTCTCTTGGCTTTCTCCCACCACAGCACAAGCTCAATGAGGGCAAGGTCTCCCACCCCGGCTGACCTAGCATATAGTAAATACCCTATAAATACATATGGAATAAACAAATAAACAAACCCAAGTTTCAGCCAAGCTCTGCCCCCTGCCACTCAGACTAGTGACCGCCTTTCCCTGATCGTGCCTCTTCCTTTGCAAGATGTCATCCCACCTCAATGGCTGTCTTGAGAATTCAGGGCCGAGTAGTGCCCACCACAGACCCTGAGAGGCACATGGTCGCTCAGATGTCCTGTGTCCAACCCTAGGACCACCAAGGTGTCCTTCCTCACTGTCTCAGGCAGTCGAGAGTTTGTCTAGTTCTATCCCTCAATGGAGGGCAGCTGGCTGGGGGTCACAGGTATCACAGGTGAGGAAGAGTCAAGAATAGCAGGCCTCTTCTTCAGTCAGGCCTCCTTCCACCTCTGGCATTCGGCCTCTCTAAAAAGTAAGCCATTCCATTTTTCAGAGGGAAAAACAGGAGCCCAGATGGGGAGAGCCTCACTCCAGCCCCACCCTGCCTGGTGAGTCAGCAGTCAGACCTGCTCACCCATCTCCCATCAAGACCTAGCCAAGCCCTGGTTAACGACCTCCTCGCCTCGGGAAAGAGACCTGAAGCCTCCCTTGGCCTGTTCCTATCTTCCTTGAGGCAATGACTCCCTCACCTGCCCAGCCAGCCTGGTGGCTCTGGGAATTACTGGCTGATTCGAGGGGGAGTCACCACCAGGCAACCACCCCCTCAAACCCTGCCGCGCAAGCCCACATAGCTGCCTGAGGACCCAGGGCTGGCTCTCTAGGTCTGTTCCTTCTGACAGCACCCAGCACAGGTTATCTGCTGCCTCATCTACAAAGCAGGCATGATGCCCACTCCCTGGAGGGCCATTATGGGCACTAGGAGGGGGCAGGTGCGCGTGCTTTGTGGGCTGGAGAAAGCTCTGCAGATGGTAGAAGGAAGCACCCCCAGGCCAAGGTCTCCTAGAAGACAGGACATGCCAGCATCTCACCAGCTCCAACTTGGTCTTCTGACCTCCAGCTTCCACAATGGCCTCCTCCCCTGAACCCTTCCACTCCCCCCAGGGGCCTCCTCCCCTCCCTCAGCAGCCTCAGCCCTTTGCAGGGGCTCGGCACCACCCCTGGCCTCATGTTTCATTAGGGCACTTGTCACTAGCTGATGCCGTCTGCTACGCTGGCTTATTTTCGAGTTATCTGTCTTGCCCACTATAACGTAAACTCCTGGAGGCTGAGGACTTTCTTCACCTGGTCCAATTCTGAGCCCTCCGTGCCTGGAACAGTGCTTGGCATAAAGATGATCCTAATAAAAACTGGATGAAGGAATTAACAAACCCTTCCATGGCTCCCTCACCCACCACCCCCTAGAATAAAATCCAAACCAAGGCCCCCCACCTGCCTCATCTCCCCCTGCTCCCACCCACAAAGCCTCTGCTCCAGACAGACTCAGCCCTGACCACATCCGGCTGGGGACGTTGTACGCATGAGTCACTCTGCCAGAATCACCCTTCCCAGCTCCTCTTCCAGCTTCCTTGAGCTTGTTCTAGACATGGCACCTCCACAAGGAAACTGGGGCTGGCCAGGAGACTCCCTGCACACCCCAGAGCCCCTGCACTCACAATACCCGTGCCACCTGTCACATCAGCCTGGCTGCCACTTCCCTCATCTGTCTTCCCTGCAGCCTGAGAGCTCGAAGACCATATCTGATCCCTTCTGTGTTTCCCAAGCTTGCCCAACTAGAGAAAGGAGTACTACAGTTGAGGCGGTGCTCATTGCTGTGTCCTCCCCACATGACCAAGTGGAATTTCTCAAGAGCAAGGTCAAAGTAGTCTCACAGCAGAGTCCCCAACCCACCCAACCCATCGTGTCTACAGTCAGCCCTATGGCCAGTGCCCTTCCTTATTTCCTAGGTCACTTCTCCTCACCCTCTCCAACACGACCCCCAGGCCAGACCTCTGCCTAGTCCTTCTCCACAGACCTCACAGCCTCTTCAAGCGATTAATTTAATCTACGTAACACATGCCTAGCAGAGCACCTACTAGAAGCCCAGTGCATCCTAAACACTTTGAAAACCCTAACTTGCTTATTAACTGATTTTCCAGATGGAGTTAGAGTTCCCTGAAGAGGAATCACATCACGTCACCCTCCTGCTCAAAACCCACTGCCAGTGCCTGGCGCATGGAATAAAATCCAAACTGTCATCCCTGCCGTGGCCCGCGAGGCCAAGCTGCTCCGGCCCCAGCCTGGCTCCTCCACCTGCTCCCACCCTCTCTTGGTGGCACTTATCATTGTCTAAAATGATCTTCAGTTTCACTGGTCACCTGACTAGGTCAGCTCCACAAGAGCCGGGAACCTTGCTGCAGCACTCCTGCCCCAGGCACACTGCACAGCAACAGTGAGAACAAACCCTCGTACAGCGTGTGCCGGGTTGGGCACTGCTCCAGGCATACTGTGGGTAAATTTGTTTTCTCACAACAATCCAAACAGGGAGGTGATTATCAGCCTCACTTTACAGATGTGGAAACTGAGGTGGATGGCTGGGTGCGGTGGCTCACGCCTGTAATCCCAGAACTTTGGAAGGCTGAGGCGGGTGGATCACTTGAGGTCAGGAGTTCAAGACCAGCCTGGCCAACATAGTGAAACCCATCTCTACTAACTAAAAATACAAAAATTAGCTGGGCGTGGCAGTGGGTGCCAGTAATCCCAGCTACTTGGGAGGCTGAGGCAGGAGAACTGCTTGAACCCAGGAGGCGGAGGTTGCAGTAAGCCAAGATCACACCACTGCACTCCAGCCTGAGAGACAGAGGGAGATGGCGTCTCAAAAAAAAAAGAAAAGAAAAGAAACGAAACTGAGGCAGAGAGGTTCAATTACTGGCCTGAGGTCAGACAACTTATTTAAGTGCCAAGACCAGGATGTAAATCAGGCAGCCTGATCCAGGATCGTTGTTTTTTTACCCCGTGATATGCTGCCACTGCACAAGAAATGTCTGAATAAGTAAACCCCGGCAGATGTTTGCTGAATACACAAATGAAACTAGGGCAGGGGGTTGTCAGGAAAGGCTTCCTGAAGGAGGTGGCACAAGATCTGATCCTTCAACAATGGACAGGATGTAGACAGGCAAGATGGCGAGAGAAAGGACAAGAATTCCACTGTGGTGAACGAGAGCTGACACCCATCTGCCAAGTGTGTCACATCCCCCAGAAAAATGCTCATTTCTCCCACCCTCTGAACCCACCCGGGGCACTCTACATGCATTGCCAAAGCCTACAGACACCTACCACAGGTCACTTTGCCTTCAGAGGAAGGTCTGGCGGGCTCTGACTGCTGCTGGGGTGCGGCTGGGGCCCCTCTCCGCCGCCGTCTGGCACCACCACTGGGCCGGCCCCGACTCCGCCGCTGCCGCTTGGTTGGGGGGGAGCCTGAGGGGAAAAAAATGGGGCAAGTTGAGGACCAGGATGACAGCTAGAGTGCCCAGGTGTATGCCTGGAAAAGAACTCAAGGTGTTCTCGGTGCTGAGACCCTGAGTGAGCCAGTCTGCCTCCCTTCTTCAGTGGCCCTGTCTAAAAGATGAAGAGTACCATCTAGCATCATCTAGAAGGGCAAATGAGTACACCCCAGCACGCTGCAGCAGGCTCACTCCAGGTGTGATGTGACCCTAGAGAAATCCCTGCACACTTACACCAGGAGACACACACGACAACCGCCACCAGGGCATTGTTTATCATGATGAAAACCTGAGAACAACATATCTGGCAAGAAGAAACAGGAATATAGGGAGATGTCCAGGATAGACTGTTTAAGGAAATAAAGCAAGATACAAAATAAGTGTCTACAGTGTGCTGTACTTTGCATAAGGAGGGAAATTAAGATTATATATATCTGCAAAATGAAACACTAGAAGCACAGACTAGAAATGAATGAATTGGGGGTGAGGGGCACCCAGCAGTAGAAATGACATGTCTAAAAATACTTTTCATACTTTTTTTTTTGAGACCGAGTTTCGCTCTTGTTGCTCAGGCTGGAGTGCAATGGCACAATCTTGGCTCACTGCAATCTCCGCCTCCCGGGTTCAAGCAATTCTCCTGCCTCAGGTTCCCAAGTAACCGGGATTACAGGTGTCTGCCACGACAACCGGCTAATTTTTTGTATTTTAAGTAGAGATGGGTTTCACCATGTTGGCCAGGCTGGTCTCAAACTCCTGACCTCAAGTGATCCACCCGCCTCGGCCTCCCAAAGTGCTGGGATTATGGGCATTGAGTCACCAAGCCCAGCCCCACACTTTAGTTTTGACTTTTGACTCATATAACTGATTTACACACTTAAAAAGTTAAAATGAAATAAACCATAAAATTAACACAAATAGGCCGCACACGGTGTGGCTCCCGCCTACAATCCCAGCACTTTTGGAAGGCCGAGGTGGGTGGATCACTTGAGATCAGGAGTTCGAGACCAGTTTGACCAACATGGTTGAAACCCTGTCTCTACTAAAAATACAAAAATCAGCTGGGCGTGGTGGCGCCTACCTGTAATCCCAGCTACTGGGGAAGCTGAGGCAGGAGAATTGCTTGAACCCAGGAGCTGGAGGCTGCAGTGAGCCGAGATTGTGCCACTGCACTCCAGCCAGGGTGACAGTGTGAGACCCTGTCTCAAAAAAAAAAAAAAAAAAAAATTAAACACAAACAGAAGAAAATGAACCTGGTCGGATGTTGTGGTTCATGTCTGTAATCCCAGCCTACGCCCTAGGAGTTCAAGACCAACCTGGAACCCGGGCAACATGGAAAAACCCGTCTCTATTAAAATAAAATGTAAAAAAATTAGCCGGGTGTGGTAGCACGTGCCTGTAGTCCCAGCTACTTGGGAGGCTGAGGTGGGAGGGCTGCTTGAGCCCAGGAGATCTAGGCTGCAGTAAGCAGTGTTTGCGCCACTGGACTCCAGCCTGGGAAACAGAGCTAGACCCTCAAAGGGAGAAGGGAGAAGAAAAGGAAGGAAGGAAGGGAGAGAGGGACGGAGGGAGGGAGGGAGGGAGGGAAGGAGGAAGAGAGGGAGGGAGGAAGGGAGGGAGGGGATTGTATACATAATTGGTAACAGGAATACTCAGATGAAACAATTATTCAAGTAACTTGAAGAACATTCTGACTGTAAAATCTCAATGGGATATGCTCAGAGAACAAGAAACACAAATAAAATCTATGTTTCATTCACTAGATACAGTCAGCAGTTGTACTGACTTTGTTATTTTGATGCTATTTAATTACTGTTGTAAAATAAATCAAACAAACCCACATCTTAATGTTATTAAGAGGAAAGACTTTTAGTATAAAAAAGTCTGGCTGGGGCTGGGTGCAGTGGCTAACACCTATAATCCCAGCATTCTGGGAGGCCGAGGCGGGCGGATCACCTCAAGTCGGGAGTTCGAGACCAGCCTGACCAACATGGAGAAACCCTGTCTCCACTAAAAATACAAAATTAGTCGGGCGTGGTGGCACATGCCTGTAATCCCAGCTACTCAGGAGGCTGAGGCAGGAGAATCGCTTGAACCCGGGAGGCGGAGGTTGCGGTGAGCCGAGATTGTGCCATTGCACTCCAGCCTGGGCAACAAGAGTGAAACTCTTTCTCAATAATAATAATAATAATAATAATAAATTAATTAATTAAAAAGTCTGGCTGGGAGCAGTGGCTCACACCTATAATCCCAGCACTTTGGGAGGCCAAGGCAAGCAGGTCACCTGAGGTCAGGAGTTCGAGACTAGCCTGGCCAACATGGTGAAACTGCGTCCCTACTAAAAATACAAAAATCAGCTGGATATGGTGGTGTGTACCTGTAGTCCCCGCTACTCAGGAGGCTGAGGCAGGAGGATCACTTAAACCTGGGAGGCAGAGGTTGCAGTGAGCTGAGATGGCGCCACTGTACTCCAGCCTGGGTGACAGAGTGAGACTCCATCTCAAAAAAAAGTATTTGTGATGTTTTTGTTTCTTTGTTTAGAGTGGGGATCTCGTTCTGTTGCCCGGGCTGGAGTCCAGTGGCATGCCACCACACCCGGCTCGTTTTTTTTTTTTCTCTGAGACAGGGTCTTGCTCTGTCACCCAGACTGGAGTGCAGTGGCATGATCTCAGCTCACTGCAACCTCCACCTTCCCAACTCAAGCAATCCTCCTACCTCAGCCTCCTGAATAGCTGGGACTACACGTGCACATCACCATGCCAGGCTAATTTTTATATTTTTTATAGAGACAGGGTTTTGCCATGTTGCCCAGGCTGGTCTCAAATGCCTGGGCTGAAGCAGTCCACCCGCCTTAGCCTCCCAAACTGCTGGGGCTACAGGTGTGAGCCACTGCACCCGGCTAGGTTTTTTATCTTTTTAGACACAGGGTCTTACTATATTGCCCAGGCTGATCTCGAACTCCTGGCCTCAGGCAATCCTCCTGCCTCAGCCACACAAAGCACTAAGATTACAGGCATGAGCCACCAAACATGGCTATAACATTAATCTTTAAAATACTAACAGAAACTTTTTGAAAAGTCAAGTCTCTAACACTGTTCACTGAAAGAACCTAGAACAATATACACACTCAACACCCAGGTTTTGGTCTCTAAATACCACAGCTTCCTTGAAAAACAGCTGATTCTAGGGTGCGGAAGGGAAAGTTCAAAGTCAGCCCAGGACATCTTGCAGTGCCACAAAGCAGGAAGCACACAAAGAATGATACAAACACATGAAGAAGACACAAGAGGCTAGCCAGTTGGAACTGCAGGAAGACTGACTGACTGTAACAAGTCAGTAAATAGTGTATGGGTCTATAGTGACACTCAAACTCAAAGGGGCATTGGGGGAATACCTCTTGAAAGAGAAAGAAAAAAGAAAAAGAATTAGAAAAATCACCATTTTGCAAACACCAATGTGATAACTGGTTCAGGCAAAGCTCATAGATGTGAAACCCACTGAGTAAATGGCTATTAGGGAACAGGATATGCCAAAGTATCACCCCATAGACTGTTTACTAACCATGAGAACTAAATGTCCCTTCACAATGGACAAACATGGCAGATATCCCCTTAACCAAGTGACCAAACTTTCCCACATCGGAAAAGCCAGGCCGTACATGCCTGGAGATGTACTCCAATATGAACTAGATGGCAGCAACCAAGGATTATTCCTGCTAAAGATGTATAAACTGAATCTAACCAAGCCTCAGACACAATTCCCATTTAACAAAAAATGTAAGGGAAAGAGGGACGAGTTACATAACTCCATCAGGAAAAAAACAGACAGATAAAGAAACAATCAGGACATTCTACAAAACAACCGGCCTGCTAGGGTGAAAAAATCAATGTTACAGGAAAAAGAAAAAGGTATGGGGTGTAGGGGCAGTTTCTGTGCTATAGCAGGAGACATAACAACTGAATGCATACCAACTCAACTATGAATAGATTCTGAACGGTCCCACAGTCTGGGGATTTTTGAAAATGGACCATTAGAATGTCAGAGAATTCGTGTTTATTTTCTTAGGTATAATAGTCTTAAAGTGGTACAGGAGAATATCCTTATTCTCCACGGATGCCTAATTTAGGGGTAAAGCATCCTGATGTCTGTAATTTACTTTCAAAGGGTTCAACAAAAAAATCCAGAATTACGTATACACATAAAGCAAAAGTAGCAAAATCTTAACAATTATTGAACCTAAGTGGAAGATGTTAACTGTACTAATCTTTCAACTTGTATGTTTGAAATTTCACATAATAAAAAGAGGGGTGGCCAGGGCGCAGTGGCTCAAGCCTGTAATCCCAACACTTTCGGAGGCCCAGGTGGGCAGATCTCTTGAGGCCAGGAGTTCGAGACCAGCTTGGGCAACATGGTGAAACCTCATCTCTACTAAAAATACAAAAAAATTAGCCAGGCATGGTGTCATGCGCCTGTAGTTCCAGCTACTTGGGAGGCTGAGGCAGGAGAATTGCTTGAATCTGGGTGGCAGAGGTTGCAGTGAGCCGAGATTGCACCACTGCACCGAAGCCTGAGTGACAGAATGAGATTCTGCCTCAAAACAACAACAACAACTAGAGGTGGCTGGCATGATGGCTCATGCCTGTAATCCAGCACTTTGGGAGGCTGAGGTGGGAGGACTGCTTGAGGCTAGGAGTTCAAGACCAGCCTGGACAACAAGGGGGAGACCACACCTCTATAAAGGATGAAAAAATTAGCCAGGCATGGTGGCATACCCCTGTAGTTCTAGTTACTTGAGAGGCTGAGGTGGAAGGACAGCTTGAGCCCAGGAGTTCAAGGCCGCAGAGAGCTATGATTTCATCACTGCACTCCAGCCTGGGTGACAGACCAAGCCCCTATCTTGAAAAAGCCAAACAGAAAAAAACAAAAACTGGGGGTGGTGAGAATAAATAAGTTAATTGGGGCATGGCAATTAAAATAATACAATTAGAGATACTCAGCATGAATAAATCTCAGACACATCTAGCAAAGACAGCCAGGTGCAGAGTAATACCCACAATGTAATGCCATTTAAACGAAACACGAAACTATGTGCAACAATTCTGTATGTTGCTTCAGAACAGAGTATCTGTAGCAATAAACACACACACACACACACACACACACACACAGTGAAAATGAGACAGAATAACCCCTCAGGCCCCTTCCTTGATGGGCACAATTCATAAGGAAAAGAGGGATGCTGCCATTACACCCACCCAGCTGGGCTCACCTGTCTCCCACTGACCCTGCTGAGAATTTGCAGAACTGCTTGACTGCCGACGGCGACGGCAGCTACCCTCTGTCCTCTTTGAAGAGCTGGAGGTGCCATAGCTATAGCGTTCTGGAGACACTGGAGGAAGAGAAGAACAGGAAGAAGCATTCAGCCTCCTGGCCCTAATTCCCACCCCTGGAAGAATGCCTGCACCACGAGGTGCCTAAGTTCCCCAGTAGTCAGAGCCCAAATACCCACTCATTCTCAAACACCTCCTGCAGAGGTTGCTCAGATGCCTCCTAAGAGAGAGAACTTATCACGACTTGGGGCAATCTAACCCACGTCTACGGCAGCTCAAACTGTCAAGGTTATTCTGTTGATAGTCATGGTAAGGGTCCCTGTAATGGCCCTTTGCCCTGGCATCAACTGCCCCCAGCTCTCCCCAAGGAGTAAGCAGGCCTCTGTGCAGGCTCCCCAAATCTTCTCTTCTAGAGCGTGATCTTCAGACATAGATATCCAAAAATGCTGTCAGCTCTTCCCTAGAGCTGTCCTTCTCCTGCTTATCTAAATCCTGTGGGCTTACTCTGGGTCAGGGAAGGCCATAATCCCCCCTCCCCAAACTAGCCACTGCCCCTTTAGTAACCCAGACAAAGGCTTGGTCTATTCATGCACACGGCTACCGGCAGCCTGAACCCCTCCCAGCTTCTCATGTGAAGGCTGCTATCCTCCAGGAGCACTTCCTTCACAAGGATTAAGGGCATCAACTCTGGGGACAAGTTGGCTAGGTTTGAATCCTGGCTCCCACACTTCCCAGCTACGTTCTCTGCAAGCCCCTTCATGACATAACTTCTTACCTCCCTCTCTTCCCTAGCTTGGGTCCCCTCTGCTCCTGCCACACTGGCCTCTGATGATGCCAAACTCATTCCCACCTCAGGCCTTGGATGCTCCCTGGGATTTTCTCCCCTGGGGTCTATGCATGGCTGGCAGTGCAGCCTCAGGGCAAAGCCTCCCTTCACCTTGCTGCTCTCCTGACTCTCTCTATTCCATTACTTTTAGTCTTCCTACAACAGCGTCTAAAAATAAGTTCTCTTATTATCTGATTGCCCCCACTAAACTTAAACTTCATGGAACAAACACCTTGTCAGCTCCATCATCCTGTATCCCTCCTAGGCCCAGCAAACAGGATTGTTATTATACGTGCAAACTGCTTAACTTCTCTGAACTTGTTATTTTCTTGGTTACAGTGAAGACAGTAACAGGACTTCCTTGTGAGATTACTGGGAGACTATAAGGCACTAGTTCATATGAAGGGCTGACAGCTGTGCCTGGCATGAAACAAGCCCTCCGTAAACAGTGGCCAAAATCATCATCACTGATGTGGCCAAATTCCCAAAGCCATGCTTTCTTCCTCTTATGTTGCTCATTGATATTGTGGGAAGAGAGAGTAGCAGAATGGGACATAAGCTGCCTGATATGGCACTGTCCGTATCAGGGCACCAGGGAGGCCCAGCGGGAGCCAGGCCCTTTCCTCCCAGGAAGTGTGACACCCTCCCATTCAACCGTACCTGGCCGGCGCCGCTTGCGCGCCAGGTGCGGCAGCAGGTCGTGGCGGGCCAGCACGCGCAGGAGTTGCCCCAGCAGCCGCAGGTTGCTCTCGTCGCACTGCCCGCGGCGCTCCAGCTCCAGCAGGAGCTCTAGGCCGCTGCGGGCCCGGGCTAAGCCTCCGGCGGCGCCAGGAGCCTCATCCAGCAGAAAGGCCAGGAGCTCCAGCTCGCACTCGGTCAGTTGCCCGCCCACCACCTCGAACATACGGTGAAGCGACAGCATCCCGTAGTAGTCCAGGCACTCATCCTCCTCCCAGCACGGGGCCGGGGTCGACCCGGATAGCGCCATTCCCGGGGGAGGGAGGCGGAACAAGCTCAGAACCCGGCCTAGAACCCACACAGCGGGGAGGGGGCAGTGGTCAGCGACGCGGAGGCCCGAACCCCACACCGCCAGCGCGTCTCCCCCGCCCAATCGCGCCGGGCAGGGCCGCTCCCGCACCCCCAACCGCCTCGGCCTCCCCCTCCCCCGGGAGGGAATGGTCCCGCCCGAGGTCCCCTAAGAACAGGTCGGGACGCCGGAGCCCGCTCGGCTTCTGCCCCCACCACCGTGCTACGTTCGGAGCTCGCCTCCGGACCTGACCAAACGATGCGGCCCAAACAAGCCTCGGGGCCCACCCCGGGGCTCCCTGCTGACTGCCCCTGACTCTGGGTAGGACTGCCCAGACGAGCCCCTTTTCTCCGTCCAGCGGTACCGTCTGATGAGTCCCCCGGCTCTACGCAAGTGGTACCTCCCGAAAGTGACCCTCTGCCCCCTACACAGAGGAGCGACCCAGGCAGCCCCTTTGCTCCACACAGGTGGTACCGTCCGAACCCGACCCCCTCGCCCTGCAAGGGCGGCCCCGCCCGCTCCCCAGAGCCCAGGTGGTCCTGTCTACCCGCCACCAGTCACCATTAGGCCTCTCTGGATCCTCACCAGATTCTGGCGTCCGATGACTCCTGGGCGACGGCCGCAGCCACTTGTTTTGGATCTTTCTGGCACCTTCTCTATTATTACGCCTGCGTCACCTCGCCCCTCCTCCTTCCCCCAACTCGCGCAGGTGCGACCGCCACGCCCCTTCGGCGCATGCGCAGAACGAGGCCTCCAAGCCCCGCCCTTCCTGGGCCGCTTGACCTGCCCCCAACCGAAGCATCTTGGTTCGCGAGTGCTGCGCTTGCGCAGAGCGAGAGCACGCCGCCTCTTGGGCTGTATCTGGTACCCGGTTCCAGGTCCCTACTTCCTGCCCGTGACTCAAGCCACCGGGGCCATGTAGCGCCACGTCACGAGTAGTTGTAACTACTCATCTCATAAACTACAGCCCCCTCCTGATCACGAGCTAGACGCCCACATCACCACTGCCCCTAGTTGCCCGTGGCAAAGTAACACAATCACTACTTTCCCGTCTCCCAGTAAACTCCCAGGCCTTATATGATCTGGTCCTGGGCACTCCTCCATTAGATTGTCCCTCACTTCTAGTGACAACCAGGGATCTACATCTCAACTGTGCTCTCTCGTGATCCCAAATGGAAATCCCGCCCCCCCACCACCACCCCCGCAGTCTATAAGTTCCTTCCCCTGATCAAAACCAGAATTCCCTCATCTCACGTTCAGGACGGATACCTCCTTCCAAGCGGCAACAGAACCCTCCATTCCGACTGTGTACATCTCGATGGCGTCCATCACGACCCCCATCACAGTCAGATGTCTCCACCCAGAGCCAAAACGGCCCCTCCGTAACCCCTTCCAATCTCTGCCCTCCAGGGTCGCCCAGATACCCGCTCCCTAACTTGCAACAACTAGAGAGGGTCTGTCAGGGAGTCTAGGCTGTGGTGTATGCGTGTCCCCTTACCGCGGGGCCTTGGGTGTGACGGTCGCCACGCCCCCCACTTAGGTGACTCAAGGTCAGGACCTGCATGTACTTGAGACAAGTCCCCTCCCTGGACCTCTTCCCACCCCCGCAATTAACTCCTCTTGGGAGTCGGGAGATCTGGGTCCTGCCTAGCACTGGCCCAGTACTGGCTCTGCCTGAGCTGTAGCAGTGAATTCAAAAGAATCGGCTGCGCGCGGTAGCTCACGTCTGTAATCCCAGCACTTTGAGAAGCCGAGGTGGGCGGATCACACGAGGCCAGGAGTTCGAGACCAGCCTGGCCAACATGATGAAACCCTGTCTGTTCTTAGCCGGATGTGGTGGCACGCGCCTGAAATCCCAACTACTTGGGAGGCTGAGACAAGAGAATCTCTTGAACCAGGGAGCAGTAAGCAGAGATAGTGCCACTGCACTCCAGCCTGGGCCACAGGGCGAGACTTTGTCTCAAGAAACAAACAAACGCCAGGTGCGGTGGCTCACGCCTGCATTCCCAGCACTTTGGGAGGCCGAGGCGGGCGGATCACCTGAGGTCGGGAGTTCGAGACCAGTCTGACCAACATGGAGAAACCCCATCTCTACTAAAAATACAAAATTAGCCGGGCGTGCTGACGCATGCCTGTAATCCCAGCTACTCGGGAGGCTGACGCAGGAGAATCGCTTGAACCCTGGAGGCGGAGGTTGCCGTGAGCCGAGATTGCGCCATTGCACTCCAGTCCGGGCAACAATAGCAAAACTCTGTCTCAAACAAACAAACAAGACCGGACGCGGTGGTTCACGCCTGTAATCCCAGCACTTTGGGAGGCCGAGACGGGTGGATCACCTGAGATCAGGAGTTCGAGAGCAGCCTGACCAATATGGCAAAACCCCGTCTCTACTAAAAAATACAAACATTAGCCGGGCGTGGTGGTGGACACCTGTAATCCCAACTACTCGGGAGGCTAAGGCAGGAGAATCGGTTGAACCCGGGAGGCGGAGGTTGCAGTGAGCCAAGATCGTGCCACTGCACTCCAGTCTGGGCGACAGAGTGAGACTCCGTCTCAAACAAACAAACAAACCCTCCAAGAAATCCCTTCCCCTCTCTGGGCCTCAGTTTCCCTACTTGTGAAACAAATGGATGGCAATGGTAAGCTACGGAAGCATAGTCCTGGGCTAAACTCACAAGGGGGCCTGGTAAGTGACTATCATTAAATCAAACGAAGAGTAGGGAGAATAGGAAAGCAATTTAACAAACTGTGAAGGATTCTGTCTTGCTAAGTGGGTTGTAGTGGGCGCCTACAGTGTATGAGCGCTGTGCATGTGTGATATCATCCAATCCCCTAAACAATCTTTGAGGTGGCTGTGACTCAAGCTCACTTCACACCAGTAAAACAGAGGCCCGGAGAGGAGAATAACTCCAAGTGTGTCGGGCTCTAAAGCTGTACTCTCAGAAATGCTCCGTCTCTTCAGCTTTGAAATGACATCTCTGTCAAGGTCTCCCGCCGCCCAGTTCACTCCATGGGCCCAACGCTCACCAAAGGTTGCCCGAGTTTCTCTACAGAACTTGCCGACGCTTAGCCCGGGAGCGACCCAGAGAAATGCGCAGGCGCATCTCCTCGCCCTGAGCCCCGCCCACAGGGCGAAGATGTGTGCGTGGATAACTCCCAGAGCCCCGCCTGTGTGGCAACACGCAGGCGCAAGGTCGCGTGCCCTGCGCTGCAGGCTCTGATTGGTCGCCACGGGTAAGGGCACCGCCCAATGGGAGGTGTGGATAGTGAGGGGTCCCACACGCCTGGAGCCGAGGGTCTGTGTCAAGAGCGGCAGGGGCTGCAGGAGATAAGAGAAACGGGTGAGGGCGCCGCGCGGGGCTGGACTGGGAAGAGAACGCTGGGCGGACGGAGGGGGCGGAAGGAAAACTAAGGGGTCTGCAGGGATCGAAGAGCCTTGGGGCCTGCGCTAGGGCGGGAGCGGCGCGGGCTGGAAGGAGAGCACTCCTTCCTGTGTGCCCTGGGGCTCCTTTAGTGTGCGGGAGCCTACGCTGGAACTCGCCCACCACCCACTGCTGCGAGCTCTCACCCTGCCGAGGAGCTCAGTCTGGTAGGAGACAAGCGTTGTAAAGCGGGAAAGTTGAATTTCCAGGGCCCTAGTGGGTTCCTTCCTGGAAAGACTTACTGATATACTGTGTGAAAAACCCCCATTCTTTCCCTAAGTAGTTCACAATTCAAGAGTGGGAGAAAGAATCGTAGACGAGGAAAGGGCAAATTTCAAGTCTCCCGGGCCACCTCGTAGACATTTATTGGGTACCTGCTTTGTGCAAGCTTTGCAGCAGGCACTGGGCCTCGCCCTAGGGGAGTTCTCTGTTGGAAATGGGGCTGTAATCAAGGAAAAATGGAACTCTCGGGCCCCTGGTTGCCTACTTCCAGGAAGGTCCTTTGTGGAATGGCTGTTGTGTGCAGGGGCCTGGCAACTCAAAAATTAGGAAGGGGATTGGAATAGTAGATAAGGAAAGTTTAGCTCCAGCTCCTTTAGTGAATAATTTACTCAAGGAGTATGTATTGGGCATTAACTGAAAGCAGGGCCCTGTACTGGGCTGTGTGTTTTGGGAATTCACAGTCTAATGGGGAAGTTGGTCTGGTAGAAATGGACTGTGCATAGGGACAGTTAAACTCAGGGTCGGCCAGGCAGTGGCTTACACCTCTAATTCCAGCGCTTTGGGAGGCCTGGGTGGGAGGATTGCTTGAGCTCAGTAGTTCGAGACCAGCCTGGGCAACATAGGGAGACCTCTCTACAAATAATTTAAAAATTAGCCAGGGGCTAGGTGTGGTGGCTCACACCTGTAATCCCAGCACTTTGGGAGACCATGGTGGGTGGATTTCTTGAGGTCAGGAGTTGAAGACCAGCCTGGGCAACATGATGAAACCCCATCTCTACTAAAAATACAAAAATTATCCAGGCGTGGTGGTGAATGCCTGTAGTTCCAGCTACTCAGGTGACCGAGGCGGGAGAATCGCTTGGACCCAAGAGGCGGAGGTTGCAGTGAGCCGAGATCGTGCCACTGCACTCCAGCCTGGGCAAAAAGAGAGAAACTCTGTCTCAAAAAAAGTAAAATAAAATAAATAAAAATAAAAATTTGCCAGGCATGATGGCAGATACCTGTGGTCCCAGCTACTCAAGAGGCTGAGGCAGGAGGATCACCTGAGTCCAGGAGGTGGAGGCCTCAGTGAGCCAAGATCGCACCACTGCACTGCAGCCTGGGCAACAGAGTGAGACCCTGTCTCAAAAGGAGGAAAAAAAAAAAAAAACCTCTCAAGGTCTCACTTCCCAAGGGAGGCTCACTGCAGCCTCCACCTCCTGGGCTCAAGTGATCAAACCACCTTAGCCTCCCAAAGTGCTAGGATTGCAGATGTGAGCCACCACACCTGGCCTGGGAGCATTTCTCAGTCACTAAATATGTACTGTGTGCTAGACATTGTTCTTGGCACTGGACGTGCTTCAGTGATGTGCAGGCTAAACTGCTACCGTCTAGGTGCTTAATATGAGCAACTTTTTTTTTTTTTTTTCCTCCTTGAGACAGAGTCTCACTCTGTCTCCAGGCTGGAGTGCAGTGGCGCAATCTCAGCTCACTGCAACCTCCGCCTCCCGGTTTCAAGCCATTCTCCTGCCTCAGCCTCCCAAGTAGCTGGGATTACAGGCGTGCACCACCACGCCCAGCTAATTTTTGTATTTTTTTTAGTAGAGACGGGGTTTCATCATGTTGGCCAGCATGGTCTCGATCTCTTGACCTTGTGATCGCCTGCCTTGGCCCCTAGAGTGCTGGGATTACAGGCGTGAGCCACTGCGCCCGGCAATATGAGCAACTTCTATATGCAAGGCTGTAAACCAGACTCCACCTGCCCTCTGGCACTAATAGATTAGGTGAAAAAGAGGTAAAGAAGGTGGGTTTGAATTCATAAAATTAGCTGCTAGGCCTGGGAGGGAGGCAGTCATTTGTTGAGTGTACTCTGAGTCCCTGCTGTGTGAAGGGGCCTGGGTGGGGTTGAGCCCACATACGTAGAAGGGAAGATGGGGCATATAGAGGGAAGTTTGAAAGTTAAAATTCCTGTCCCTGCTCAGAGGTTTTGTTGCTGACTGGAGCCTCCACAATGAATCAGACCCACAAACTCTCAGTCCAGTGAGGAACAGTGAGATGCCACCCCAAACTCATGATATTTGCCATGATAGAGGTGGCACAGGATACCATAGGAACCCTGAGGATGTAGAGATGTCAGAGAAGGCTTCACAAAAGGTGCTGGGTAGGAGTTTGTCAGACAAAAAGAGGAGAGAAGTTTCTTGGCAAAGGGAATAGCAACATCAAAGACTTAGGGTCTAAAAACAATCTTTCTGGAGAACTACACAGGGTTACAGCTGACCTTTACAAGTACCAGGGACTTTGTGTCAGTACTACTTTTAGCCCCATTTTACAGGTAAGAAGACAACCTCAGAGGAAGTAAGTGGTAGAGCTCAGATTCAAGCCAAGGGCAGTCTGGTTCCAGGGCCTGTGTTTTTAAACACTTGGGTGTATCTGTGTGTGTATATGTAAGAGGCAGAGGAAAAGCATTGCACAAAGAGAAAGCTGCACGCAGGCAAAGGCTATGGTATTCTCAGAAAAGGTGTGCCTGGCCCTCTCGGTAAAGAGGCCAGGCTGGCTGGGCCGGGTGTGGTGGCTCACACCTGTAATCCCAGCACTTTGGGAGGCCGAGGCAGGCGGATCACGAGGGCAAGAGATCGAGACCATCTTGGCCAACATGGTGAAACCCCATCTCTACTAAAAATACAAAAATTGGCCGGGCGTGGTGGCTCATGCCTGTAATCCCAGCACTTTGGGACGCCCAGGCGGGCAGATCACGAGGTCAGGAGATTGAGATTGTCCTGGCTAACACGGTGAAACCCTGTCTCTACTAAAAATACAAAAAATTAGCCGGGCGTGGTTGCAGGCGCCTGTAGTCCCAGCTACTCGGGAGGCTGAGCCAGGAGAATGGCCTGAACCTGGGAGGCAGAGCTTGCAGTGAGCAGAGATTGCACCACTGCACTCCAGCCTGGGCGACAGAGCGAGCCTCCATCTCAACAATAACAACAAAAAAATACAAAAATTAGCTGGGCATGGTGGCGCACACTTGTAGTCCCAGCTACTCGGGAGGCTGAGACAGGAGAATCACTTGAACCTAGGAGGTGGAGGTTGTAGTGAGCCGAGATTGCGCCACTGTACTCTAGCCTGGCAACAGAGCAAGAGTCCATCTCAAAAAAAAAAAAAAAAAAAAAAAGAGGCCGGGCTGTTGGCCGGGGTGGTGGCTCACATCTGTAATCCCAGCACTTTGGGAGGCCAAGGCGGGTGGATCACCTGAGGTCAGGAGTTCAAGACCAGCCTGGCCAACATGGTGAAACCTTGTCTCTACTAAAATATATATATATATATATATATATATATACAAAAATTAGCCAGGCATGGTGGCACACCCCTGTAGTCCCGGCCACTCAGGAGGCTGAGGCACGAGAATAGCTTGAACCCAGGAGCGAGAGGTTGCAGTGAGCCAAGATTGTGCCACTGCACTCCAGCTTGGGTGACAGACCAAGTCTCTGTCTCAGAAGAAAAAAAAAAAAAAAAAAGAGGCTGGGCTGAGTGGTGTTTCTCTCCTGCAGGCTGCCGTGGGGTGTGTGTAGGCTTCAGAGACATGGGATCACGGAAGACTGAAGCAGAAACAGTGGATTAAGACTTCCTGAGCGATAGCTGGTGAGTAGTGGGATGTGCAAGAGAATTCCACCTCCCCTTGGTTTCCTGCTGTCTCACTGGCTCCTGCCCCTCTTTCTCCAGGCACTGCCTTCCCCACAATGGCAGAGGTGGTGGCTGAGGTGGCCGAGATGCCAACACAGATGTCACCAGGGGCAGTGGAGATGTCAACACCTATGTCGGCAGAGATGATGGAGATGTCAACAGAAGTGACTGAGATGACACCTGGGGAGGCCCTTGCCTCATCCCTCTTCTTCCAGCATCACCAGTTCATGTGCTCTGAGTGTGGCAGCCTCTATAACACACTGGAGGAAGTCCTCTCACACCAGGAGCAGCACATGCTTGCTGTCTCAGAGGAGGAGGCACTGACCACACAGAATGTTGGCCTGGAGCCGGAGCTGGTGCCGGGTGCTGAGGGGCCCTTCCAGTGTGGTGAATGCAGCCAGCTCATCCTCTCCCCTGGGGAGCTCCTGGCCCACCAGGATGCCCACCTCCGAGAGTCTGCAAACCAGATCCAATACCAGTGCTGGGACTGCCAGGAGCTGTTCCCCTCGCCCGAGCTGTGGGTGGCTCATCGAAAGGCCCAGCACCTTTCTGCTACGGTAGCTGAGCCACCAGTGCCACCTCCTTTGCCTCCCCCAACACCACTGCCTCCACCTTCTCCCCCATCCGAAGTCAAGATGGAGCCCTATGAGTGTCCTGAGTGCTCTACCCTCTGCGCCACCCCTGAGGAGTTCTTGGAGCATCAGGGCACCCACTTTGACTCCCTAGAGAAAGAGGAGCGCAATGGGTTGGAGGAGGAGGAAGAGGACGATGAGGAGGATGAAGAAGATGATGAAGAGATGGAGGATGAGGAGGCCATGGCAGAGGTCGGTGATGATGCTGTGGGAGGTGACGAGTCCACAGCTGGCTGGGCTCAGGGCTGCGGGGACTGTCCCCAGCACCAGCCCTCAGCAGGGGCTCGCCGGCAACACCGGCGGACGGCTCACAGCCCGGCATCTGCCACCCACCCCTTCCACTGCAGCCAGTGTCAGCGCAGTTTCAGCTCCGCCAACCGGCTGCAGGCTCATGGGCGGGCCCATGTTGGTGGCACACATGAGTGTACAACCTGCTCCAAGGTCTTCAAGAAAGCAGCATCGCTTGAGCAGCACTTGCGGCTGCATCGCGGGGAAGCCCGCTACCTCTGTGTAGACTGTGGCCGCGGCTTTGGCACAGAACTCACGTTGGTGGCTCACCGGCGGGCCCACACTGCCAACCCATTGCATCGCTGTCGTTGCGGCAAGACGTTCAGCAACATGACCAAGTTCCTCTACCACCGGCGCACTCACGCCGGCAAAAGCGGGGCACCTCCCACAGGAGCAACAGCTCCCCCAGCTCCAGCGGAGCCCACCCCTCCACCACCACCCCCTGCCCCACCTGCCCAGCTGCCCTGCCCACAGTGCTCCAAGTCCTTTGCCTCAGCTTCCCGGCTGTCCCGGCACCGGCGTGCAGTACACGGGCCCCCTGAACGGCGTCACCGCTGTGGGGTTTGTGGCAAGGGCTTCAAGAAGCTGATCCACGTGCGCAACCACCTGCGGACACACACGGGTGAGAGGCCCTTCCAGTGCCACTCATGTGGCAAGACCTTTGCTTCTTTGGCCAACCTCAGCCGCCACCAGCTGACCCATACGGGTGCACGTCCCTACCAATGCCTGGACTGTGGCAAGCGCTTCACACAGAGCTCCAACCTGCAGCAGCACCGGCGGTTGCACTTGCGGCCAGTCGCCTTTGCCCGCGCCCCCCGCCTCCCCATCACTGGTCTCTACAACAAGAGTCCCTACTACTGCGGGACTTGTGGCCGCTGGTTCCGCGCCATGGCGGGCTTGCGACTGCATCAGCGGGTCCATGCCCGAGCTCGGACTTTGACGCTACAGCCTCCCAGATCACCATCTCCTGCCCCACCCCCACCTCCAGAGCCTCAACAGACTATCATGTGCACAGAGCTGGGGGAGACCATCGCCATCATTGAGACATCCCAGCCACTGGCGCTTGAGGACACCCTGCAGCTGTGCCAGGCTGCACTGGGGGCCAGTGAAGCAGGCGGGCTCTTGCAGTTGGACACGGCCTTCGTGTGACGCAGCTGAAAAGCAACAACAAAAGGGTTTGGTTGCAACAGCCAGTGTGGGTACCTCTGGGGAGAGAGGACCTCCTCTGACAAACTGGTCTGGTACCCACCATGTGCCAGGATCCACCCTGGCCTCTTTTTACCCACTGACTCCCCAGAACAACCCTTCCAGGCTTCTCTTGTCATCTTTCTCTGCCTGAGGGGAAACTGAAGCTCTGAAATGCGATGTGATCTGTACCAGGTCACCCAGCTATGCTGCAAAGTGGGTTGGCCAAGGCCCTTTGCACTGCATCACCCTGGTGCCCAGCAACATCAGGTAACCTTCACTGAGCACCAAGCTTATGCCAGGTCTGTGCTGGCCACTCTCATATACCTCTTCAGATCCTCTGCTTGTACCCCCAGCCCTTGCCTTCCCTGGATTTTGGGCACCCAGGACTTTGCTCTGCCTGGTGGAGGGTACTTGATTTCTCTGGGCTTCCTTCATCTCAATTCTGACAGTGTGGAAGGAAATCTGTAGGTACCCAGGTCCTCAGCTCCAGACTGGGTGATGCTGGAGACCCAGGAGCAAGTCAGCACAGGCTCTGCCCACAGGAGGCATGCACAATCTGGTAGGAGAAACGCACAAGTACAGATAGCTTGCTCTCTGAGTGTGTCTCATTGATTCATTCAGCCTGTGTGTCCTAAAGCCTCCCTTCTCCCATACTGGGTGATGCTGGGGGCAGAGATGAGTCAGGCCTAAGGCTTCTCTGGGCTGTGATGGGGATGTGCAGGGACAGTGGGATCCCAGGAAACAGACCTCCATGGTGGGAGATCAGGAGTTAAGGACTTCCTAGAGAAGGTAGTCCCTGAAGGAAAAGTAGGAATCTGGCAGTGAAAGAGGAAAAGAACATTCCAGGCAGACAGCACTGCAAGAGGGTGAGCTCTTGGTGTATTTGGAGACCATCCAGTTATTCATCTGACTGCCTACCTGAGGCAAGCACCACACTTACCACTGTATGTGTACTATGATCCCAACAGGCTTGTGACATAGATTTCATATTATCCCTGTTGTATAGATTTTTAAAACTGGTGGCTGGGCGTGGTGGCTCACGCCTGTAATCCCAGCACTTTGGGAGGCCGAGGCGGGCAGATCACGAGGTCAGGAGATCGAGACCATCCTGGCTAACACGGTGAAACCCCGTCTCTACTAAAAATACAAAAAATTAGCCAGGAGTGGTGGCGGGCGCCTGTGGTGGCCAGCTACTCAGGAGGCTGAGGCAGGAGAATGGCGTGAACCCGGGAGGCGGAGCTTGCAGTGAGCCGAGATCGCGCCACTGCACTCCAGCCTGGGCGACAGAGTGAGACTCCCTCTCAAAAGAAAATAAAAATAAAAATAAACTGGCCAGGTGCGGTGGCTCACGCTTGCAATCCCAGTGCTTTGGGAGACTGAGGCAGGAGGATCACTTAAGGCCAGGAGTTCGAGACCAGCCTGGGCAACAGCAAGACCTCATCTCTACAAAACTTAAAAGTTAGCCAGGCCTGGTGGCACATGCCTGTAATCCGAGTGCTTTGGGAGGCTGAGGCAGGAGGATCACTCGAGCTCAAGAATTCAAGACCTGGGCAAGAGAGAGAGACTTTGTCTCTATTAAAAATAAAAATGATTGGCCGAGCATGGTGGTGCACACCAGTATTCCCAGCTACTCTGGAGGCTGAGGCGGAGGCAGGATTGCTTGATATGAGGGAGATTGAGGCTGCAGTGAGCTGTGTTCACACCACTGCACTCCAGTCTGGGCAACAGTGCAAGACCCTGTCACTTAAAAAAAAAAAAAAGGAAAAAAAAACTAAGGACAGAGATTTGCCCAAGGTTTCACAGCTAGGCAGAGATGTGAGATTTGAGTACGGGAGGCCCCTGCGGCCCACATTTGTAACCCATACTATTCTGAGTGATTAAGACCTGAAACTTGTGCAGGGGTAGGGGATCAGAGGAAGATTCATTCTAACTAGAGGAAAAGTAAACCAGTGTCAGAGCTATTGGGATTTGAAGGGGCTTCGAAACATCAAAGGTCTTGAGAGCAGGAAGATTCCCACCTTTTTCAGAGGTTACCTAGGATAATAGTCTTTCTCTCCATTGATTGATTGATTGATTGAGATGGAGTCTTGCTCTGTTGCCCAGGCTGGAGCACAGTGGTGCAGTCTCAGCTCACTGCAACCTCCACCTTCCAGGCTCAAGCGATTCTCCTGCCTCAGTCTCCCTAATAGCTGGGATTACAGGCCCCCACCACTGCACCCAGCTAATTTTTGTATTTTAGTAGAGACAGGGTTTTGCCACGTTGACCAGGCTGGTCTCAATCTCCTGACCTCAGGTGATCTGCCCGCCTTGGCCTCCCTAAGTGCTAGGATTACACGTGTGTGCCACTGAGCCTGGCCATAATAGTCTTTATCTCCCTAAGCACATGCAGGTGATTCCTGATAGGCTCCTCCCAGGCCCCTGCAGCCCAGGGTGCTCAGGCAGGGCAGGCAGAATGCAGTTGGGGATGGAATTGTCCAGGAGGGAGGCCTAGACTTTGGAAGGCCTTGAAAGCTGGCTGAGTAGTTCCAGGTTGGGGGAGGGTCGTAACTGGTGTTAGATCTGGGCTCAAAGTGGGGTGAGTGGGAAGCTAAAGATGGTCCAGCAGAAGACAGGGCTGGACCTGGGAAGGGGTCATGGGGTGGTAGAAGGGTGAGGGACACCTCACTGACTTCACGGCTGACCACGTGTGAGTAGCAGGGAGGAAGGCGTCCCCAGGATCCCAAGGTCTGCCCCTCGCCCAGAACAGCCATCCTCCCCCTTATCCATCAGCTTGCTCTGTATGTTCATTCATTGATACTACAAACCAGGCGAAATCTGGGTGGTGTTGAGCAAGGAAGGGGCAGGGTCTGTCCTATCCCAGGCAGTGTAAAGATGCCCCTGGAGTGGGTTGAGCAAACTGGAGAGCCCAGACCCCACAGGAACAGTCCCTTCACTCCATCTGGGACATTTGAAACTCCTCCCTTTTTGTTCACCGGTGGAATCCAGTAGGGGGCATACCCATTGCTCCTCCCCAGGCCCCCTTCCACCTCTGGGGTGTCCTGGCCACACTCACTGCTCGGTGCCATGTGGAGGAGATAACATTTCCTTCCGCCCATGCCCCACTATCTGGCCCCAGCATGTTTTAAGTGAGGATAAAAGTCAAGTTCTCTGTCCCCACCTTCACAGGGTTGTCACTTCCCAACATCCCTAAGAGGTGGACCAGGTAGGTGTCCTGTTTAAGACTTGGAAATGAAGGCTTGGAATCTTCTAGGGTTCCATCTCCAGCCATGGCCACCCAACAAAGAGTCTACAAGCAGGCTAAGTTTTGGCCTGAGTGACTCCTCATCATCTCATGTCCCCCCAGACCCTAGAGCAGCAGGCAGCTTGGGCTAAGACAGACGGCCCATTGTTCAAGTCCTGACTCTTCTGTCACTTAAGCTCCATGGCCTTCCCCTCTCTGATCCCCAGTTGGCTCACCAGTTACTGGGAGGTTAATCCCTCCCTCCCTAAGCAGAAGCAGATGATTTATGCTGGGTCATGGAGCAGGCTCCTCCTAGGCCTCTACAGCAGATAACCCAGATGGAGCTCATCACCACACGTGCAGAGAAAGCCACGGTGTGAGAAGGTTGGGCACCTGAGCCAGGGCCTTCGGACAGCCCTCTGCCTGAGATGCAGCTCACTCCCGTCCCAGAACAGTCCCCCCACCGGAAGCCCCCACCACCTCAGCGGAAACAGGCAGCCGGACAGAAAGCAGGTTTTCATGCCAATAATTTATTGAACGGAGGTCTGTACACAGGCAAACCTTACTGTGGAAACTAAGACATCAGGAGCTCTCTCCACTCCCCTGGCCCTCCAGGGTGGGGTGAGGAGGGAGTAGACCTTGGGGGCAGAGGACAGGAGGGGAGTTACAGCTGTAGGAGGGGCGGGGCCAGGTTGGACGGTGCGAATCGACGTTTTCTTTAAGAAAAAAATTATAACAATCTATTTACACCCGGGGGCCAGGGAAGGGAAGAGGAGACGGGCTGGGCTGGTTCTATTTACAAGGGACACAGGAGGGGAGGGGGTCTGGAGGAGGTGGAGGTCTGGGGGAGGGGAGGGGGCCAAGGGGGTAGGAGGTCCTCATCCCCCCAACACCCTGTCCTTCTCTTCCCTCCCCACAACCAGTTAAAATCCTCTTAAAAAGCCCACCACAGGGGTGAGGCTGGTGAGGGAGGGACTGGAGGTGGGGACAGGGACTCATTTACCTCTGCCCTCTAGTCTAGGGGCCCAGCCAGGGCAGGAGCTTGATGGGCTATGGCCCCCCTTCCCAGCCCCTCTTGGGGCTCCCAGATGGAAGTGGAAGGGTGCTTGGTGGGGCCCTCAGGAGGAGTTAGTGAGGGTAGGTGTGGCATCGGTCGACTGCCAGTCTGAGCTGGTCGGAGTCTCAGTTAAAGCTGGAGGGAGGCAGGGAAGGAGCAGAGTTAGCCTTTGCCTTTCAGACACCCCTTCGCCCAACCCAAAAGTAGGAATTCTCTTGTCATAGATGCTACATTAAAAGTTACAAGCTGTTACTTTAGGTGAAGGGTTGCAAACTCAAGTGCTAAAGGGCCACGATAGTAACTGAGTGACACACCAGAGTGCCAGGCTCCATATAAGGCGGTGGCTGGGCTGGGCACAGTGGCTCACGCCTGTAATCCCAGCACTTTGGGAGGCTGAGGTGGGCAGATCACAAGGTCAGCAGTTCGAGACCAGCCTGGCCAACATGGTGAAACTCCATGTCTACTCAAAATACAAAAATAAGCCAGGCATGGTGGTATGAGCGTGTAATCCCAGGTACTTAGGAGGCTGAGGCAGGAGAATCACTTGAACCCAGGAGGCAGAAGTTGGAGTGAGCCGGGATTGTGCCACTGCACTCCAGCCTGGGTGACAGAAAAAGACTCCGTCTAAAAAATATAAAGGGCGCCCACTGTCTACTGTCAGTAGGATGGGCGGGCCCATTGCTGCCCAATCTGATTTTCTTCCCCAAGAGAAACAGGAAATCTGAATTTTTACATAAAATAGCCCCATTTTTAAACGTGGACACCATGGCCAGGCACAGCGGTTCACGCCTGTAATCCCAACACTTTAGGAGGCCAAGCGGGAAAATCACCTGAAGTTCAAGACCAGTCTGGCCAACATGGTGAAACCTCATCTCTAGTAAAAATACAAAAATTAGCCAGGCGTAGTGGTGTGTGTCTGTAATCCCAGCTACTCGGAGGCTGAGGCAGGAGAATTGCCTGAGCCCAGGAGGCGGAGATTGCAGTGAGCCGAGATCGAGCCACTGCACTGCAGCCTGGGTGGCGAGTGAAACTCTATTGCACAAAAAAAAAAAAAACAAACTTGGGCAACGAATTCAACTTTTTGTTTGTGTTCAGGCCAGACGTTATTTCTCTGGCTTTCCCATTGGCATTAAACACATTTAAACATTTGTACGCAAGAATACCCTCTAAAGGTGGTCATTCACATGTTGTAAGATGTGTTTCCTATGCCATCAAAATGTCGATGATTTAAAAATACATTCAGGAAACCCAGTCACTGAGCGAACAGCCCCACCCTCTCCAGGCTGAGAGATACTTTAACCCCCAGCAGATGGTCCCCACTTACCTTGTGAGGACGGGGTGAGGGTGGTAGTGCCCGCTGGGGACCTCAAGTGAGGAGGGATGAGAATGGCGTTGAGAGACGGTTGGATGGAGAGTTCTAGAAACAGGAATTGACATGCTAGTCAGGGTAGACTACAGCAGGGTTATGATGGGCACCAAATGGGAACCCAGCTATTGGGAAGGCCAGTTGTTTGTGGACACCTTCAGCCACAGACCTCTCTCAATGAAAAACCAGAAAAAGCTTAGCACAAGGCAGATCACAGTAAAGCACAACTGAAGCAGGTTCGATTCCCCCTGAATCTGGGAGTCATCTTTCCTGAGCCCCAGGCCTGCCTTGTACCCTGCCCTTAGCTCCCCACTCCTGCTTCAACACCAAGCTCCTCACAATCTTTGGCTGCCCCCCTACCCCGCCCCACTCCCCAGATCCCAGGCTATGCCCTCACCACCAGCACTGAAGTTGAAGAGAGGGGGAAGTGGGCGGTTGTTAGGCAGCTGGGTTCCCAGACATCGCAGTTCATCAAAGAAGCTGTGCGCACAGGCCTCTAGTGGGGAGAGCCTTGAGGATGGGGTGTACTCCAGCAGGCTAGAGCAGAGCGCGATGGCCTCTGGCGGCGTTCGAGATTTGAACACCTGAGGGATGGGTGCAGGGCTCATGAGGGTGAGATGCCCTGGACACTGGCATACTCCTGTTATCTCACTGCCACAGTGCCTGCGGCAAGTTATGACTGGTTGCTTCCCACACCCCCACCTTCCAAATGAAGAAACTAAGGCCCAACCACTAAGGAGAGGTCAGTTTGTATCGGGTAAGCAGGCAGCCCAGGTCTGGGACTATATGAGCCCTGCTGACCCTCCATAAAAATTGGAATCTTGAATTTACTTGTGGGTTCTCAACTTTTAAAATGCCATAAACTTTGAAAGCGGATGGATGTTATTGATCCCTGGATAACTCTTCAAATCCTCCCAAGCCGTGATTCTGAGGCTAGGTCCACAGAACAGTTGACCTCCAAGGGGGACCAGCTCTCAGCCATACTGCCCTGAGCCCCTAGCCCTGCCCCACCTTTGTCCAGGGGTGAGCTTTAATCTGAGGGAACTTGAACTCCGTGTAGTTGGGGTTCATCTCTCGGATTTGTTCCCGGGTTGGTGTTCCCAGCACCTGTAAAGAGAGGGAGGGGTCTGAGACAAGGGCCCCATCCCTCAGCCCCACCCCCTGCCCAGCCCAGCCCCGCCCCTCACCTTGATGATCTCCACCAGCTGGTCCACCCCACTGTCCCCAGGGAAGATGGGCTGGCCCAAGAGGAGCTCTGCCAGTACACAGCCAGCTGACCAAACATCTGAGGGGAAATGGAGGGAGCGTCAGGGCTAGGCGAGTAGGGCCACCAACCTCCCAATGCTTTTATTCCTCATGGCCATCCTAAGAGTGTCAGGAGCCCCGTTTTCTCAAAGACAAAGCACCTGGCCCAAGGTCACATGCAGCTTAGAAACATGGGCCCGACCTTGACCCTGCCTTTGCTGTACTCTCTAGTCTAGGTGTGTTTCCAGCCCTCAGTTCCTCTCTCTGCTAAGGACCCCAATGAGCTCCTTCTCTCCCGCTAGCCTTGGACGACAGACCAAATTAGGCCCAAACCTGCCAACAGGCACCCATGTTCTTTGGGCCACAGGAAGGTACAGCCTTAAATCCTGGACTGCCTTCCTCTTGTTCCAGCCTCTCTCCTGCCCATGAGAAGAGCTGCAGCGTGGCAGTCTCACCCCTCCCTGCTTTGTACCTTGACCCCCACAGCACGAGTTCATACCTAAGGACTCCACAGTTCGTCATGCTGCTGTGGAAGGTGCCCTTTCAAACTCTCATGCCCATTCCCTCAATTCAGACTTCCCCTCATGCCTGGAAAATGGCAGTTGTCCCCACAAACAGGGAAGGACACAGAGGCCCTGGGAGCAAGTTGCACCTTCATGGTGGCAAAGCCTTGCTTCCCGGTTCCCCCAAGGTCTCCAGCAGCCCTTCCCCCTAGCTGAGAACAGAGGGCTGACAGGGAGGTTCCAGAGCTGGTATGGACTCTGGAGTCAGGTCAGCTTTCAAATCCCAGTCCTGCCCAGTCCTAGTGGTGCCAGTGCGGGCAGGCGGCCTCACAGCTCTAAGCTCATCTGTAAAATTAGCATTCAACAGCATCAGCCTCCTAAGTTTGTGAGGACTGGATACAAGAACAGAAGTTAAGCTTTCATCACCAAGCTTGGCATACAGCACACAGAAAACTCCAAAACTTCCCAGATTGCCACTCCCCCCGCCACCCTCCCATAACTCTGACCGATGGATGAGGTGTAATCAGTGGCTCCAAAGATGAGCTCTGGGGCCCGGTAGTAGCGAGAACAGATGTAGGAGACATTGGGCTCCCCTCGGACCAACTGCTTTGCACTGTGGGAAGAGATGGGCAGGGGTACACGTGAGGCAAGGGTTGGGGTCCCCCCTGCCTCTTCAGCCACCCAACATGCCCCAGGCCCACCTGCCAAAATCGCAGAGCTTGAGGACAGCAGTGTCAGGGTCCACCAGCAGGTTCTGGGGCTTGATGTCGCGGTGACACACGCCCTGGGAGTGGATGTAGGCCAAGCTGCGGAAGAGCTGGTACATGTACACCTGCGGCGGGCACAGGATAGCAGAACTTTAGCCCAGCTTTCCCCATACAGCACCACTACCCCACCAGCTTGGCCTGAAGAGCCCTTCCAGGCCCACTCTCCCTGCTGCCCCCACAGCTTTGGGGAAACCCATTTGAAACCTTGGTTCTCTTAATGTGCACCACAATCACTTGAAGGACTTGTTAAAACAGGGACTACTGGCTGGGCGTGGCGGGTCACGCCTGTAATCCCGGTATTTTGGGAGGCCAAGACCAGCCTCGCCAACATGTTGAGATCCCGTCTCTACTAAAAATACAAAAATTAGCCGGGCGTGGTGGTGCACACCTGTAATCCCAGCTACTCGGGAGGCTGAGGCAGAAGAATCACTTGAACTCAGGAGGCGGAGGTTGCAGTGAGCCGAGATCGCACCACTGCACTCCAGCGTGGGTGACAGAGACCCTGTCTCAAAAAAAACAAAAAAAAAGGGACTGCTGGGCCCCACTCTTAGAGTTTCTGATCAGTGAGTTCTGAATGAGGCATTTGCAACAAGCTCTCCAGCACTGATGCTGGTCCCCGGACCACACTCTGAGAACCACTGCTTTAATCACAACCCTTGGCAGAAGCCTGATGAGTAAGGTACATCGGGAGGTTGTCATAAAACAGGCTAGGGAGCCAGGCACTCAGCTTCCCCCTCACCAAAACCACTGGCTCCTTAATCCGACAATCAAAACCACCCCTGAGCCTGCCCCCTCTCCAGCTCCATTTTCCTGCCACTCTCCCTCCCACTGACTAGAACAGAAGTACCGTGAGAGCAGGATTTTGAGTTTCAGTTACTGCTGCATCCCCCAGGGCCTAGACAGACCAGGTCCTGACATGGCTGCTTCCTAGGCCCCCTTCCTTTTATTCCAGTTCCCCTCGGCCAAAGATGCCACTTCCTTGCCCTGTGCTTGGTCTCCTCCAGGAAGCCTTCCTTGATCCTTCTCACCCACAAACCAGGCTGGGTGCTTCCTCCATTTCCAGAATTCCCTGTGCTCCTTCTGGTATGGCAGCAGCTAGTTCATTTAATAGTTTTCTGTGATGACGCCTTTCTACCCTACCAAACTGAGAGCTCTTCAAGGCCAAGGCCTGGGTCGCAGTCAGTGGTGCCTCTGGAATTCCTCAGCCCTGGGACCCGTATGCAGGCAGCCACAGGACAGATTCGCCAAACCAGAGAGCTCCCCTCCTGGGAAGTGAGGTCCAACAGCCACAACCACTGGTAGAGCCCACGTCGGCTCACCCGTGCTTGGTACGTAAAGCCAGCAGGAGCAGCAGCTGGGCCCCAAGTGACCTTCAGCAAACAAACCCACCCACCTCCTTCCAATGCAGTAGGCTGCTCCAGCCTGTTCGCCACATCATCCCTGGGCTGCAATCATTCATTCATTCATTCAAACACCTCCTGAAGGTCTGTAACACCCAGGGCACGATGCCAGGCACTGGGGAATGAGCCTGCACAGATGATGGACGGAGATGCATTCCTGGCTCTGTGGATGCTAACCTTCCTCCAGCCCTAACTCCTTCCCACCTACCCCCAGCCAAGGCTCTAAAGGCCCGAACTCTGGCCTCAGCAGCTGTCTCTGTGCAGTCCTGGTCCCCACCACCCCCTTATCCTGAGCTAACTCCAACATCTCTGGTGCCACTGGACTCCCTGTATGGACCTGAGCAACTACCTGGCAGCTTCTGCAACCCCAGGTGTCAGGCTGCCTTCCTGATTCAGTCAGGCCTTGCCTGCCTTGGCCCTCCCCTGTGTTAGGCGAGCTCCATCTCGGGGGGTTATGGGAACAACAGCAGGGGACATGGGGCCTCCAAAAACCAACATAAACTTGGCGGATGAGGGATCCCATAAAAGGCAGGAGGCTCCAGAGCCCCTGGCTTTGTGGGCCTGGGTCCCAGCAGCCCACCTGCTGGCCTACCTTGACATAGAGGATAGGGATGGTCAACTTGGCCTTGGTGAAGTGGCGGGCCACCCGGTACACTGTCTCGGGCACATATTCCAGCACCAGATTTAGGTAAAGCTCGTCTTTCTGCAGGGAGCAAAGGAGAGGTGTGAGGCACTGTGAGAAGAGTGAGGAGGGGGAAGGAAGGTATGCAGGGAGCAGTGGGGGAAAGGCAGGCAGGCAGGAAAATGGCTGGAGCAACCCACCACCACCACCTCGAGATCTCACCTTCTCGCCACTGGAGTAGAAAAAGTATCTCAGCCTCACAATATTGCAGTGGTCCAGCTTACGCATGATCTGCAGCTCTCGGTTCTTGAGGGCAAAGGGAGAGTCTCAGAATACAACCAACTCTCTCGGCTGCTCCTCCCTACTCACACTCACTCCCAACAACAGCCAGGCAGCTACTCCCTGTGTCCCAGCTCCAAGGTCCCCTGGAGTATCCCCCAATTCCTTGTCTCCAGACTATTCCCCTCCCACAGGAGCTGGAAGCCCACAGGTTAAACCCAGGCCACAGATGTGTTTTCTTCACCCCATTTTTTTTTTTTTTTGAGACAGAGTCTTGCTCTGTTGCCAGGCTGGCATGCAGTGGCTCAATATCGGCTCACTGCAACCTCTGCCTCCCTGGGTCAAGCAATTCTCCTGCCTCAGCCTTCCAAGTAGCTGGGATTACAGGCATGCACCACCACGCCCAGCTAATTTTTGTATTTTTAGTAGAGATGGGGTTTCACCACGTTAGCCAGGATGGTCTCGATCTCCTGACCTTGTGATCCACCTGCCTCAGCCTCCCTGACCTCATGATCCACAGGCCTCAGCCTCCCAAAGTGCTGGGATTACAGGCGTGAGGCACCGCGCCCAGCCACCCCACTTAAAAAAAAATTTTTTTTCAACTTATTGCTGACATGTAAAAGCCAAATGGCACCTTCTGATTTTTTTCTCCAAAATAAAGTTTTAAAAAGGATAGGCCAGGGCCAGGCGTGGTGGCTCACGCCTGTAATCCCAGCACTTTGGGAGGCTGAGGTGGGTGGATCACGAAGTCAGGAGATTGAGACCATCCTGGTTAACACGGTGAAACCCTGTCTCTACTAAAAATACAAAAAAAATTAGCCAAGCATGGTGGCAGGCACCTGTAGTCCCAGCTACTCGGGAGGCTGAGGCAGGAGAATGGCGTGAACCCAGGAGGCGGAGCTTGCAGTGAGCTGAGATCGCGCCACTGCACTCCAGCCTGGGCGACAGACTCTGTCTCAAAAAATAATAATAATAAATAAATAAATAAGATAAAATTTATTATTATTATTATTTTTAAAAGAACCTGGCTATGTTGGCCAGGTTGGTTTTGAACTCCTAGTCTCAGGCAATCCTCCTGCCTCGGGCTCTCCAAGTTCAAGGATTACAGGCATGAGCTACCATACCCAGCCTTAAAATAAAAATAAAATAAAAAACAGCTGGGCATGGTGGCTCACCCCTGTAATCCCAGCACTTTGGGAGGCCAAGGCAGGGAAATCACTTGAGGCCAGGAGTTCGAGACCAGCCTGGCCAACGTGGCAAAACCCCATCTCTACTAAAAATACAAAAAAATTAGCTGGGCATGGTGGCGCACGCCTGTGATTCCAACTACTCAGGTGGATGAGGTACAAGAATTGCTTGAACCCAGGAGGCAGAGGTTGCAGCGCTTGAACCCAGGAGGCAGAGGTTGCAGTGAGCCGACATCACACCACTGCACTCCAGCCTTAGTGACAGAACGAGATTCTGTCTTAAAAAAAAAAAAAAAAAAATAGAGACCATCCTGGCTAACTCGGTGAAACCCCGTCCCTACTAGAAATACAAAAAATTAGCCGAGAGTGGTGGCACACGCCTGTAGTCCCAGCTACTAGGGAGGCTGAGGCAGAAGAATCGCTTGAACCCGGCAGGCGGAGGTTGCAGTGACCCGAGATCACGCCACCACACTCCAGCCTGGGTGACAGCATGAGACTCCGTCTCAAAAAAAAAAAAAAAAAAAAAAAAAAGATTTCACATCTAAATCCAGTTTTCAGTTTGTCTTGAAAAATCAGGGCTAGGTATGCTGGCTCATGCCTGTAATACCAGCACTTTGGGAGGTCGAGGTGGGGGCGGATTACTTGAGGTCAGGAGTTCGAGACCAGCCTGGCCAACATGGCAAAACCCTGTCTCTACTAAAAATACAAAAAAAAAAAATTAGCCAGGCATAGTGGCCCATGCCTGCAATCCCAGCTACTCAGGTGGTTGAGGCACAAGAATCGCTTGAACCTGGGAGGCAGAGGTTGTAGCGGGCCAAGATCGTGCCACTGCACTCCAGCCTGGGTGACAGAGTAAGACTCCATCTCAAAAAAAAAAAATCAGGCATGGGCACATGAGGCTTGCCCCCCTACCTGGCACAAGCAACAACAGACAGGTAGTGGCCATCCAGCTCACTCTGGTCCCGTGGAAGCATCTGGGTCCTCGAACTCTATCTAGGATCCTGAGTCCCAGACTCCAGGCATTGGACTTTTCCCAGAATGCGGTCTCAGCATTCTTCCCCATTCTCTATTCCTCAGTGAGGCCTAGGAACTCCCTGCCCCTACATCCCTCTTACTTCTGGAACTCAACTCCAATCAAATTCTGACACCCTGGAGCTCCTCCTGCCCAAGGGCCCTCCCTGCCAAGACCGAGGCCCTGGTCTGGTTCCTTTCCAGTCTAGGCTCAGTTCTCCTACATCCAGACTAGTCTAAGCTCCAAATGCCAGGCCCTTAAACACCAATTATTCCTCAACTTCCACTTCCTCCATCTCCTTCTAGTTCCCTGAGCCTCTCCTAGCTCACAGGGCACCTCCATTCCATTCTGCGCTGGCCAAACACCTGGGAAGAGCGCGACCTTCAGAACCACCCGCGCTAGCCCTGCCAGGTCCCTTTCTCTCCTGGGAAGAAGTGTAACCAAATGGTTAAGGTAGAGGGTTTGGGAATCAGATTCCAGCCTTGACTGGGGCACTTGCTCTATGACCTCAGGCAATCCTCTTACCTGAGTTTGTTTCCCTGCTTTTAAACTTAGCTTACACTTAGAATGGGTATAACCACAGTACCTACCCTCAGAGAATCTTTATGTAAATTAAACAAGAATTTGCTTATTAAGCACTTACATTGAGCAAATGCCCAGTAAAAGCTCTGGGCTCTCCTGGGATCCACATTTCCCATCTTTCACAGGTCTCATTTCCTCTTTTCCCCCTTCTCTTCTGGCCCATGGCTCTGAAACCCAAGCCTCCAGCTCTCTGGCTCAGGTTCTCCCACCAGTCACACCCAGTCCCCAAACCTCCCTGTCCCCATCCCGCCCAAGCTACCTTGAACCTCTTGTCCTGGAGAACCTTCTTGATGGCGACTAGTTCCCTGGTCTCTGCCAGCCGTGCCTGGTACACGACCCCAAATGAGCCATTGCCAATCACTTTGATGTCCGTGTAAGCCACTTCTTGGGAGCGCTCTGGGCCTTGGCCTAGAGTGGCTACGACTGTGGTCACCTTCCCGCTGTCACCTGGGGAACAAAGGGGATACACGATCCACTGACCCATCCTGCCTGCGCATCACCCTATCCTGGGGCTGTGGGAGGAAGGGAAATCTCTGCAGGAAGCTCGTTGGGGACCTCTTTGTCCCCTCCTCCTCTTTGAGGAAAGGTGGATGCTGGGACCTTCCCAGTGACTTTTCCCCTCTTCCTTTCTGGGAATCTTAAGTCCTGCTCCCCTCCACATAGGAGGATATTGATACCTAAATCTCTCTGCTTCAAGGGTTGGCAACCCCAAATTTCTACTTCTAGGAAGCAACAGATCACTGGTCCATCTTGGTACTGGGAGACATCAGATGTTGACTCCATCTACTCTGGATCTACTGCCCTCTGGCCCCTCCTATTTGGAGAAAGCTTGACCGAGCCTCTTCCACTTCAGGGAGCAGTAACCCTGAGGTACTCCTACTTTAGGAAAGCACTAACCTCTCTCACAGCCTAGAGGATACTGACCTCTAAGTCCTCCCCTGTAGAGCTGGTAACTTTACTGGTTCTTGGTGACAGAAATGAATGTCCTCTCCTGCTATAAGTGCCAGTGCCCTGACCCTCACTTTTTGGTACTTTGAGGTTAGAAAAAAACACTGACCTGACCTCTTCATCTGAGTGGTCCAGAGACCCAGACCCCTCACTATATGTGGGTGGTCCCTAATGGACAAGCACCAAATTATGATAATGATGAACCTGACCTTTATTATCAAGGAGCTATTCCAGCCTCAGTCCTTTGAAGGAAAGCTATAATTCCCAATTCCCATTATTCAAATGGTGGCAAACCTTGGTGCCATTCTTAGAGGATAGTGACCCCTTTGAGTAACTGATGAACCAAATCCATTTTTTTGTTTTTTTTTTTGAGACACAGTTTCGCTCTCGTTGCCCAGCTGGAGTGCAGTGGCACGATCTCGACTCACTGCAACCTCCGCCTGCTGGGTTCAAGCGATTCTCCTGCCTCAGCCTCCCGAGAAGCTGGGATTACAGGCGCCCGCCACCACGCCCAGCTAATTTTTTATATTTTTAGTAGAGACAGGGTTCCACCAGTTGGCCAGGCTGGTCTCGAACTCCTGACCGCAGGTGATCCGCCCACCTCAGCCTCCCAAAGTGCTGGGATTACAGGCGTGAGCCACCGCGCCCGGCCACCAAATCCATTTTGAGGGGCCAGTGACAAGTTCTTTCAGAGGGAGATAACCCTACATCACTTTTTTTTTTCAGAGCCAATGACACCATACCTTAGAACAATTATTAAAAAAGTATAACCTTAGATCCATATTCTGTAGGAAACTGTGACCTACCCTGCTCCATTCCATTTTTGTTAAAGGAGACACACCAAGCCATGTATTTTAAAACATGGACTATGGACTTGGTTTGAAGGATATGCTGACTCCCAATGTCTTTATATCTAAAAGGCAGTAACTATTAATTCTCACCATTGGCAGTACAGCTCAACAAGATTTAGGGTGGGTAATGATGCCAGGTCTTGGTTTTAATAGGGAAGATGATCTGAGTACCAGGTTTGGAAAGCCTGGCCCTATTCTTTGGGGACAAAACACAGTAACCTCAAAGCCCTGCTTCTAAGTGATATTCGCTCCAAATCCCCATCTTCTGAAGGACAGGGAATGCAGATCCCTCTTTTTCGGGGTTGGTCTTATTCTTGTTCTCTTAGGAGACAATAACCCTAGATCCCCATTTGCAAGCGACTGTGACCTCTGATCCAATATTATAATGAATAGCAACATCAGATACCTGTTCTTAAGGCTCAAGGACCCAAGACCTCAATAATGGAAGAACAGAGACTTGTAACCCGTTTCTTTAAGTGTTAGTAATTCTGATCCACGAGTAATTCTGATCTCCAAGAGATGGTAACCCCAAGACTCCTTTTCCTGGGAGGAAGAGGGCTCGGATCCCCGGTATGGGGAGGCACAGTGACCTCGAGCTCCTATCTAAGCACATGAAAGAATCTGATGGATGTCTGAGGAGCTTTGGGAACCCTAATCACCACCCTACACGGGCGCCACTAGTACTCACGGCCCAGCTTCACCCCGGGCGGCGGGAAGCTAGTGCCTGCGCCGGGGCCTCCGCTGCCTCCTCCGCCGCTGCCGCCGGGTCCACCCCCGGAGCTCGAGGCCCCGACGCCCCCACCCATGGCCCCGACAGATGCCTTTCCGCCGCCGGTGCCGCCTGGGCCGGAGGCCGAGCCTCCGGGGCCGCCGCCGCCTCCTCCGCCTCCGCCGCCGGGCTCCGCGAACGAGCTAGTCCGCGCCCTGCCCGAGCCCCCAGGGCCGCCTCCCGAAGGCCCGCCGCCGCTCATGGCGCCGAGCACAGGCCCAGGCTGCGGGGCTCGGGCTGCCCGGGCTGCCCCAGCCGCCGCCGCTGCCGCCGCCTCCCCCGGGCCCTGGCCTCTTCCAGGCCGCGCCGCTCTGGCTTGGGCTCCGGCTCCGGCCCAGCGCCCGCCGCGGGGCACGCCGGGAGATGCAGTCCGGCTGTCGTCCGCGCCGCCGTCACCGCCCTCGGCCCGCACAGAGAGCCGCGTGGCACGCCGGGAAATGAAGTCCACAAAAGCCTCAGAGTAGACCGCGGGAATGATGGGCGGGAATGACGGGTCACGCTGTACGTCGGGAAATGGAGTCCAGGGTAATCTGTCAGCCGACTGTACGACGGGGAGCCCTGAAGCACTTTAGGAAGCAGAGAGCCTGATGCACGCTGGGAAACGGAGTCCACTCACTCAGTCTATTAGCTGTGTATGCCTCCCAGAGCTCGGTGCGCTCTGGGAAATTGAGTCGGCCCGCGTGAACCTGCGGGTCTCGGGCCGTGAGGCAAGCCGGGAAATGGAGTCGTCGCCACGCCCTCACCGCATTGCAGGTGTAAAGCGATTTTTAAAGCACGCCGGGAAATGGAGTCTCAGGTGGTTTTTAAGCCCCAGGTGGATACTGCAGTTCCGGAGATGGGCGAGGAAATGGAGTAGGTTTACGCGCTCCTCTTTCCAGGTACGCTGGGCCGCAGTCCCTGCCGGGAAGTGTAGTCAGCACCAAGGCCTCAGTGCAGTTGCCACAGCGAGCCCTGGTGTGTTCTGGGAAATGGAGTTCGACGTATCCTCCCCATTGACTGAGGGGGCGGGATCGCCCATGAGCTCCAAGCATGCTGGGGAATAGTCCAGACCTGACCCTCTGTGAGGCCAGTCTGCGGAGGCTTGCCGGGAAGCGAAGTCCAATGGCCACCATCAGGGGCGTGTGAACGAAAGGTTAGAGACTGCGGCAGTTCCCTGGAGAGACTTAAAAGTGTTTCAGCGCCTCCTTCCTCGCCCCCAGGTCCTTCTTTAAGAAAGAGCCGAGGTCGATCAAGGACTGCTGGAAAATGGATCCAAGCACCTTTAAGTTCCAGGTGACCATAGATCAGGAAAGAAAAAATGTCCCCTCTCTAACCGCAACTCTGCAAAGATTCGGGAAACAAAGTTCCCGGCGGTTTCTCAGAACACTAACTAGTCTTCGGATACAGTCTAGCTTTTCCTAGCAATGTGGTTCGCACCAGGAAGCTGAATGGAGCATTAAAAAGACGGAAATGTCATTTCTGGGCCTGGCGCTGTGGCTCAGGCTGGGCGCCAGTAGCTCACGCCTGTAATCCTAGCACTTTGGGAGGCCGAGGCTGGCGGATCATCCGAGGTCAGGAGTTCGAGACCAGCCTGGCCAACATAGCGAAACCCCCGTCTCTACTAAAAGTACAAAAATTAGCCGGGTGTGGTGGCGGGCGCCTGTAATACCAGCTACTCAGGAGGCTGAAGCAGGAGAATCGCTTGAACCCGGGAGGCATAGGTTGCAGTGAGCCGAGATCGCGCCACTGCACTCCAGTCTGGGCGAAAAGAGTGAGACTCCGTCTCAAAAAAAAAAAAATCCTGTCTTGAACCACCATTCAGTTTTCAGTTTTTGGTTTGTTTTGAGACAGGGTCTCGCTCTGCCGCCCAGGCTGGCGGGCAGTGGCGCAATCACAGGTCACTGCAGCCTCTAACTCCCAGGCTCAAGCAATCCCCCCACCTAAGCCTCCCATGTAGGTGGGACTACAGGCGTGCACCATCACGCCCAGCTAATTTGGTTTGGTTTGTTTTTTGGGGTGGTGGGGGGTAGCGGGGTGGGCTTCGCCATGTTGCCCAGGCTGGTCTCCAATTCCTGGGCTCAAGCGATTCTACCTCAGCCTCCAACGTGCTGGTATTTCAGGCTTGAGCCACGGCACCGGGCCTCCCACTCTTGTGTTTTGCATCCTCCGCTTCCTAAATTACAAGATCCCGGAAAGCCAAAAATAAGGAAGCCAGCTGCCTCAGGTTTTGTGTACTCAGTGAGTCGTCCTATTTATCGATTAATACCCGAAGGAGAGTAGCCCCCAAAAGGCGCTGGGAAACAGAGTTCCTGTGTCTGTATGTGTCTCTTCCTCCCCCGGAAATACTTAGAAGTAGAATGAAAGCGTTCTCAGCCCCTCCCGCATCCTGGAATGGTGGGAAATGGAGTCTCTGGACTTCACGTTAATCCGAGCTTGTGCTTATACTAACTGTCCTGTCCTTTCTGAAACCAGAAGAAAGTCCTGTCCACTCAGTTTGTTCCTGACTGCAATTCCCCGCGGACACAACTGCGGGGGTCGGTAGCGCCAAAGCCTGTTGAGACTACATTACCCAGAAGGCAAAGTGCGGAACACTTCCGCTCCCTTCACAAAGCAGGTGGCCGCACCACGCGCGGCTAGGCGCGGGCGTTTCTGGGAGTTGCAGTTTCCCAGCCAAATGGTACCTGCTGCCCTCTGATGGCAGCTCTGAGTCAAAAAGTAAAAATTTCAGTCGAGCCCCTTGGCCTAGGGATTCCAACGCGGGACCAAGACGGCTCAAAAGGGCGGCGACATGGGGCAGGATAGCGAGGGTTATTTAACCGCCAGAACCCGTGGGGCATGCGCCGCTGCGTGTGGGCAACCGCCACGAGGGGATTGGGGTCCGTGGGAGTTTGAAGGTGACGGTCTGCAATCTATCAGGATGTTTGTAGAGGATGAGAATGTTCATAGAGGGATGCTAGGAAGGGTTGTAAACGTCTGAGAGAGGCCTATGGGTGTCTAGAAGGGCTAAGAGGAGTCCGTGGAGTGGTGAAGGGGTCTTTGATGAGCTTAGTTGACAGGATAATTACTGGGGACCAGTGGAGAAGCCTGAGGGGACTTAGGCTGTCTGCTAAAAGTTCTATGGGTGGGTGGACGCGATGGCTTACACTTGCAATCCCAGCACTTTGTGAGGTCAAGGCCGTGGATCACTTGAGGTCAGTCAGAAGTTCGAGACCCGCCTGGCCAACATGGAGGAAACCCCATCTCTACTAAAAACACACAAAAAAATTAGCCGGGCGTGGTGGCCCACGCCTGTAATCCCAGCTACTCGGGAAGCTGAGGCACAAGAATCTCTTGAACCTGGGAGGCTGAGGTTGCAGTGGGCTGAGATTGCACCACTGCACTCCACCCTGGGCAACAGAGTGAGACTCTGTTTTGAAAAAAAAGAAAAAAAAAAAAGGTCTATGGGAGACAGAAATTACTGGTGACCAAGGGGATCTCTGAGCGACCTGAAGGGGTGAGGGATGGTTGAGAAGCATTGGGAAGGGGCTTTGAGAGTCTGTGGAGGTACTGGGGCTACACGTACAAAGCAGGGAGGTCTCTGATGAGATTAATTAATATGTGAAGTGCCTTGAGAGCATCTGTAAAGGGCTTTCTACTTGGAAGCAAGGATCTCAGAGGATATGGATGGGACCAAGGGTGTCTTCTTGCAGGAACATTTCAAGCCAGCTAGCTAATAGATTTAGGTGGGCGATTAAAGGTTAGAGTAGCCGCTGGAGTTTTCAAGGCCAAATGCCACCTGTGACATCCTACACAGCCAGAATCTGGGGCAACTTGTCTGGTAGGGCTGTGGTCTGACCTGGACAGCAGTTAGGGAGCTGAGCTGAGCACTTATGATTCCATATTAGATGTGGTTAGAGGTGCTTTGAAGGCACTGGGTTCAGGGGCTGAGGCCAGTAGTTAGGGTCCTCTCCTCCCGAGTGACAACATCCCCTTCTCCATCACCCCACCACCACCACCAACTCAGCTGCAACTATGTTGCCAGGAGACATGTCTCATCCCAGCTTCCAGAAATAGCCCAGTGGCCCCCACCCCAGGGAATGACTTACATCACCCAGGAGAGGGAGCAGTTTCCCGCAGGCCGCCTCGGGAGCCTCGGTTTCCTGCCAGTATCCTAGCCCTGGATCCTCTCTTCCCTGCCAACCGACATCATCTGGGACCACCCACCCTGGCTGGCATGAAATGAGATGCGAGTGGGTAGCAGTTGCCAGTCAACGTTTCTTCCCCCTCAGGGTTGCACAGGGTGGAGTTTCATGGCGAAGCCAGTCCAACAAGCCCTCAATTGCCACTCCATCTCTTAGCAGCTGTGTGGCCTTGGGGAAACCCCTTCCCCTTTCTGGGCCTCAGGCACCTCACCTGCATGGTGGAGACAGAACTTGTCTCTAAGGGTACTTCCAGCCTGGATTATTCCTCCTAATTCTTTCATCCCTGATTCAAGCTCTCCAATCTCAGCTTCTAGCTCTATGAGCTCATCTCAAATCCTCTGATCCTGAAAGCCTGATCTGGATCCAACTATCTTGGTGTTAGGAAGGAAAAGTCAGGAGTTGTTGAAAGAACGTGGGCTTTGAAGTCCTGGCTCAGCCACAGGGCCCTGGGCAAGTCACTTAGCAGCACTGGTTGCCCCTACCTTACTGGATACTGAAGGAGCTACAACACTGCAGCTCTTAAGTATTGGACACACAGTAGGTCAACAGCATCGATGACTAGTGAGCCAGTCCCTTGGCTGTGTGCTGGCTGGGGGTGTTCCCATACCTGGACCTGAAGATCACCAAGTTACCTTGCAAGGTCTACATTTCAAGAGACACCACAGGCTGTTCTCCAAAGGACTCCCAGCTGAACTCAGAGCAACAAGAGAGGGGTGTGGGCAGGGTGCGAGGGGCAGTGCAAAAGGGAGCTCCTGGTCTTCACTGGGGACCTGGGGTGTGGGAAGAATTCCTAGCCACAAGTGGGAAGGCATCCAGGCAATCAGAAGAGCAAGGGCAGTGGGGTTGTGGTGAAAAACAGTGGGAAGAGCTTTCAAGGACAAGGTCCCCATGGAACAGAGGAGCAGTCTGATGAAGCCGGCGCATGCCTGAGACCACTATCATCAAGCTCTGGGGCTCATGTGCCTCTGAGGTCAGGAGACGGTTTCCCAGGCCTGGATTTGGCCCATTCTGATTAGGGTTAGGCCCTCTATACTGATCTGGCCACAGACCCACTAGCAGCCAGGGTGGGGCCCCTCCTTCAGAATCAAGCAAAAGCTGTGGCCCTCAGGGGGCTGCACCGAGCACCTAGGACATTGATCACTGCATCCAAAGGTCCAAAGTTTTATTGTTTTGAATACATTCTCCAGCGGCCCCTCTACTCCCCCCACCCTCAGTCCCCAATACAGAATAAGGCTTGACCACAGCCCCCCACCCCACCCCAGAGGCCCCAGCTGGGAGGCAGAGGGGGCTTCCAGTTTGGTTTCAGGGCACCCCCTTCCCATCCCCCCACCCGCCTGCCCATGGGCCAGTCCTAGGAGCAGCTGGGGATGAAGGGGTTGGACCGGTGCTGGGGTGGGGAGTGGGAGAGGGATAGCAGGCACTTGTAGAGATTTGTGGCCCATGGGCGGCACCCCTCACCCTCCTCCGCCCCCCACCCCCCAACACATGGAATTTTTGGTTCATTATAAAATTGTCCCTCCCTCCCCTGCTGTGACCTTGTGGGGTATGAGAAACCTAGGCACTCATGGCCCCCTGGAGGGGCAGGGCAGGCAGGGCTGGGGCTGAGGAGGGCTGGGAGTGGGGCAGAGCGGGTGGGTCAGAGGGGTACAAGAGGCAGAGAACAGGGAGGGAGACAAGGCTTTACTTCCTAAGCGATTGTAATAGAAAAGTTCCTGGGTGTTAAGGCCAAAGCCTCAATTCAAATATAAATTCCCCAGAATGGAGGTGACCCCCTTAACTTCCCCCTCCCTCCCCCTACCACCACTTTGCCCAGAGCTTAGAAACCCACAGAGACAGGGAATAGCCCCTAGCCCTGGGCACCCACCCACCCCCACCATTTTTAAAAAAAAGAAATTAAAGTTTTATACAAAATGTGGGGAGGGAAAAGGGAGGAGGCAGGGAAGAGACAAGAGAGCTGCCCTCACCTCCAGGGCATAGGGGGCTTAAGGCAGCAAAAGAAGCATGGGGGGTGCGGGGCACACAGGTCCCCTGCCCACAGCCCTCAGGAGTCTCGGTGCTCCAGGGAGAGCTGGGCCGTGGCATGCTGGAGGTCAGAGCTCACCCGCCTTGGGGTGAGGGGCCCCCCAGCCTCCCCAGGCCCCTCCCCACGCACCTTCTTGTCCTCACCCTCATCCTCAAAGCCCCCAGCGGGGCCCCCACCCCCTTCGAGGCGACAGTCTTCACTCCAGCGCCGCTTAAAGCGTAGCTTGAGGGGCATGCACTGGGATGCCCCGGGTGCCTCGCCGGGCTCAGGCTTAGGGGGTGCAGGTGGGGCACGGGGCGTCTTGAACACCTCCCCGTCTTCCTCATCCTCATCACTGATGTCAGTCACCTCTACCTCCTCCGACTCGCCTTCCGAGATGGGCTCCACCTTGATCTGTGGTGGCGGGGGCGGTGGGGCTAGCGCCCCTGCCCCCTCAGCCAGCCCGCCTGCACTGCCACCGCTCTTGTCAGCACCGGCTACGGCCTTCTCCCCAGCTGCCCGCTGCCGGCGTCCGAGTGGGGGCGGCTGGAGCTTAAACTTGAATGGGGAGGAAGAAGAAGAAGAGGATGACGAGGCCGAGGAGGGGACCGGTGGGGTCTCGGGTGCCATGGGCGGCAGCGGGCACTTGTCAGGGCGCTGGGGCTGGGGCACCACCAGCCCAGGGTAGTGCAGGAAGGCGCGGGGGCTGAGGTGGTAGTTGTAGACGCTTTGGGTGTGGGCCTGCAGGTACCGTTTCATGTCCTCAGGGCTGAAGGAGAAGTGGGAGCCTCCCCCTGAGCCGCTGGGCCCCCCGCCACCACTGGGGTACATCGGGCTCAGCGTGGGCGAGGGAGTGTAGGCCAGGTGGGTGGGCGTCATGGGCAGAGCCGGGGAGAGCTGAGGGGGCAGCAGGGATCCAGGACCGGCCAGAGGCGACACAGGGAAGGGGCTGAGGGGTTCAGGGCCACCCCGAGGCCGGGGATAGACTCGGAAGACACCAGGGTCATGGGGCAGGCGGGCCAGCGGGGGCCCTCGGAAGGCACCCAGATCCGGAGGGCCGGGTGGTCGGGCGCGGGGATCCTCTCCCAGCGGTTCCTCCAGCTCTGACGTGCCATCACTACAGTCACTGACTGAGCCTCGGCCCAGGCGGCGGGCCACCACAGCCGAGAAGAGGGAAGATGAAGATGAAGAGCAGGCTGGTGGTGAGCGGGGGTCCTCGGTGGGGGACAGCACCTCGGAGGGCGTTGAGGGAGGGAAGCGGAAGTGGCTACCACCCGACGGCACTGGCGGGGCACTCTGGGGCACTGCACCCCCTGGCAGAAGGGAGACAGTGTCAAGGCCCCTGGCCTAGCCTGAAGGGGCATGTAGACCCTCTCCACACCAACCATCCCTGGTACTCACCAGCCAACCCCACATCAATGAATGGGTAATTGACCAGCACCAGTTTGTTGAAATTGAACTTGTAGGTGAACCGTTTCCCCTTGGTCTTGTGCAGAATGCGCTTGTTATAGTAATAGCTGTGGGTACAGAAATGCCATTGGGAAGGTCAGGTACGTGGGACCCAGGTCTAGACTCCACACCTTAACACGCACTTAGGTGTGGTTCCCAAAGGCCAACTGAGGAACGTAGGCCACAAAAGACAAATCAAGTGCCCAGAGGGTGGGTACCAGCTCTCTCCTCACATCTAAGGCAGGACTAGAGGATCCACTGGTGACTGTAATCTCTCCTCAGGATACGTCTGTGTTACCAAGGGGCTCAGGGAAGGGCTGGGAGTGGCCCAAGGTCACACAGCTAGGATTTGGCAAAGCCAGGGGTCAGACCCAATGCTTGTTCCCACAGGCAAGGGGCTGTGCAACCCCGGGGGGGCACTCCACATGTGCTCAGGGGTCCCCAGCCCGTCCTCACCGCAGGGCCCGGCTCAGCTTGTCGTAATTCATCTGGGGCTTGCACTTGCGAACGCCCCACAGCCGGGCCACCTCATCAGGGTCTTTGATGACGAATTCCCCGTAGTCCCCCTGCCAGGCAATGACGCCCTGGTACTCCTCCTTCCGCAGCAGCTCCAGGATAAAGTGCCACAGCTGGATCTGCCTTGAGCCAGGGGACGACTCTGGCTTGTAGGCCCAATCCGGGAAGGCAAACCCTGGGGACGGGAGGCAGGGAGTGGCCTGGGGTCAGGCTGCCAAGTCCAGGGCTCTGGGTCCCATCCCAGGGTCCACCTCTGCCCTGCCTTCAACATGGGGAAATCTGTCTCACCTCAGCCAAGTCAAGATCTGATTTAAGAGAAGACAGTGCGTGTCTGTCTGTCTGCATGTGAGGGGCTAGACAGGAGCTGGGGGGGAGGGGAAGCTGGAGCCCGCTCCAGCGACACCGGGAGAAACAGGAAACCGTCGGCGGTGGGTCCCGGGGCCAGTGCCAGGGGGCCAGGCACCAAGCCAGGCTGGCGGGCAGGGCTGCCAGTGGGGGAGGGGCAGGAAGGGGCACACGTGGCCAGCCGGGTTGGGGTACAGCCCCCCAGCTTACCCCCACTCCCATTCAGAGCCAGTTGCACCACCCCAGCTCCTCGGATGTCCTCCTTAGAAACATGCACTGTCTCCTCCGAAGACCCAACAGAGCCCCTACTCCCAACCCCAAGACCTGAGAGGAAGATTTTTTTTTTTTTTCTTAAAAGGACCAGGAGGGGTGGGGTGACTCGGTTGCCGATGAGGTCAGCGCTTGCACACACAGAGGCTTCTGTCTTCCCTGGAGAGTGAAACCCAGACTGTCTGAGAGGCCCCCCAAGCCCTGGACCCTCTGAGCTACACTGCCCTCCCCAGACCCAGGCATCCAGGCCCCACCTGGCTGGAGGGCCCAGCCCAGGCCTGGAGCTTGAGCAGGCACCCTGGAGCTGTCACCCTCTTCCCACTTCTGCCTTCTCATCTTCAGCTCCTTCCCTGCCCACCTGCCTGCCCACCCCCAGCATTAACCTTGGGTAGAGGTTGGCGGTGGGCTGGCTGGTCTCTGGAGGGGGTGGGCAGCCTGGGGTGGGGGGTGGGGGGTGGGGGGACTGCGGTTGTTGTCATTTCCCAACAACAGGGGCCATCAATAATTCAGCACCAGGCAGCCGGTAATGGAGGGGTGGGAGGAGGGAAAGGGGAGGAAGGGAAGGAGTGGGGAGGCAGAGCAGGGTCCCTGGTGCCACTAGAGAGAGAAGGCCAAGGTGGCCAGCTAAAGATGGGCGGCTCCCAAATCCAGTCAGGCTGCAGGGGTCAATCCGCCTCCCTTGGCCCCAGCTCAAACAGGTACCAACAAGGCCTCCAGGCAACACATCCACCCTCAAAGACTCCACCCAAGTCTGGAATCCAACAAGGGATCCTTCCCCTTGGGAATCCAGGGAATCAGTAGTTCCTGCTCCCACAGGGACCACCCCCTCCAAATCCAGAGCTCACTGTAGGCCCCCAACTCCTGCCCAGACTGGGCTGCAGTACCACATAGCCCCCGGAGTCCCTGCCCCATTCAGATATATCCCAGCCTTCCACCAGCCCCTCAGGGTGCCAGGGATATGACCTCCAGCTGTTCACAGACCAGCACCAACAGCCCCTGTTCCATTTAAAAGTGACAGCCTTTGACAACCCCTTCCAGAGACCCCAGAGCACCATCGCTCTCTTGGGAATCTAGGTGTTCAACCCATTATCCTCACCCTTCTAGAGAATCCAGATCACAAGGTCTCCTGCAAGGCCCAGGGTCCTTTGGAACCCAGGTGACCCAGCCACCAGCTTCATGGACCCTCATATCCCCTCCAAAAAGCTCCCAGCCCCTCTCAGGGAACCAAGCTCCATGTTACTTCCACCTCAGCCCCAATCTGGCTCTAGACCTAGAAGGGGGGCCAAAGCCCCTGAGACATCAATCTGGGGGTGGGGGATGTACTGACTTCCACCCTCCCCCCAAAATTAAAGCCACCCTTCCCAGCCCACCCGCCCCAGCCTCCGTGTCCCGGTAACCAGGCAACGTGTGTGCAGCGACAGTCCTGGGAGCGGGGGAGCAGGAGGCTAAAAATAAACTTTGCAGAAGAGAGGGAGTGAGAGAGACTACATGCAACACAAAGGGAACTCGGAAAGGAGGTGGGGGGGCTCTGGAAAGGCCTCAAGCCGCATTCTGGGAGCTGTCCCAGGCCCCCTTGTTAAACCCCTTCCCTGAGCAACCCCTCCTCCAGGGCCTGGACCCTGGCTCCCACTTCTGGCAGGGACCCTTCCCCACTCCCAAGCCCACCACAACGGCGGCTTTCCTCATCGGACACAGCATACATGAAGGCCTGTTCCCGGCTTTGGGGGGGGGAGAATGAAGAGGGGGTGACGTCAGGGTGTCTCAATGGGGCTCTGTTCCCCAGGCCTTGGAGCCAGGAGCCAGGCACGGGCAAGGGGAGCATGTGTGAGTGTGCTGTGTATGCGTCCACGTGCTTAAAACAGGGAAACACCAGACCTGCACGGAGGAAGCTTGGGGGTGCGGGACCTCGGGAACATGGGGGCCAGTGAGGCAGGGAGAGAGCAGGCACATGGAGAGAGGGGTTCAGGAGACTGCGAGACAGAGTGCAGAAGTGGCAGCAGTCAGACAGCAAGGGCTGGGATGGCGAGGTCCCAGAAGCACACCTGGGTCCCACAGAGGCGGGGTAGGGATTCTCCCAGACAGACTATGCAAGCCTGGGGGGACAAAACTCCTGGGCACCCCCCAACCTCACGTGACGGCCCAAACTTTTTTTAAGGGACTATGAGGGTCGGAAGGGAGGAGTGGTGGCAGAGGAAGAACACGCCGGCCTCCTGGGGGGCCCCACCACCTCCCCCACTCCAGGCGGCCCTCTATGGCGCCAGAGCCGGGAAGAAAACAGGAAGTGGGAAACAGCCACGGCAGAGAGAGGGACCGGGATGGAGAACTGGATGGAGGGGTGCGGAGCGGCAGGCCAGGAGGCAGACGGGAAAGATGCACCGATCGGAGGCCATTCCAGGCCTCCTTCCCCTCCCCTCCCCCAGCCGGAAAACCCACACACTGTCCCGCCCCCCGACAGGGTTGGGGAAGCGACCCGCGGATCCTATCAGGCCAAGGCCGGTAGCAGGGAGAGAAGATGAAGCGAGGTTGTCTGGGTGCCTCGGCCTCCTCCTTGGGCGAGGGTAGGCTCCTGCTGCCCCCAGGGCCCAGCCACCCGGGAGCGAGTGGAAGCCGGGGGAGTGTGTAGGACGCACGTGACTGACCCTACCGCACTCCGCACCCCGGCCCCACCCCCAGGGCCCCTCCTCGGTCCGGGTCCCAATCCCCTGGCGCCGGATCCCAGCTCGGAGCCCTTTAAGATTAAGCCGCCCCCACCCGCCGAGCAGGGGGATGGGGATGGGAATGGGGTGGGAATGGGGTGGGGATGGGGTGGGGTGGGTGGGCCGGTCGGGGCACACACCCGCACACAGGAGCCCGAGCCGCCGCCGCCGCCGCCGCCGCCGCCGGGGGAAGGAAACAAGTTTGAACAGCGGCGCCCGGCCCCCTTCCCCCTCCCCCGTCCCCGCCCCGGGCCGGATTCCGACGGGGTAGACGGGCAGGGGGCGGCTGGGACCCCTCCCCCTGCGCGCTCGGGCGCAAAGTCCAGCCCGCGCGAGCCCGGGGGCGGCGGGGGAGGGGAGGGGGAAAAGTCCGAGTGGGAGGGGGAGTTAATCCCGCTGCCCCCCGCCCGCCGACCGAGGGGGAGGGGAACCTTGGCCCCTTAAGGAGGAGCAAGTTGGCGGGGAAGAGAGGGGCGGAGGGAAGAGACGGCCCGCTGAAAGAGAAGAGGTGGATCCGGGAGGGGGGGCGAGGGGGGAGCCTCTGCGTCTCCCCCCACCTTCCCCACCCTCCTCAACCCCGGGCCACCGGTGGCGCGGGAGGAGGGTACCCAGGTCTCCCCGGAGCCACCTTAAAGCCGCGCGTTCTAAGGTCGGAAACAAAAAGTTCCTTTTTCGAACGTTCGGGCTGCGCTTTGGAACTTTGCGACTCGGCGAGGGCGGGGGAGCGAGGAGCCGACAGAGGCGGGCGGGGGAGGGGCGGCGCAGCCAGGACCCCGAGTCCCGGGCTCCCCACTCACGCCCTCCTCCTAGAGGCCATCCCGTATCCCCCGCTAACCTGGTGCAGGGCACGCGCCGCCGTGAAGGTCACCAGCAGGACCGCGCAGCGCAGAACCAGGGATAGCGGGCCCGGTGGACGAGCCCCCCCGCCCCGCACACGTCCCGGCCCCCAGAGTGCAACGTGACAAGAGCGGAGGGGAAGGACCCCGCCACCCCCGTGATCCCGGGAGTGGGGGAGAGCCCGGCCTGCGGGGTCCCGGTAGGGATACAGGACCAAGACCCGCAGCACCCACACCACTCCGCCCGGAGCCAGGAATCGGGGGTCCCAGGCAGCAACCCCGCTCGCGCCACGAGAAGCAACAGGTCTCCAGTGCTTGAGGGGTCCCCCAGAACTGGGGATCACTCGGGCTCCCCCGGACCCCTTCAGCCCCCCCAAAGTTTCTCCGTTCGGTTTCCCGGGGCAACAAGTCTCCCCCACACGTGCTGCCCCCGCCCCCACCTGTGTCCGCCGGGGTCTTCATGCTGGGGGGCCCGGGGCGAAGCGCCCCGATTCCGGGCCGCGGCTCCCGGCGCCCTCGCTGCCCCGTCCCGTCCCGCGCCCGTCGGGCCGCCCTCGCCGCCTCACCCGGCCTCGCCTCTCAGAGCCTCTCCCCTCCCCGCCGCCGCCTCCCGGGTTAATATCGCACTCCGGGGCCGGGACGCCCACGCCCCCCGGCCGGCGACGTCACCGCCGCGTCGCCATGGAGACACTGCGCCCGCCCCCTCCCCGCGCACTCACACACACGCTCGTCGGCGCGCAGCCACTGAGGACCGGCCGGCTCTGGGCTTAAAGGGGCCGCGCGGCGGGGGAGGGAGGAAGGAGGGGGTGGGGGTGGGATGGGGTCCCGCGGGTCATGACCCTAGTCAGAGGCTCCGAGTCTGCAGCTAACTTAAGTCTTCGGCACTCGCTACCTGCTGCCCCTCCTCCTCTCCTGCCCACTGCGGGCTCCAGAGTTTCTTTTGGGAGCCTGTATGGGAAAACGGGGGGCCCTTCCGAGGAAGCGGGGGTCAGAAACTTTTGTGGGGAGGGGGCAGAATCTTCTCTGCAGAGGGGCGGGGTCAGGACCTTAGAAGATGATGAAGACCACAGCATTTCCCAGCTTGGTTTTACCCAACCCCCCAACCCTGAGCCTGAATGGGGGCAGCTGTCCAGGGGTGGGGTGGAATGGGTGGGATGCATTTCCCAGCATCGGAAATGGGGAGGCGGCTGTGCCCTCCGCTCCTGTGGGGATGGGGTCTTGGCTTCCCTGATAACCCCCGTCCAGCTGGGGAGGAAGTGACCAGAGAGAATGCATTTGGAAGCCCCCACCACCACCGTCCCCAGGCTGCAGCTGTCCCGGGGATAGGGCTGGCGCCGGAGGTCCCCCCACGTCCACTACTAGGACCGGGGGTTCCGGAGGCGGGGCCGGGATACGAGGGGGCGACCAAAGTCTGAACAAATGTGCTCCCAAGGGGCACTGAGGGTCGCCAGGAGAGAGGAAGACAGGGCTTAAGATCGAAAGCCAGAGCGTAGAGAAGTGTTAAGTCTCCGTTCTCTGCCTCAGCCGGGAGGGAAGGATGAAGCCTGAGGCTCTGGGAAACAGGAAATCACAGCGCAGATCTGATGGAGCCCAGGAGCCGGCAGCAGGGTAGAGGCCAAATAGAAGCAATATTCACAGGCATAGCCTGGAAACAGAGTCTCAAAAAAGACTCTGAGGTTCCGAAGGAGGGGCGTATGGGTGGCGGGCGGGAGTTGGGGGGGCTGGGTGGGGGACGAATCCAGAAGATGGGCGGGGAGACAGAAAAGTCACAGATAGGGAAGGCCTGCGGAGCTCAGGCTCCCGGTACCCAGGGCTTCAATCCCAGCCTCCTCGCTTGCGGGGTACCTAGTCCACCTTAGACAGGCTCCTCACCAGTGCCTAAAAAAAAAAGTCTCAGGCCTCCTCCTTGGGGAGACCAAGGGCTCCAGGGAAGCTTTCCCCCACAACCCCCGGGAATTATGTAACCTTGCCTACGGACAGTACAGCTCCCCCACGGATATTGTAACCCTCTGGGAGCGGTGTGGTCCAGCAATAATAATCATCTTCATTGTTCGAATAACAGCTCCCGAATTCCGAGTGTTCATGATGTGCCAGGCACCGGGCCAAGCATTGTCAGGGGCATCTTCTCATTTAATCCTCACAAAATCCCAACGAGGGGAATTACTGCTGTTATCCCCATTTACAGATAAAGAAAGTGATGCTCTCTGAGGGAAAATCAGTCCACTAAATCTTACAGCCAGGAAGTATTGGAACTAAGATTCGAACCCAGATCTAACCAATTCCAAACCACCACATTTACCCTTTACCATTATGCTTTATTACCTCTTTTACTACCCCCTCCAAAAAAAAAAAAATGCAGATTTTCAAAGATACTACATCAGGGCCCGGCGCAGTGGCGCACGCCTGTAAACCTAGCACTTTGGGAGCCGAGGCGGGAGATCACTTCAGGTCAGAAGTTCCAGACCAGCCTGGCCAACATGGTGAAACCCCATCTCTACTAAAAGTACAGAAATTTGCCAGGCGTGGTGGCGCACCTGTAATCCCGGCTACTCAGGAGGCTGAGGCAGGAGAATCGCTTGAACCCAGGAGGATCGCTTGAATCCAGGAGGCGGAGGCTGTAGTGAGCCGAGATCGCTCCGCTGCACTCCACCCTGGGTAACAGCAAAACTCCGTCTAAAAATAAATAAATAAAAAGGCTGGGCGCGGTAGCTCACGCCTGTAATCCCAGCACTTTGGGAGGCCGAGGCAGGTGGATCACCTGAGGTCTGTAGTTCGAGACCAGCCTGACCAACATGGAGAAACCCCGTCCCTACTAAAAATACAAAAAATTAGCCGGGCTTGGTGGTGCATGTCTGTAATCCCAGCTGCTCGGGAGGCTAAGGTAGAATCGCTTGAACCCGGGAGGGGGTTGGTTGCGGTGAGCTGAGATCGCGCCATTGCACTCCAGCCTGGGCAACAAGAGCGAAACTCAGTTTCAAAACAAACAAACAAACAAAAAGATAACACATCAGTAACAAACCCAGTGACCCCTACCCTCCCACCAGCAAGACAGAGATGAGTTACACCCAACCTTTTTTTTTTTTTTTTGAGACGGAGTCTCACTCTGTCGTCCAGGGTGGAGTGCAGTGGCCCCATCTCGGCTCACTGCAAGCTCCGCCTCCCGGGTTCACGCCATTCTCCTGCCTCAGCCTACTGAGTAGCTGGGACTACAGGCGCCCCCCACCACGCCCGGCTAATCTTTTGTATTTTTAGTAGAGACAGGGTTTCACCGTGTTAGCCAGGATGGTCTCAATCTTCTGACCTCGTGATCCGCCAGCCTCAGCCTCCCAAAGTGCTGGGATTACATGTGTGAGCCACCACACCTGGCTGTTACACCCAACCTTTGCTACTTCTTGTCTCTGACAAGGCAAGTGAACTCAGTTCACCTCTTTTTTTTTTTTTTTTTTTTTTTGAGATGGGGGTCTCACTGTGTTGCCCAGGCTGGATTGCAGTGGCACAATAATGGCTCACTACAGCCTCGACTTCCCTGCCTCAAGCAATTCTCCCACTTCAGCCTCCTGAGTAGCTGGGACTACAGACACATGCCACCATGCCCAGTTACTTTTTTTTTTTTTTGAGATGGAATTTTGCTCTTGTCACCCAGGCTGTAAGTGCAATGGCACGATCTTGGCCCACTGCAACCTCTGCCTCCCTGGTTCAAGCAATTTTCCTGTCTCAGCCTCCTGAGTAGCTGGAATTACAAGCGCCCACCACCATGCCCAGCTTTTTTTTTTTTTTTTTTTTTTTGAGACGCAGTTTTGCTCTCCTTGCCCAGGCTGGAGTGCAGTGACACCATCTTGGCACATCGCAACCTCCGTCTCCTGGGTTCAAGCAATTCTCCTGCCTCAGCCTCCCGAGTAGCTAGGATTACAGGCATGCGCCACCACGCCCAGCTAATTTGTATTTTTAGTAGAGACGGGGTTTTTCCATGTTGGTCAGGCTGGTTTTGAACTCCTGACCTCAGATGATCCACCCGCCTCAGCATCCCAAAGTGCTGGGATTACAGGCGTGAGCCACCATGCCCAGCCAACCCAGCTAATTTTTTTTTATTTTTAGTGGAGTTGGGGTCTCTCTGTGTTGACCAGGATAGTCTCCAACTCCTGGGCTCAAACGATCCGCCCACCTTGGCCTCCCAGAGTGCTGGAATTACAGGTGTGAGTCACCCTGCCTAGCGAAGTTCACCTCTTTTTTTTTTTTTTTTTTTTTGAGATGGAGTCTCGCTCTTTCGCCCAGGCCAGACTGCAGTGGCGCTATCTCGGCTCACTGTAAGCTCCGCCTCCCGGGTTCACGCCATTCTCCTGCCTCAGCCTCCCGAGTAGCTGGGACTACAGGCACCCGCCATCACGCCCAGCTAATTTTGTGTATTTTTAGTAGAGACGGGATTTCACCGTGTTAGCCAGAATGGTCTCGATCTCCTGACCTCGTGATCCGCCCTCCTTGGCCTCCCAAAGTGCTGGGATTACAGGCGTGAGCCACTGCGCCTGGCCAAGTTCACCTCTTTGAGCCTCAATTTTCCTCATTTGTAAAATGGAGGTGTTAATAGATCCTACATGATCAAGTTATTGTGAAAAATCAGAGATGTGGCCAGGCGAGGTGGCTCACACCTGTAATCCCAGCACTTTGTGAGGCCGAGGCAGGTGGATCACCTGAGGTCAGGAGTTCCAGACCATCCTGGCCAACATGGTGAAAACCCGTCTCTATTAAAAATACAAAAATTAGCTGGGCGTGGTGGCTGGCGCCTGTAATCCTAGCTACTCAGGAGGCTAAGGCAGGAGAATCATTTGAACCCGGGAGGCGGAGGTTGCAGTGAGCCGAGATCATGCCATTGCACTCCAGCCTGAGTGACAGGGCGATACTCCGTCTTAAAAAAAAAAAAAAAAGAAAAAAAGAAAAATCAGAGATGCAAAGTAAGTATGCAATAAATACTGTTAATAATTATTAGCAGAGTGAACTCTATGCCCCATGGATAACAAGAGCACTCTACCCTACAGACTCCAACTGTAACAACAGTTAGAGTAAACAGCAATAAACAGGCTGGCTGCAGTTTGTGTCTGACACATGTAATCCCAGCACTTTGGGAGGCCGAAGCAGGAGAATTTCAAGAGGCCAGGAGTTCAAGACCAGCCTGGGCAACAGAGTGAGACTCTCTCTACAAAAAATTTATTTATTTTTTTTTTTATTTATTTGAGATGGAGTCTCCCTGTGTCACCCAGGATGCAGTGCAGTGGCAGGATCTCAGCTCACTGCAACCTCTTCCTCCCAGGTTCAAGCAATTCTCCTGCCTCAGCCTCCCGAGTAGCCTAGATTACAGGCTTGCGCCACCACGCCCGGCTAATTTTGTGTTTTTAGTAGAGATGGGGTTTCTCCATGTTGGCCAGGCTGGTCTCGAACTCCTGACCTCAGGTGATCCGCCCACCTCGGCCTCCCAAAGAGCTGGGATTACAGGCGTGAGCCACCAAGCCTGGCCGGGAGGATGGTTCTTACTGGCAGATCTGTGTCCGTGGTGTCCAAAGGGCAGCCCAGGCTTATGTTTTCTTTTTCTTCTTTTTTTTTTTTTTAATTTTTATTTTAAGTTCTGGGATACATGTGCAGGACGTACAGGTTTGTTACATAGGTAAACGTGTGTCATGGTGGTTTACTGCACCTATCAACCCATCACCTAGGTGTTAAGGGACATTTTTTCTTAAAAATAAAATTTAAAAAAATAAAGCACACTGCACTGACAGTGTGAAATTGTGTATTAATGTCATAATCCCACTCTGACCCAGATGGTTGGCTCAAACTCAGTGTTTCTATGAAACACAATCACGGATGATCGGCATGCCTCGTGGGAGAATCTGAACGATCCGCGGAGAGTGAAAGTCCCTCGTGAAAATGTCGTCTGGGCCTCTTAAGTTTGGTGGTTTGTGCAAACGTGTCCATGGATATTGTAATCTTTCAGTGGCCTATGTGACTCCAATTGCTTTATCAACACTGATACCCACCCCCAGAGATGGTAGAGATGGTGAAATATTGGCCAGGTGCGGTGGCTCATGCCCGTAATCCCAGCACTTTGGGAGGCTGAGGTGGGCAGGTGGATCACCTGAGGTCAGGAGTTCAAGTCCAGCCTGGCCAACATGGTGAAACCCTGTCTCTACTAAAACTACAAAAATTAGCTGGACATGGTGTCGGGTGCCTGTAACCCCAGCTACTCAGAAGGCTGAGGCAGGAGAATCGATTGAACCCAGGAGACAGATGTTGCAGTGAGCTGAGATTGGGTTCAAGTGATTCTCCTGCCTCAGACTCCCGAGTAGCTAGGATTACAGGCGCACGCCACCATGCCCAGCTAATTTGTTTTTGTATTTTTAGTAGAGGCAGGGTTTCACCATGTTGCCACGCTGGTCTCAAACTCCTGACCTCAGGTAACCACCCTCTTTGGCCTCCTGAAGTGCTGAGATTACAGGCCTGAGCCACCACACCCAGCTTTTTTATTTTTTATTTATTATTTTTTTTTTGAGGTGGAATTTCGCTTCGTCACCCAGGCTGGAGTGCGTTGGCACGATCTCGGCTCACTGTCACCTCCACCTCTTGGGTTCAAGCAATTCTGCCTCAGCCTCCCAAGTAGCTGCGATTACAAGTACCCGCCACCACGCCTGGCTGAAAACCCTGTTTTCTTCCCCCCCGAGACAGAGTCTTTCTCTATTACCCAGGCTGGAGTGCAGTGGCACAATCTTGGCTCACTGCAACCACCGCCTCCCGGGTTCAACCTATTCTTCTGCCTCAGCCTCCCAAGTAGCTGGGATTACAGGTGCCCACCACCATGCCCGGCTAATTTTTGTATTTTTAGTAGAGATGGGGTTTCAACATGTTGGACAGGCTGGTCTTGAACTCCTGACCTCGTGATCTGCCTCAGCCTCCCAAAGTGCTGGGATTACAGGCGTGAGCCACCGAGCCCTGTTTCTTTCTTTCTTTTTTTTTTTTTGAGACGGAGTCTCACCATGTCGCCCAGGCTGGAGTGCAGTGGCGCAATCTCAGCTCACTGCAACTCAGCCTCCCGGGTTCACGCCATTCTCCTGCCTCAGCCTCCCAAGTAGCTGGGACTACAGAGGCCCGCCACCACGCCCAGCTAATTTTTTGTATTTTTTGTAGAGATGGGCTTTCACCATGTTAGCTAGGATGGTCTCGATCTCCTGACCTCGTGATCCGCCTGCCTCAGCCTCCAAAAGTGCTGGGATTACAGGCGTGAGCCACTGCACCCGGCCTAACCCTGTTTCTTAAGAAAAAAAGATAGTGTGATGCGGGGGATTGAGTCCAATCTCTCCCCCTCTGCAAAACCCTGTTGCAGTGTTCTCTATCAAAACAAAACAAAAATTTAAAAAATGAATAGTATGACTCATCTCATATGGTATAGCCACCATACACAGTGTGACCACCTCTAAACAGAATGTCACCCCCTTAGAGTATCACTCTTTCTCATCTCCCTGACTGAAGATGCTGAAGGCACCAGGGCTCAGATCCCTCTTTTCTCCTGTCTAGACTCATTCCCTTGATAACCTCCACCAGTCCCACAGTGGATATGCCATCTCTATGCTGATTACACCCACAGTTATTTATTTATTTATTGGTTTATTTATCTCTCTCCTCTCCTTCTGTCTCCCTCCCTCCCTCTCTCTCTCTCTCTCTCTCTCGTCTCTGATCTCTCTCTCTCTCTCTTTCTTTCTTTCCTCTTTTTCCTTCTTGACAGGGTCTCACTCTGTTGTCTGGCTGGAGTGCAGTGGTGCGATCACAGCTCACAGCAGCCTTGACACCCTTAGGCTCAGGTGATCCTCCCACCTCAGCCTCCTGAGCAGCTGAGACTACAGCTGTGCACCACCACACCTGGCTAATTTTTGTATCTTTTTGGAGAGATGGGGATCTTACTATGTTGGCCAGACTGGTCTTGAACTCCTGGGCTCAAGTGATGCTCCCACCTCAGCCTCCCAATAGTGTTGGGATTACAGCTGTGAACCACCGCGCCCAGCCTCCGCCCACAATTCTATCTCAATCTCGACTCTCCCCTGAACTCCAATCTGGCACATCCAACTACCTCACCAGTGTGTCTATCTGGATTTCTCAAGCTTGCCAAATCAAAAATGGTCTTCCTGAACTCCCCCAAACTGCTGCCCCCACAAGCTTCCCCATCTCAGGAAATTGCAATTCCATTTTGCTGGCTGTTCAGGCTGAATACCTTGGAGTCATCCTTGCCCCCTTTCTCTCATCCGATATCCAATCTGAAGGGAATTTCCACCAGCTCTACCTTTGACTATTCTAGAATCAGCTACTTTTTTCTTCCTTTTTTCGAGATAGGGTTTGGCTCTGTTGCCCAGGGTGGAGTGCAGTGACACCATCTCGGCTCACTGCAACCTCCGCCTGCCAGGCTCAAGCCATCCTCCTACCTCAGCCTCCCAAGTAAGTGGGACCAAGTCATATGCCACCACTCCTGGCTAATTTTTTTTTTTTTTTTTTTTTTTGAGATGGAGTCTCGCTCTGTTGCCAGGCTGGAGTGCAATGGCGTGATCTCAGCTCCCTGCAACCTCCGCCTCCCGGGTTCAAGGGATTCTCCTGCCTCAGCCTCCTGAGTAGCTGGGACTACAGGCGCCTGCCCCCACGCCCGACTAATTTTTGTAATTTTAGTAGAGACGGGGTTCCACCATATTGGCCAGGCTGGTCTCAAACTCCTGACCTTGTGATCTGCCCACCTCGGCCTCCCAAAGTGCTGGGATTACAGGCGTGAGTCACCATGCCCAACCACTCCTGGCTAATTTTTTTGTGTATTTTTTTGTTGAGATGGGGTTTCACTATGTTGCTCAGGCTGGTCTCAAACTCCTGGACTCAAGTGATCCTCCTGTCTCAGCCTCCCAAAGTGCTGGGATTACAAGCGGGAGGCATTGTATCCAGCTTATTTTATTTATTTATTTATTTATTTATATTTTTCTGAGACAGAGTTTCGTTCTTGTGTGTTGCCCAGGCTGGAGTGCAATGGCACAATCTCGGTTCACTGCAACCTCTGCCTCCCGGGTTCAAGCAATTCTCCTGCCTCAGCCTCCTGAGTAGCTGGGATTACAGGTCAGGGTGGTCTCAAACTCCTGACCTCAAATGATCCACCTGCCTTGGCCTCCCAAAGTGTTGGAATTACAGGCCTGAGCCACTGAACCGAACTGGATTCAGTCTATATTTTTCACTGCCTTGTCACCAGCGCCTAGACCAGTGAGTGTCATAGAATAGGTTTGTAATATTGGCTGGGCACGATGGCTCATGTCTATAATCTCAGCACTTTGGGAGGCCGAGGCAGGCGGATCATGAGGTCCCAAGATGGAGACCATCCTGGCTAACACAGTGAAACTCCATCTCTACTAAAAATACAAAAAATTAGCCGGGCATGGTGGTATGCACCTGTAGTCCCAGCTACTCGGGAGGCTAAGGCAGGAGAATTGATTGATCCCAGGAGACAGATGTTGCAGCGGACTGAGATCACGCCACTGCACTCCAGTCTGGGCAACAGAGCGAGACTCTGTCTCAAAAAAAAAAAAAAAAAAAAAAAAGAGAGAGAATAGGCTGATAATATGTATTTGCTGAAGTAAGTGAACTGAGTGCACATTCACCTGGTCCAACCCACAAAAAATATGAACCCATACAAATGGTGCAATGTCCATAACTAATAAACCCCCACATACAGTGTGAGCCCCAGTGTAGAAAGTGAGACCCTCAAATGCATTGTGAGTCTCTCATATAGATGGCAAGATAGCATATAAATAATTTGTGGGTCACGCGCAGTGGCTCATGCCTGTAATCCCAGCACTTTGGGAGGCTGAGGTGACTGGATCACTTAAGGTCAGGAGTTCGAGACCAGCCTCACCAACATGGTGAAACCCTGTCTCTACTAAAAATACAAAAAAATTAGCCAGGTGTGGTGACGTGCACCTGTAATCTCAACTACTTGGGAAGCTGAGGCATGAGAATCGCTTAAACCCGGGAGGCGGAGGCTGCAGTAAGGTGAGGTATTACCACTGCACTCTAGCTCTGGCCAACAGAGCAAGACTGTCTCAAAACAAACAAACAAACAAACAAACAAAAAACCAATTTGTGCCCCACACAATCTACTTGTGAGTGTTATCGAGGCAGTATAATTTCTTTTTTTTTTTTTGAGATCATGAGGCAGAGTCTCGCTCTGTCGCACGATCTTGGCTCACTGCAACCACCACCTTCCAGGTTCAAGTGATTCTCCCACCTCAGCCTCCCAAGTAGCTGGGATTATAGGCGCTTGCCGCCACGCCCGGCTAATTTTTGTATTTTTGTAGAGATGAGGTTTCTCCATGTTGGCCAGGCTGGTCTCAAACTCCTGACCTCAGGTGATTCGCCCGCCTCGGCCTCCCAAAGTGCTAGGATTACAGGTGTGAGCCACCGCACCCGGCCATTTCTTCTTTTTTTTGAGACGGAGTCTCACTCTGTTGCCCACTACAGGCGTGTGCTACCACACCCAGCTAATTTTTTGTATTTTTAATAGAGACGGGGTTTCACTGTGTTAGCCAGGATGGTCTTGATCTCCTGACCTCGTGATCCGCCCGCCTTAGCCTCCCAAAACGCTGGGAGTACAGGCATGAGCCACCGCGCCTGGCCTGTATTTTTATTTTTTGGAGACACAGTCTTGTTCCGTTGCTCAGGCTGGAGTGCAATGGCGCAATCTCAGCTCACTGCCACCTCTGTCTCCTGGGCTCAAGCAATTCTCTTGCCTCTGCCTCCCGAGTAGTTGGGATTACAGGCACCCGTCACCATGCCTTGCTAATTTTTGTGGTATTTTTAGTAGAGACAGGGTTTTACCATATTGGCCAGGCTGGTCTCAAACTCCTGATCTCAGGTGATCCACCCACCTCAGCCTCCCAAAGTGCTGGGAGTACAGGCGTGAGCCATCACACCCAGCCGAATTTTTGTATTTTTAGTAGAGATGGAGTTTCACCATGTTGGCCAGGCTGGTCTTGAACTCCTGACCTCAAGTGATCTGCCTTCTTGGCATCCCAACATGGTATAACTCTTGTAAGCAGGGGGAATCCCTACATGGACATTACAAATTCACCACAGCCAGAGAACATCCTAAACTGACAGTCGAGACCTCCTTTCACTGCAGCAGGCTCCCTAGGCCAAGTGAATTCCCTCATGCAGAGTACACACCTCTCTGCTAAAAGTCTAATTCTCCCTCACTCCTGATGCAAACGGACTGTGGAACACAAAACCCTACCCTGATCAATAAAAATCTCCCCCAAACATAATGTAAGCTCCCATGGGCAATGTGAACCTCTGTCCCTTATGAGCCTCCCCACAGACATTGTAATCTCTTTCATATCGATGACAAAGTTAACACAGACAGGGCACATCTCCATGCATGGAGAACTCTCTGTGGCTGCTGTGAACCCCTTTTGTGATAGCATGAAGCACTCCCCATGGGGCTACCTACAAAGGCAGTGTGCACTCTCTTGAGTGTAAATTTCCCCCAGATTCAGCATCTACCCAATGTGCACAATATAAACTGCTTTGTCAAACCTCCCTCAACTCCGGGTCCACCCAATATGGAAGGATGAATTGTCTTTTAGGATTACATTAACGGCTAGATGCAGCGGCTTATGCTTATGATCCCAGCACTTTGAGAGGCCAAGATGGAAGGATGGCTTGAGGCTAGAAATTGGAGACCAGCCTGGACAACATAGTGAGACTCCATCTCTACAAAAAAAAAAAAAAAATTAGCAGGGCATGGTGGTGCATGCCTGTGGTCCCAGCTACTCAGGAGGCTGAGGCAGGAAGATTGCTTGAGCCCAGGCACTCAAGGTTGCAGTGAGCTATGATGCTGCTACTGCACTCCAGCCTGGGCGACAGAGTGAGACCCTGTCTGAAAAAAATAATAATAAAATAAAAATAAATAAAATTAGGCCGGGAGCAGTGGCTCATGCCTGTAATCCCAGCACTTTGAGAGGCCGAGGTGGGCAGGTCATGAGGTCAGGAGTTCGAGACCAGCCTGACCAAAATGGTGAATCCCCGTGTCTACTAAAAATACAAAAATTAACCAGGCATGGTGGCATGCGCCTGTAATCCCAGCTACTTAGGAAGCTAAGGCAGGAGAATCGCTTGAACCCAGGAGGCACAGGTTGCAGTGAGCCGAGATCGCGCCACTGCACTCCAGCCTGGGTGACAGAGCAAGACTCCGTCTCAAAAAAAAACAAATTTAATTAAAAATAAATAAATAGGCCGGGTGCAGTGGCTCACACCTGTAATCCCAGCACTCTGGGAGGCCGAGGCGTGCAGATCACGAGGTCAGGGGATCGAGACCATCCTGGCTAACACAGTGAAACCTCGTCTCTACTAAAAATACAAAAAATTAGCCGGGCGCAGTGGCGGGCGCCTGTAGTCCCAGCTACTCGGGAGCCTGAGGCGTGAACCCGGGAGGCGGAGTGTGCAGTGAGCCGAGATCATGCCACTGCATTCCGGCCTGGGCAACAGAGCGAGACTCCATCTCAAATAAATAAATAAATAAATAAATACAATTATATTGCAGTAGTACTAGTAGTATGATAGTTTAAGATTATATAAATAATGTAACAGGGCCGGGCGCAGTGGCTCACGCCTGTAATCCCAGTACTTTGGGAGGCCGAAGTGGGTGGATCATGAGGTCAGGAGTTCAAGACCATCCTGACCAACATGGTGAAACCCCGTGTGTACTAAAAATACAAAAATTAGCCGGGTGTGGTGGTGTGTGCCTGTAATCCCAGCTACTCAGGAGGCTTAGACAGGAGAAACACTTGAACCCAGGAGGCGGAGGTTGCAGTGAGCCGAGGTTGCGACATTGCACTCCAGTCTGGGCGACAGAGCAAGACTCTGTTTCGGGGAAAAAAATAATAATAATAATAACAACAGTGTAGGTTATAAGATTCCTTCCGAGTGTGAACTCCTCGTGGACAGTGAATTTCCCCCAATCTCAACACAAATAATTTGTGAACAGTGGGACTTTCTCATAGATGTGAATATCCTTCATATTCCATGAACCCCATTGGACAACTAATATTTCTTCTATGCTATGAACTAGCTCTATGCCCTAGCACATTCTTTCACACGTAGTTTGAGTGTTTCATGGACAGTATGACTTGCAATAGACTGGATGCAGTTTCCTCACAAGTGGTGTGAATTCCAGTGTGGAATCTGAACCTGTCACAGGCAAAAGAAAGCCTCCCTGCGGCCAGCGTACCCATATTGCTTCCCATTAGCCTCGGACCAGGGCGAATACAAAGTGGAGGGCATAGATGCATTGCAGACAGGTTCACCATCTGGTTGTAAACCCGTATCTGGGCAGCAGGCATCTACTACAAACAGGGCATCTCCCTGTCCTCCTCCACTCCAGTGTGATACCCTCCTACCCCTGGGATCTTTAAAAATCTGCCTCTGTCAGGGGCGTACACCCACAAAGTGTAGCTCTCCACGTAATGCAGTGCGAAGCCCCAAGAAGCGCTGCATTTCGTCATCTCGGCCCCCTGCCCCAATGCCTAGTGGGCTGTCAAACTGCGCTGTCCTAAATGTCAAACTCTTGGAGGAGGTGACCTGTCCCCCGGGCCCCAGGCCGCGCGCGTTGCCTATACTGCAGCGCGCGACACCCCACAAGCGCGCGTTCTCTCCCCTCCCGGTGGCAACAGGGCTTTCCGCGGGGCCGCGCCAGACTTTTCGAGACCGTCAATTGGTCGTAGTCCCGGCCACCCGGCAGCCAATCAACAAGGGGAAAGGTGACATCACTGGTTCTCCTCCCCTCCCCCAATCCAAACTTCCCTACTCCGTCTACCGGCAGCAACAACCACGTGGGGGAGGGGTAAGAGAGTAGAACCGGTGAGGTCATTGCACCGCCCCGGCCGCTGCTGATTGGCTGCGGGGCTCGCGGGTGGCGGTTGGCTGCTCCTTGCACCTCCCCCTCGTGCCGCTACCGCTGCCACTGAGAGGAGCCACCGGCGACGCCAGAGCCAGGAATACGGGTGAGTCGGGGCCCTGGGTCTAAGATACTCCTGGCGTCCAGTGAGACTCACGACGAACTGCCCTTTTCGACTTTTTCTCCTCGCCGGGTTTCTTTGGTGCTCCAAGCACTCTGTCACATGGGAGTTGTAGTCTGCCTTGTACTGTCGGCTATGGGCCGAAGACGTGAGAAGACTACGGTTCCCAGCAGGAACTGCGACTAGCCGGTCAACAAACGTTCGGGCCACGCCTTCTACCTCCGTTCATTGGACAACCCGTCCCTTAGCCCCTCCTCCTTTCATTTCATTGGCTACTGTCCCTCACAGAGGCTGGGTTCCGGCCTAGGCTGCATGGCGACTGGGTACTGTATTTGTCATTTGGAACTAAGACGGCCTGCAATTGGACACGACTGGTGTCCTTCACTTGTTGTAGGGTAGGGCCCTAGGCAGATCAGGCAGTCGTAGGCTCAGGTTGGTGTCGGTCCCGGAGGGAGGCCGGTCTTGGACTTTGGCCCCGCCCCCTAGCGCTGCCCGATGGGCCCAATTGGTCGCCGCGAGCGTCGCTCGTCGTCGAGAGGCGGAGCCGACCAGTCTGCGGATATCTATTGGTCTAGGCTGGCGCCGGTCAGTGGGGTTGTGATCGCTGATTGGCTGGCTGCTCCAGCTGTTGCAGGTCCATTCACCATTTTGTGTGTTGGAGTAAAAAAAAAAGGGAGAATCGAGAGGGAGAGCCGGAGGGGGGGCGGGGAGGGACCGGACCGGACCGAGCCGGGGCCACGGCCCCCCGCCCCGAAACCCCGCCGAGCCCAAGGTGAGGGGCGGGGCCAGGGCTGACACAGGAAAGGGGGGTCCGGGGGGCTGGGGGCCGAGAGGGGACAGGTGGCAGGGACGGGGAGGGGGTACAGGGGGAAAGGGGTGGGCGGAATGGTGGGAAGGGAGGAGGGAGTGGAGGAAGTGGTGGGGGTTTGACAGAAAAAGGGTAACTGGGGGAGGGGGTGGTGGGCAAAGAAGGGTAACAGGAATGGAGGGGTGACAGGACTAGATCAGGGTGACAGGGAGAGGGAGGGGACAGAGTTGGAGAGTGTGACAAGGAGAGGTGATGGGGAGAGAAGGTGACAGGTCCGGAGATGGCTGACAGGACAGTGACTGGGAGGAATAGGTGACAGAGATAAATGGGGGTGACAAGGAGGGGGTGACAGGAGGGGGCCTAGGGCATTTTAACCGAGAGGTAGAGATAGAGGTAGTGACAGGATGAGAGAGAGAGTGTCAGAGAAGCTGGTGCCAGGAGGGCTAATGGGAACAGAGGGTATGAGACCCCAAAGAGCCAGGGCCTGGGCTGGCCTGGGCTCCGGGAGTTACTACTCAGATCTGAGGAAGGTGAGGGCCCCCGGGGCTTGGGTGGGAGTTATTCAGACAGGGTGGACAGGAAGAGAGTAGGCCCTAGGGGAAAGAAAGCAGCTCTGGGGCGAAGAGAGGCTGGGCCAGGCAGCAAGGTCTAGGGGTCCAGGCGGCATAGTTGTAGGCCCTGGGTGGGGTATGCAAAGGTTTGTGCTTGGAAAAAACTGGAGCCAGATCTCAGTCCCCAACATGGTAGTCTAGTGGGTCAGCGGGTATTAGGTGGTGATGGCTGCCCAACTTCTGGGCATTTGGGTGCCAGCCCCGGGACGCCCTCCAGGCTCTGCCTGTGAGGACCCCAGGATTGGCCCAAGAAAGGGCAGGCCTGGGACTCCAGGGTCCACAGGAGGAGCAGGCCCCTAGTGAGAGAGCATGAGGTCAAGGGTCCCCCAGTAGCTGGAAGACTGAGTCGGGGTTGCCTCTCATTGTGTTTGGCTTATGGTTCTGGGTCCCCCAACCCTCCTAGAGGCCTCTGTTTTGGCCTCTCAGGTTCTCTTAGTCACTTCAGAGTAAAGTTTTTTCCCCTTTTCTTTTCTCAGGGCAGCTCGAAAGGGGGCGGGCAGTAATGACTGTTCAGGAAGTGGGTGAGGTTGGCCTGTTGGGCTTGTCCTGCTTTCTTTGACCTTATCCCACCTATCCCCACTTGGAGTTGGAGGGCATATTTGGGGGCCTGCGGGGGGCTAGCCGACTCAGCCACCCTGCCAGAGCCAGCCCAGCCAGGGCGGGGATGCATGCAGGCAAGAAGAGGGGGGCTGGGCTTGCGGGTATCACGCTGGGTGCTGTGGGGGGAGGAGCAGGCTCCCATCCAGTGGGACAGAGAAACCCTGGGGTGTAGCTCTGTGTCCCACTGTGTGATGACGTGTGCGTGCTTCTGTGCGTGTGTGTGTGTTTGTGCGCGTGCGTGTGCTCATGCACGGCCCCGTGGCAGTGCTGGGTATGAGCTCTTGCCCCAGACATGCCCCTGCCTGCTCCCTGCCAGGATCTGGGGAGATGGCTGTACCTGGCAGCCCTAGGGTGCAGAGCAGAGTGGGCAGCCGTCCCTCGGGACTCTCAGCTGCCCACTTCTTCCCACAGTGCCTGGCCATGCCAGGCTGCCCAGAGGGGCAGAGGGAGGGTGGGGGGGTGGAGAAAGGCTCATATCACAGCCCAGTCACCACCCTTTTTGTGACTTGGTACTTGTGCATGTGTGTGTGTGTCTGAGTGCATGTACTCTCTGCATGGTGACAGTGCGAGTAAATGTGCCCTCTGGATCATGTGACAGGCAGCACACTGAAATGGTCAGGAGCACGGACTCTGGAGCCAGAGAGCCTGGGTTCAGACCCTAGCACTGCTGTTTCCCACCTGGATGATCTTGGACAAGTTGTCTCATCTTTTTGTGGCTCAGTTTCCTCAGGTGTGAAATGAGGCCGATAGTAGCACCTGCTTTTAGGGCTGTTGTGAGGATGAAACAGGTTAATAAAGGCAAGCTTAGCATGGAGTTCAGGACACAGGGAGTGCTCCATAGGTGTGAACTGTTAGTGCTTTTGATGTCCCCTTGGGGCATTCAGAGCATGTGCTCTGTGTCCTTTGCAGAGCCAGCAGGTGTCTGTTCCCCAAGGAGCCAGAGTGTGTATACTCAGGGGACTCAGGTGCTCACCTGTGCCTGGTGCTGACTGAGGTATCACATGAGTTGACAGCAGCCAGAGAGGAGGCCTTGGGGATGGTGGGATGGAGACAGTAGACTCAGCAAGTGGGAAATCTTAGGGTACACTGGCTCTGGAGAGGTTCCTGAGTTGCTCCGCGTAATCCTCCGCTCTCCCACCCTGCAGGTGGACAAAAATGAAGCCAATGAAGAAGGCATGCACTGGCCTTTCAGGTCCTGGCAGTGGCAGCAAGTCCCCCCCAGCCACCAGGGCCAAGGCTCTGAGGCGGCGAGGGGCTGGGGAGGGTGACAAGCCAGAGGAGGAGGATGACGAGGCACAGCAGCCGCAACCACAGTCCGGGCCCGAAGAGGCTGAGGAAGGGGAGGAGGAGGAGGCTGAGCGGGGCCCTGGGGCTGAAGGTCCTCCACTGGAGCTGCACCCTGGCGACCCGGCTCCAGGCCCAGCAGAGGACCCCAAAGGGGATGGGGAGGCAGGCCGCTGGGAGCCCTCACTCAGCCGCAAGACAGCCACGTTCAAGTCTCGAGCGCCCAAGAAGAAGTATGTGGAGGAGCACGGAGCTGGCAGCAGTGGGGTGGCTGGGGCCCCTGAAGAGCGGGTGCGGACCCCTGAGGAGGCCAGTGGCCTGGGGGTGCCTCCACGGCCACCCACCTCCACTCGTTCCTCCTCCACTGACACAGCCAGCGAGCACTCGGCGGACCTGGAGGATGAGCCGGCTGAGGCTTGTGGTCCAGGCCCTTGGCCCCCTGGCAGCACCAGTGGCAGCTATGACCTGCGGCAGCTGCGGTCCCAGCGGGTGCTGGCTCGGCGTGGTGATGGCCTTTTCCTGCCGGCTGTGGTGCGCCAGGTGCGCCGAAGCCAGGACCTGGGCGTGCAGTTCCCTGGTGACCGAGCCCTGACTTTCTATGAGGGGGTGCCAGGCGCTGGTGTGGATGTAGTTTTGGATGCCACACCCCCACCAGGTGCCCTGGTGGTGGGCACAGCTGTCTGTACCTGTGTGGAGCCCGGCGTGGCTGCCTACCGGGAAGGTGTGGTGGTGGAGGTGGCCACCAAGCCAGCTGCCTACAAGGTCCGTCTCAGCCCTGGCCCCAGCTCCCAGCCAGGCCTACCAGGCAGCCTCCCGCAGCCCCCACAGCCACTGCACCGTGAGCCAGAGGAGGCTGTGTGGGTGGCCCGCTCCAGCCTACGCCTGCTGCGCCCCCCCTGGGAACCTGAGACCATGCTGAGGAAGCCCCCTACAGGCCCTGAGGAAGAGCAGGCAGAGCCTGGGGCCACCCTGCCACCCTGCCCTGCTGCCCTGGACCCCAAACAGCCCGAGGATGCTGAGGTCTCTAAGATCAGCTTTGGTGGCAACCTGGGTACTCACTGTGAGGAGGGCGAGGAGAAGCACCCTCCAGCCCTGGGTACCCCAGCCCTGCTCCCACTGCCCCCACCCCAGCTCCTGTCACCACCACCCAAGTCTCCAGCCTTTGTGGGCCCCGGCCGCCCTGGCGAGCAGCCCTCGCCCTGCCAGGAGGGGAGCCAGGGCGGCAGCCGCAGCAGCAGCGTGGCCTCCCTGGAAAAGGGGACAGCACCGGCAGCCCGGGCCCGCACGCCACTGACAGCCGCCCAGCAGAAGTACAAGAAGGGCGATGTGGTCTGCACACCCAGCGGAATACGAAAGAAGTTCAACGGCAAGCAGTGGCGCCGGCTGTGCTCACGAGATGGCTGCATGAAGGAGTCACAGCGGCGAGGCTACTGCTCACGCCACCTGTCCATGCGAACCAAAGAGATGGAAGGCCTGGCAGACAGTGGGCCTGGCGGGGCGGGCCGGCCCGCGGCCGTGGCAGCCCGTGAGGGCAGCACGGAGTTTGACTGGGGTGATGAGACGTCGAGGGACAGTGAGGCCAGCAGTGTGGCGGCTCGTGGAGACTCACGGCCACGCCTGGTGGCCCCTGCTGACTTGTCACGCTTTGAGTTCGACGAGTGTGAGGCGGCCGTGATGCTGGTGTCGCTGGGCAGCTCGCGCTCAGGCACGCCCTCCTTCTCACCCGTCTCCACTCAATCGCCCTTCTCGCCAGCCCCATCACCCTCACCCTCACCACTCTTCGGCTTCCGCCCTGCCAACTTTAGCCCCATCAATGCCTCACCAGTCATCCAGCGCACTGCAGTCCGCAGTCGCCACCTGAGCGCCAGCACCCCTAAGGCAGGCGTGCTGACGCCACCAGACCTGGGCCCCCACCCACCGCCACCTGCCCCCCGAGAGCGCCACTCCTCTGGAATCCTACCCACCTTCCAGACCAACCTGACCTTCACCGTGCCCATCAGCCCTGGGCGACGGAAGACAGAGCTGTTGCCGCATCCAGGGGCCTTGGGGGCCCCTGGCGCAGGGGGTGGAGGAGCCGCCCCAGACTTTCCCAAGAGTGACAGCTTAGACTCTGGTGTGGACTCAGTGTCCCACACACCTACACCCTCCACGCCGGCTGGCTTCCGGGCCGTGTCCCCTGCTGTGCCCTTCTCTCGCTCCCGCCAGCCCTCACCATTGCTGCTGTTGCCACCCCCTGCCGGCCTGACCTCGGATCCAGGGCCCTCTGTGCGCAGGGTGCCTGCTGTGCAGCGGGACTCACCTGTTATTGTCCGCAACCCTGATGTGCCACTGCCCTCCAAATTCCCTGGGGAGGTGGGCACTGCTGGTGAGGTGCGGGCTGGGGGACCTGGGCGGGGCTGCCGTGAAACCCCAGTGCCCCCTGGGGTGGCCAGTGGGAAGCCTGGCCTGCCCCCACCTCTGCCAGCCCCCGTGCCCATCACCGTGCCTCCAGCTGCACCAACTGCCGTGGCCCAGCCGATGCCCGCCTTTGGCCTGGCTTCTTCACCCTTTCAGCCTGTGGCCTTCCACCCCTCACCTGCTGCCCTGTTGCCCGTTTTGGTGCCCAGCAGCTATACCAGCCACCCTGCCCCCAAGAAGGAAGTCATCATGGGCCGGCCTGGAACAGGTAAGAGGTGGAAGTGGATGGGCTGCGCCAGGCTCACCTCGTAGAGGGCCTCTTGCAAGCTGAACTCTTGAGAGGTGAGCTCCTCACCTTGGGAGGGCTTCAAGGGGAGGCCGGCCTCCTCTCTGCACAGATGTTGCTGTTGGAATTCACATGTCAGGAAAGGGATTGGACTTTTAAGGCTCAAGGCACCGTTTCCAGAGGCCTCCTGTCAGAGAACGTGGTCTCAAGAGGTCTATCAGTCAGCAAACCTTTCTTGAGTGCAGACTGAGTCAGGTCTCCATGGAGCTGATGGGATAAGAGAATGATAATTGTGGCAACAGCTTCCACATCTTGGGGGACTGGGCGAGGGCATTGCCATGGTAAGCACTGCGTGTAGGTGAGCTTGCCAAATTTTCACATCCACCTCATAGAGCACTTACCACCTGTTCTAAAGACCCTTTTCAAATATTAGCTCATTTTATCTTCACAACCACCCTAACAGGAAAGTGCTATGATTATGCTTCTTTAGAGGAAACTAAGGCCAGGGTCATAATTTGTCCAGGGTTACATGGCTAGTCAATCCTGGAGCAGCCCTCAAACCCAGGCAGGCTGGCCCGTGACCACGTGGTCATAGTGCTGGATTACAGATGGGCAGATGGAGGCTCTAACAGGTCCTTCCCAGGAGGTGGCAGGACCAGGACTGGAGCCCTCATCTTTACCACTGTGTCCAGTAAACATCACAGGCACGGCCATGGAAGGCAGCGGGGGTGTGCTGGGCACTTCTCCAGGTGTGAATCTAGCCTGGCTACACTGAGGACAGGGCGTGTAAGCCAGGAGTTGAAGGATGAGTGGGAACCTGCAACCGTGGGGTGGAAGAGCCTCCTGGGAGGAGGGCGATGGGACAGCCCCAAGGCCAGAAGGAGCACAGCCTAGGAGGGGAAGAGGGAAGGCCAGGGTGGCTGGAGAGCTGAGGCTGGGGGTGGAAGAGTGGCATTTCTGAGATGGTGCTGAACAGCCACGGACCCAGGCTAGGCTGGGCCTTGTAGGAGCAACACAGAGAGGGTGACAGACCTGTCGGAAGCTCCTTCCTAGCATTTCTTTCTTATTTGTTTATTTATGTATATATTTTTTTATTTTTATAGAGATGGGGTCTTGCTGTATTGCCCAGGCTGGTCTCGAATTCCTGGGCTCAAGCAGTCTTCCTGTCTTGGCCTCCCAAAATGCTGGGATTACAGGTGTGAGCCACTGCACCTGGCCTTATTTATTTTTATTTATTTATTAATCTACTGTTGATTCAGGGCCTGGCCCTGTGCTGTGCCTGGCCCTGTGCTGGATGGTGCTGAGGACACAGCCCTACTTACACAGGGCTCACAGCCTCTGGAAAAGACAGACCCCTCCCTAGACAGTAACAGTCTGGGGTGGTCAGGGATGGGGTGGAGGAAGCCAGGAGGCCGTGGGAGCCCAGAGAAGATGCCTGTCCAGCCTGAGAAGTCAGAGAAGGCTTCTTGGAAGAAGGGCCAGATGCCTATGAACTGAAACCTGAAGGGTGTGCAGATGTGAGCCCGGCAGGGTAGGCAGGAAGGATCTTCAGGCAGAGGAAAGAGTTTGTGCAAAGGCCTTAAGGCAAAAGCAGATATTTGTAAGATGTTGAATCTGGAAAGTCAAAGACTCTAAATGGCAGGTGAGTGTTGGGGATGTGTGGCTGGATTGGTGAGCAAGGGTCAGATCAGAGAGGACCCTTAAGTAAGATCATTATGAACTGTATCCTGAGGGTACTAGGGAGTCATGGAAGGTTTTGAGCAGATTCAACCACTGCTGCACCATAGAGGGTGTGTTTGAGTCTCTGAGGCCAGAAGCAGGGAGACCAGGGAGGAAGGAGGCTGGGTGTGGATGTGGGTAGGAGCCGCTGTGGCTTGGGCTTGGGGCAAGAGCCCTTTCAGGAAGGAGCACTGGCCTGGCCCTTCCCTTTTGGGGCTCCAGCCCAGGCCAGTCCCGAGGGACAGGGCACAGGGACACGGGTTATGCCTGCCCCTGATGTTCATATACAGAACTGAGGCTGTGAGCTGTGTGTTTCACCCTGACACCAACATTTTTTACATTTGTTGTTATAGGTGGTACAAGCAAAATTTCACAGCAGGGATTTCTGTCCTTAGGTAATGAAGAAACTAAATCAGAGGGTCTCTAACCACTCCCCTACCCTTCACCCCCCCATATGCCCACAACCCCCAACATGGCCCCTACAGCATTGTCTCATGTGGCCACTCCTGCTGTGTGGGGAGGAATGGCTCTGGTGCAGGGGATGCTGAGGCTTACCAGAGTAGGCCCAGCAGGGCTCTTGTTACCATTTTCCAGATGAGGAAAAGTGAGGCCCTGACAAATGGAGAGTCTTGATTGAGGCCAGCCAGCCAGTGAGGGGCAGGATGAGAGCTTTGAGTCATCTCCCAACCTCTAGACTGTGGGACTCTCACTACCAAAAGTGGCAGTAATAATAACTCACCGAGCAGCACTGGTGATGCACGTGCCTGGCACACTTCAATGAGTCCTGCTGAGCCTTTACTCCCTGAATCCTCACAATGCCCCAGGCTAGTACCATGATTATTAGTTCCATTGGACAGAGGAGGAAACCGTAGCCTGAAAGGCTAAGTGACTTGCCCGGGTCCTCCAGCTAGGAAGAGAGAGAGCCAGGATTTTGAGACAGAGTCTGGCTCTGTCACCCAGGCTGCAGTGCAGTAGCGCAATCTTGGTTCATTGCAACCTCTGCCTCCTGGGTTCAAGCGATTCTCCCGCCTCAGCCTCCCGAATAGCTGGGATTACAGGAGTGTGCCACCACGCCCGGCTAATTTTTGTATTTTTAGTAGAGCCGAGGTTTCACCATGTTGGCCAGGCTGGTCTTCAACTCCTGACCTCAGGTGGTCCTCCTACCTTGGCCTCCCAAAGTGCTGGGATTACAGGCTTGGGTCACCACACCGAGCTGTCAAGAGCCAGGATTTGAACTCAGACTGTGCGGCTCCAGATCCCAGGCCCTTAAGCACTTTCAATAATAACAATGATAACAATAATACCTACTCTACTGAGCGAAGACTGTGTGCCTAACCCCGGGCTTGGGGCCGTTTCATCAGCTCCGCCTGATGCTGTGAAGTAGATTGCCAGGCCTGTTGTCCAGGGGTAGACTGAGGATCAGAGAAGGGAGGCCCCTTGCTGGGGGCCACCTGGTTGTCATAACTTGTCCAGTGCCTATCCTGGCAGTTCTGAGGAGCGCCTCCCTAACAACACCCATGCTGAGGTATCCAGGCTGCCTTCAGGTTCCTGAACAGCCTGCCCTTTCATTCTTCTCCCAGAGGCCTCCCTAAGCCCTTGGGAGGTAGGCAGCTTGGAGCCTTCTCCCCATGGGGCCCAGATAGGGCAGACCGTGTTCAGTGGTATAGTGAGGTTGCAGGCCTGGTCCCTTCTGCTGGCCCATGCCAGGGCCTGACCCTCCATCAGAGGGCAGCAGGTGTGAGGGGGCGGCCCAGGGCAGCCTGCCTGCTCCTGCCCCCAGCCAGGCATTTGCTTCCGCTGGGGGACTTGCTGGGGCAGGCGGCTGGCATTCTCCACATTCTGTGCATGGCATGGCCAGCCAGCTGCCGTTGCCACCTCCCTCTGAATCTTCCCGCCTGCTCCCCAGGAGAGGATCCCGCCCCAGGGCCTGCAGCCCCAGTCCAGGAGGCCAGATGTCTCAGCCCCATTCCTGGTATGGCCTCCCTCCCAGCTCCCAGCTTCCTGCCTGGCTTCCCCTTGTTGACAGGCGTTGCTCCTTCTCCTGGGCCTCTGTCTGGCGGTCTGGCTCTGTCTGTCTTATCCTTGGCTTCCTATATCTCTCTGGTCTCCTATTTCTAGGTCTATACGTGTGTCTCTCTTTGGACCTCTGTCTGTCTGACTCTTCTTTGAGTCTGGGGGCTCCCTGTGCCTTCCTGGGTTTGTCCCTCTCTGGACTTCAGTCCTCGTCTGAGCTTTCAGCCCACCCTCTTTCTGTTTTGGCTGCCAGCTGGCATCCTGTGTCTCTGAGCCAGCCTTGGCCTCTCTTTGGCCCTCCTACTCCCACTCTTTAGATGGACTTGCTGCCCCCATGCCAGCCTCCCAGCCCCACCCTGTGCATATCAGGTGTTCTGTTCTTTTAAGACAGTGGGCAGTTGCCAAGCACCAGGTCTCCTACTTCCTTCTTGGGGAGTGTTGGGAGGTTGTCCAGGCCAGGGAGCCCCCTCATGCTCTTTGACAAATTAACTGCCTACTACTGTCCCTGAAATCTGCTGAGAAGTGCTGAGATCCATCCTGCAGACCCATCCACCATCCAAGCACCTGTTCCCAAGACAGGCAGGAAAGCGGGGGCTGTATGGACCAAGCTAGGAGATCCGGCTGTAGGGGGCGGCAGGAAAGAAGCTTCAGTGCCCACCCACCTGCCAGAGGGCATGACCCAGGTCATCCTACCTCCCCCTTTACCCCTTGCCTTTCATTTGATGCCAGCTTCATTGAAAGGAGTCCCAGATATAGTGCACCCCAATGGGTAGGGCCTCAGAGACGAGGCAGTACCCACCAACTATGCTTGGGCAGGTGGGGAAAAAGAGGGGCCAAAGGGGTTAAGCCTGGGTCTCCTGACTCCCCAGATCCAGATACTGCCCACCATAATTTCCATTTTGTTTCAAACAGTGAACCCTATCTCCACCAGCAGAAGCCAGCTCCCTCCTCATCCCTCTGCCAGGCCCAGGGCTGAGCAGTCCTGGGGCAGGTGGGTGAGGAAGGCAGATGTGGATGCAGGCACAGGCAAGGATGAGCCCAGGGAGGTACTGAGTCTGGGGAAGCCAAGGGGCAGGGACAACTCAGTGGTTCATGGGGGCTGATAAGGGAGGATCAGGTAGGTTTCTCACTGGAGGTGACATTTGAGCTGAAGTATGAGGAATGAGTAGATTTCAGAATAGTCAAAGAAAGGAAAAGGCAATTCCACCTGAAACAGCTGCATGAGCAAAGACCAGGAAGAGTGAAAGTGCATGAACTCCGAGTGGCTAGTTGAGGCTGGAGCTGACACCAGAGTCCAGGCTTAGCAGAAGGGTGCCGTGGACGACAGGCCCAGCTTGAATGCCAGGCTGAGAAGCTGGGGCTCTACGCGGGCCAGTAAAGAGTCAAGAAGGCATTTAGAGCAGGGGAGGGAAAATGTTGGATCTAGGTGTCAGAGACCCCTGGAGACCGCCCTGGAAAGGCAGGAGTTGGGAAGAAGATGGCTTGGGGAAGAGGAGGAGAGGAGGAAGAGCTTGTGAAGGTGCAGGAGTGAGTCTTGGTAACTGTAGAAGAGACCCCAGCTCCCCCAGCTTAGCAGCCCCCAGCACCAGGAGCTGCGAGGCGTCAGGCTGCCTCCTGGCGGCAGGCGGCGGCGGGACAGCAGGCGCGCGCATGCGCGGCAGAGGGGGTTGGGGGGTACGTCCCGGAGCCCCCGGTGCCCGGGTATTAATGGCTCCATTAGTGGCCGGGAGGGAGGCGCATTAGCGGCGGCGACGGCGTCTGGCTCCCATTACCACCGGCGGCAGCGGCTGCACCGCAGGCGGCTGGACCCTAGCCCGCCGCGCCGCCTCCTCCACCCCCACCCTATCCCCTGTTCCCGCTCCCCACGAGGGCCCGGGCAGGGAACTCCCGTCCCCCTATTTCAGCGGAAAAGCTGATTGTGAAGCCAGATAGATTTGGGTTCAAATCCCGGCCGTGCCACCTCGCGGCTGCAAGATGCTATCCCCCCTCTGAGCCTGTTTCTTGCGAAGTAGTCGGGGAAACCGGGTGCTCCGGGGGCTGTGTAGAAGCGGACTGGCACCCAGCGAGGGCCGCGCCCAGCCCCCGCTGGCACCTAGGGGTGTGGGTTCCCGCGCGCCCCTGGGTGCAGACCTCCTGTGTCGGGCCTCCGTCCTTCTCATTGGCTGCCGTCTCGCCCGCTGACCGCTGATTGGCCGAGACCTGCTTCTCCGCCCCTGAGCGATTAACCCCTGCGCTGCCGCGTCCTCGGGCTGGGTGGGGTACCCTCCCTCCCACCGCAGACAGCTCGGGTGCCAGCTGGCCGGCGCCCCGCCGCGGCCCGCGTGGGTGTCAGGCCGGCCGGGCACCCGTCCGCCCTCCCTGCACAAAGCGGCTTTGTGGAGCCTGCCGGGGGTTGGCTGGGGGCCAGGCGGCGAGTGGAAAATCTCGTGAGCGCGGGGAGGGGAGGGGAACGCAGGGCGGCGCCCCCTCCTCTGCTCGGGCCTTGGCGCCTCCCTCAGCCCGCGCCGACCAACCCTCCCAGCCCAAGCGCCTGTACACCCCTTTCCCGCCCCCGCACCTTCCCTTCCCCAAACCCACGTCTCTCAACCCCCCCACCCCCGCATCCCACCCATCTCCCAATCCCTGGGGACCATCCCCCACACACTCTCCCCAGTCTCTCTTTTCCTCCTGGTCCCCCTGCCTACCCCAGCCCCACTCACACTGACTCACCCCGGCGCTATTTTTAGCCCCCCATCCTTGCCGAGCCGCGCCAGCCCAATCCTGGGCTCGTTCCCCAGGCAACCCTGGCCGTCGCCGACGCCGCCCGGGGTGGGTGGGTGGGTGTGTATGTGGAAAGCGGGTGAGGGGAGCTGGGGACACCGGGGTGGTGAGCTGAGGCGGGGACCCGGGCCTGGAGAGCAGGGTGGGGAGCCGCAGGCGGCCGGCAGGGGTGCGGTGCCTCGCGGGCTCAATAAATGGGCCCCATGAGTTTAGAGTGCGCGTCTGCCTGTCCCTCGGTCTGTCAGCATCCCTGGCTGCTCGCCCCAGGCCTCTGGGCAGGCCTCAGCCTGTACCGCCCGCCCGGGTGGCTGTTGATGTCTTCGTCTGGGTTCCCTGTCCCCAGGCCTGGGTGTGGTGGCACAGTGGGGGCTGTTTAGGGGCAGTCCTTCTGTGGAGTTGGTTAGGGGTTGGTGCAGGGGGTGGCTGCCATCACAGTCCTGCTCAGTACCTTTTTCCAACTAGGGAGGCCCCAATTAGGGTTGGGGATGGCAAGAGAGTGGGAGCTGTCTAGGGATAGGACCTGCTCCCTCCCCTCTGCTCCTAATCCACCCCCACCCAGGGTTCCTCCACCCTGAACAATAGAAGCTAAGTATAGGGCTGGCCCAGCGCCCAGGGCAGGGGGGCCCTTCCCGCCCGGATTCCCGCCCCTCCCTGCCAGGCTAGGCCCCCACTTGGTTGTACCCTGCCCCGGACGGGGCCTCTTCCCATCTCTCCTCCGTGGGCACTGTGTATTCTACCAGATGTGCACCCCTCCCAGATGTGTGGGGCCCTCTTTCCCTCCTGTGCCATGCCTGGCTCTTTTTCTCAACCAACAGAAGTCGGGGATCTGGGGGGCAGAGCTCCTCTGAGCTCTGTCCTTGGACTGCATTGCAGTAGAGAAGGGGTTAACTTGCCAGTAGGTGACTCACTCACCGGTGGGGAGAGGAGGGGGCAGTGGTAGGGGCAGTGGTGGGGAGATAGCAGGCCACATTGATTTCAGCCTCAATTCGTGCCTCACATTGCAGTCCCTGGGGCAGTGAAGTAATGGAGGGTCTGAGTCTGGGGCTGCATAGGAAGGAGGGGGCAGTCACCTAATAGTCCCTCTGGTTGCCCCTCCAGGCTCACAGCCAAGTGTCTGGCCCTGCAGTCTCTGGAGGTCAGAGGGCTACAGACCTTCCCTTCCCTTTTGGGCTCAGGTTACCCAGTTTTTGCCCCCTCTCCATTCCTTCAGCTCTGTCAGTGGATGAGGCAGGTTGGGGAAAGGGCTCGTCTGCTCCTGTTGACCATCCAACCTGTGTAAGAGCCCAGTCTTGGTCCATCTGAGCCTGTGCAACCTTTACGTGCCCAAGTGTGTGACCCCAGTCCTGTGCCTTTACTGGGTATGGCTCCAGGGCCCCTCTTGGGTGATCCAGGGCCTCTGGGTCTCTGCCAGATGGGCTCCACATCCTTGCCTGTGTCTTTGTGTGAGCCCCCCTCGCCTTTCTGTGGTCCACGTGGCTCTGTATCATTGTCTAACTATATTCCCCAGCCTCTGTTTGGAGTTCCCTCCCTGGGTCCACCCTGAGGTTAAGCCTTGAGTAATGGAAACAGCACTTGAGTTAGAGCTCTGGGCTGGTACATCTTGACTGCATGATCTTGCCACAGTTTATTCAATCTCTGAGGCTCATTTTTTCACCTGAACAATGGGTGTAATAAAGCATACCTCCCTAGGTGGCTGTGAGGATTCAATGAACCAGATAATACATACAAGCTCCCAGCACACAGCAGCCCCAGTAAGTGTTAGTTTCCTTTCTTCCTGGCCCTTTTTTTCTGGGAGGGGGGGCGGGGTTAGTGGGTGGCTGGCAGAGCAGTGTGGTGGGGCCAGCCATGGTGTGCTCTGTGGTTCCCTGCCTTATACTGCTAGACAGAGGGTCCAGAGTGGCCAATGAGTGTCAGGGTGGGTGGCTGAATGATGGCGGTGGCCACTGAGCTCTGTATACCTGATGGGCCTGGGTACTGAAGCAGGTAGCACCCATTAGGGTAGGATTATATAGAGGGTGGGGTCGGTATGATGGTGTCTGTGAGAGCTGAGTGTGCACTGGGGATAGGAGGCGCTTTGTGAGTGCTAGGAAGGCTGTGTGTGTGACGGAGGAGTGTGTGGTTGTGTGGGAGGGGTGTGGAGTGTGTGTAGTGGACAAGCAGGGCTATGCTGAGTTCCTCCTGTTTGACATGTTGTCTGTTTGCATGATTCATGTGGGCTGGTGGGGGTGTGATGAGGATGCGGGTTGGCGAAGCATGTGTGACAGGGCATGGATGAGATGGGTGATGTGAACAGGATGGGTGAATGCACGATGGTGGGTGGGGAGCGATGGACCGTGAGCGTGTGAGGTTGTACATCTGTGTGAGCAGGTATGTGAGGTGTGACAGCGTGGGTGTAAGACAGAGGGCATATGTGCCCGTGGGGTGTGTAGGAGATAATGGGTGTGGCACGAAAGTGTGTCTGTATGTCTGTGAGGAGTGTGAGTGTGAGTAGGTGAGGGCTCAGGATGCCTCGCCCAGCCCTACGCGCAGTTTGTCTGCCCAGCGGGGCCAGGCGCGCCCAGGCGGGTGTGCGGGAGGCGGGCCGAGCCGCGCGTGAGCGTGTTCCTCGCGCGGACTGGACACACAACAGCACCACGCACAACCCAGAGACCTCCGCAGCGCGGCGCCCCGAACCGCCCCCCTGGCTCGGTGCCTTTACTGCAGTGCGCCCTCCCTGCCACCCTCCTACCGCGGCCCCGCCCCCGGCCGGCTCGGGGCCAACCGGAGCCCGCCCCGCCCTGCCCTTATTTGCATATGACTGACGTTCCCCCGGGGCGGCCAATGGGGGCGGGCGCGGCGGGGCCTGACCCGCGCGCGGCGGCGGCAGCCAATGGGCTCACGCGCGGGGGGCCGGGCTTGCGCGGAAGGCCGCGGGGGAAGCGGGGAAGGGGCGGGGGGAGGCGCGGCGGGGGGAGGGGAGCGCGTAGTAGTGGCGGGGCGGGGAGGCGGTGGTGGTTCGGCGCGGGGCTCGCTCGGAGCGCACGGACGCACGCACGCTGGTCCGTCTGCCCGCCCGGGGCCGGAGGTCGACCCGGCGCTGAGCCTCGGGCCCGGGGCCCGGAAAGGCGGGGCGGCGGCGCCGGCAGCCGGGACGCGCGGGGCCAGAGCCGTTACCCGCCGGAGCTGCGAGGGAGGGAGGGAACGAGCGAGCCAGCGAGCGGGGAAGGGAGGGGGCCGCCCCCGCGCACGCGCGTCGCGCCCCGCCCCGCCTGCCCCGCCTGCCCCGCCCGCCGGACTCCGCGAGGGAGGAGGGAGAGGGAGGGGGCGGTGCCGATGGCCCCCGTGCCGCGCGCCCCGTGACGGCCCCCGCGCGCGCCGGGGGGCGGGGCGGGGCCGGTGCGCGCTGACCTCCCCCGCCCCCCGGGCGGCGGGAGGCAGGCGGCGCTGTGCGCAGGCGCGCCCGGCAGAGACCCCCGCGTGGGGCGGCCGGAGGGGGGCGGCGGGGGGGGGGGCATGCGGCGACGGCCTCCCGCTCCCCCCGGGCCCAAGCGGCGACGGCCGAGGAGCGGGCTGCGGGCGGAGCGGCGTCGGCCGCTGAGGAGGTGCGAGCCCCTGCCGGGTCCCCCCTGCGCCGGACCATGTATTCGGCCCACAGGCCCCTGATGCCCGCGTCCAGCGCGGCCTCCCGTGGCCTCGGCATGTTCGGTCAGTAGCGCCTGGGCCCTGGGACTGCAGGGGTCAAGGTGTCGGGGTGCTAAGTGCGGAGTAACGGTGGTGGGGGTATAGTAGGGGAGAGAACAGTAGAGGCAGAGTAAAGGGATGACGGGGAAAGTTACGGAGCTCGGCCGGGCCGAGTGGTTAGTGATGGCAGGTGGGAGTGTAGCGGAGTGGGGCGTATCTGGGGACAGCTGTGATGTTAAAGTGATGGGATGGCACAGGTCCGCTGTAATAGAAAGGTGAGGGGTGCAGAGTAACTGGCTCTGGAGCATGGGGTAGAATAGGAACAGCACGAGACCTGCTGGTCCTAGGGGAGGAGGCTTGGATTGGGTAGTGGGGCTAAGGACAGGGCTCAGGAAGCGAGTGAGGCACTGTTAGCTGAGATCAGAGTGACAGGCTGCAGTGTGTGGTGTAGTTTGCAGAGAGCGCGACACCTAAGAACCTGGAGGGTTGTGCACTGGGGAGGGGTTCAGGAGGGAGCAGGACCAAAGGACTGCCCTCCATTGTCTGCTGGGTCCCTTTTCCCCACCCCCCAGAAAAGAGGAGGCCTTGATGGGAAAGATCTTTGCAAAGAGAGGCACAGGTCTAAGTCCCTGGAGGCTTTTATATGGGGTTGGAGGGCCCAGCGGGTTTTCAGGGGTAAGGGACAGGGTCATCGTAGTCTTGAGTGCTCTTCAGTGCTGTCTTCGTGATCCCAGTCCCTTGTTTCCTGAGGTCTACTTTTTCCTTTGTCAGCCCCTCTCAGAATCAGGTCTCGAGGCCAGTGCCTCGCACAGAGCTCCCCCCTGTCCAGGCTTCTGAAGGCATGGGGAGGTCACCTCAGGTCAGGTTGATCCGGATCAAGGGAAGGCCTGGAATGATGGAGAGCAGGGCTAGGGCGGTTCCCTCCTCCCTTCTTCATCTTCCCCGAGCAGGGGCCTCTCTCCTCTGCTGGTTCCACTTCCCCCAGGGAGCCAGGCAGTGTGAGGGGAAGCCCACTGGTATCCTAGGCCCGCCCCAAAAGTCCAGCCAGGGGTAGGTCCCAGCCTAGGGCTTGCTCTTCCACCACCCACCTCTTGGGGCTGAAGGTTGGACCCCTGGGACCAGCCTCTTGGTGAGGAAGCATCTTCCTGTGCATATCCTCAAGGAAACACCTGGCACTTGTGCCCTCTCTGGGTAGAGACTTGTTACAATTCTCTCTTCTGGCCCATTGTCCGTGGTTTTTCTTCCAAGGAGTTTACCACACCCTCCCCTGTTTTGGGCAAGGGGGCTGGACCCTGGACTACAGATAAGCCGAGGGGCTGATGGGGAAGGGAGGCTGGGAGGCCGATTTCTGGATGGTGCATTGTCTTTGTGGGGGCAAAGGAGAGAGCTGCTGGAGCCACCTGTGCCCAGCCAGGAAGGGCAGGTCTGGCACTCTGTGTTTGTGGTGGGGGAGGAAGGCAAGGAGCAGGACCTCTCCCACACCACAGTTGTAAGAGACCCCACAGCCTGTGCATAGTGAACGGAGAGTTGGAGGGGAGGGGACGTGGGGCCGTATGCCTCAGGAAAGGGAAAGAGAGCATGAGGCCAAGGTGAGACGCTGTGTTGGGCGGCGACTGGGCTGCTGGGAATGTGGCATGACGGGGGTGGGGGTCCCAGCCCGTAGAGGTCTGGGGCCTTGGGAGTGTGGGATGGCAGCCAAGCATGACCTGGTTTGTGGCAGGAGCAAATCGTTCCTCTGGCCTGGTCCCTGGTGGCAGGGCTGGTGGAGATTGGTGGGGGGAGGAGTGGGGCGTGAGTACTATTTCCCTTCCCTGCTTCTGTTTTCTTTTTTATAAATCTAGAAACCTTTCAGGGAGGAGTTTTTCCTGAGTGACGTTGCATGGACGAGTCCAAGAGGCTCTGGTGTTGGGGGTGGGGGGTAGACAAAAGGGGTGGGGCTACCTCATCTAGGGTGGGGAAGAGCTTGAGTTGGGGTTGGGGCCAGGCTCTCCTGCTGCACAGCTCACCTGGCTCCTTTCCACAGTGTGGACGAATGTGGAACCTCGCTCTGTGGCTGTGTTCCCTTGGCACTCCTTAGTCCCCTTCCTGGCACCCAGCCAGCCTGACCCCTCCGTGCAGCCGAGCGAGGCCCAGCAACCTGCCAGCCACCCAGTGGCCTCCAACCAGAGCAAAGGTGAGGGCTGGTGGGGACTGGGGGGAGGCAAGGGTGTGGGGTCCAGGTGGCCTAGGAGCCCTCTGATCTACCTCTGTGTCCCCAGAACCTGCTGAGTCGGCAGCTGTTGCTCATGAACGGCCACCAGGTGGGACAGGGAGTGCTGACCCTGAGCGGCCCCCTGGAGCCACATGCCCTGAGAGCCCAGGACCCGGACCCCCACACCCTTTGGGGGTGGTGGAATCTGGTAAGGGTCCGCCTCCCACCACGGAGGAGGAGGCCTCCGGCCCCCCAGGAGAGCCCCGGCTGGACAGTGAGACAGAGAGTGACCATGATGATGCGTGAGTTCCCTGAGGCCTGGGACTTGGGGGTGGGATGGCCAGAGACATGGCCCTCACTGTCCCTGCTGCCCCGCCGCAGCTTCCTCTCCATCATGTCTCCTGAGATCCAGTTGCCTCTACCGCCCGGAAAACGTCGGACCCAGTCCCTCAGTGCCCTACCCAAGGAACGGGACTCATCTTCTGAGAAGGATGGACGCAGCCCCAACAAGGTACTTTATCCCTGCCTGTCCTGTGCTCACCCCGTGGCCACCCACACCTGTCTGCCAGGTCCTAACTGTCCCGCTCTGGGCTGTGTTTAATGCAGCGGGAGAAGGACCACATCCGGCGGCCCATGAATGCCTTCATGATCTTCAGCAAGCGGCACCGGGCCCTGGTCCACCAGCGTCATCCCAACCAGGACAACCGGACCGTCAGCAAGATCCTGGGCGAGTGGTGGTATGCCCTGGGGCCCAAGGAGAAGCAGAAGTACCACGACCTGGCCTTCCAGGTAACGCTGTTGCCTCTTGGCTCCTCCCAGCTTCTTCTGGTGGGGTGGGTGAGTGAAGGGTTGCCCTGCCCTCTCCTGCCAGGTGAAGGAGGCCCACTTCAAGGCCCACCCAGATTGGAAGTGGTGCAACAAGGACCGAAAGAAGTCCAGCTCAGAGGCCAAGCCCACGAGCCTGGGGCTGGCAGGAGGGCACAAGGAGACGCGGGAGCGGAGCATGTCGGAGACGGGCACTGCTGCTGCCCCTGGGGGTTAGTCAGCCCCTTGGCTCTCCCACCCTGCCACCTCCCTCCCCGAGAGCCACCAGCTACCCCCTTGCTTGCTCCTCCCCTGCCCCAGCAGCTCCTCTCTGCTCTATCGCTTTAATTTGGCGACCCTTATCCGTAAAGGAACCGGCAGTTGATTCATGTGACGGAGCCAGGGAGATCCACACAGATACTAAGATTCCCAAACAGCAATCTCGTTATCAACTGTTGTTTAACGAGTGTTTACTATGTGCCTGGCACTACAGGGAATATAAGCTGTAGTCTGCAAAACCCCATTCTATTTCTAGAAGAAGAAACTGAGGTTCAGAGAGGCAAAATCACTTGCTTAAAGTCATAAACAAGCAAATGACAGAGCCAGAATGTAAACCCCAGTTCGGCGGGCCCCCAGCACCATAGTTGGGGCCACTGCAGCTCGCAAACACCCCTGATGGGCTGCTTCCACTTATTGAGGTTGTCTGGTGTGCCTGGCGGTGTTCTGGGGCACATTTTTGGAGTGAGCCTATGGGTATGGCAGTTCTGTGAGGTTAGATGGATAGTTGCTATGGATATGCACTTCTATGAGAGTGGGGACACTAGTTACTTCCTCTTTGAGATGAGGGAACCGAGGCTCAGGCCAGCGGTTGGCTAGCCAGCACCACATGAACCTCTCTCCAGGCCTCCTTACTTTCAGGAGGGCTGCCCCCCAGGGAATGGGCCTGCTGCAACCCCAGAGGGCAGGAATCAGCAGGAATGAGATGCTGGACTGGTGGTGGGTGGTGGTTTTTTTTTTTCACCAAGTGGCCCAGAAATTCCAGCCTGCTTCTGCCTAGTACCTAGAAATATCTATGGGTTGTTGGGCCAGTCTAGGTGCTGGTGACAGGCTTACTGACTGTCATAGCGCCACTCTCTACTTTACAGTGTCCTCTGAGCTCCTGTCCGTTGCAGCCCAGACACTCCTGAGCTCAGACACCAAGGCTCCGGGGAGCAGCTCCTGTGGGGCAGAACGGCTACACACAGTTGGGGGACCTGGCTCAGCCCGGCCCCGAGCTTTCTCCCACAGCGGGGTACACAGCCTGGACGGCGGAGAAGTAGACAGTCAGGCGCTACAGGAACTGACGCAGGTCTAGGGTGCAGGCCCCCTAGTGGGGGTGGGCAGGGAACCTGTCCAGGGCAGCAGCCCCGCTGAACCCTCTCTGCCACCTATCCTGCAGATGGTGTCTGGCCCTGCATCGTACTCTGGCCCAAAGCCTTCTACCCAGTATGGAGCTCCAGGACCCTTTGCAGCCCCTGGTGAGGGAGGTGCCTTGGCGGCCACTGGGCGGCCCCCGCTGCTGCCCACCCGAGCTTCTCGTTCTCAGCGTGCGGCCAGTGAGGACATGACGAGTGATGAGGAGCGCATGGTCATCTGTGAGGAGGAAGGGGATGATGATGTCATTGGTGAGCATTGCAGGGCCCAGAATCTTGCCCAGGACCCAGCAGGCCAAGGCTCAGAGGGTGGGCAGAACTTGGATCCAGGCCCCTAGGCCCCTTTGTTTTCTTTTCCACTTGGTTTATGGTTGCATGTGGCCAGTTCAGGCCCTGCCGAGTAAATCCAGCCCTGCCCTCAGGAAGCCCCCAGCCCTGCAGGAAATCTGGAGGACAGGGGGCATGACCAGATCTTCAGGTGCAGTGTTAGGGGCTCTGTCCTGCAGGCTCATAGGCTCCTGCACTGGGCAGTGGGCACTGGGCATGTGGGCACAGCCCTGGGCTGAGGAGTAGCCTTCCTGGACAGCACTCCCTGCCGGTTTGGAGCAGAGCTGAGATCCAGGCTCCAGACTGTTTCTCCTGGGTCCCCCTGCATCTAGCCCCCTCCCCATACTGTTCCCTCCACTCCCTCAGCTGACGATGGCTTCGGCACCACTGACATTGATCTCAAGTGCAAGGAGCGGGTGACCGACAGCGAGAGTGGGGACAGCTCTGGGGAGGACCCAGAGGGCAACAAGGTGAGGGCTTGGGTCACGGTGCTGTCCCATCACACTCCCTCCTAAGCCATGGGAATGTCTGTTTCTCCCGGGCTTGAGAGAGGGGGAGATTAAGGTCCAGAGAGGGCAAGCTGCTTGCCCCGTGGGGAGTTGGGTCATAGTCAGGATGAATTGAGGCCTTCAGCTGGCAGGGGTGCAGCCCTAGGCTGGCCTGGCTGACAGGCTGGATGGGCATGGCTAGGGGGCTGCTATCGAGGTGTCGGAGTGTCCTGACCTGGGGTGTCTCCCTTCCTTTCATGCAGGGCTTTGGTCGGAAGGTGTTTTCACCTGTGATCCGTTCCTCCTTTACCCACTGCCGCCCCCCACTGGACCCTGAGCCCCCAGGGCCCCCGGATCCTCCTGTAGCCTTTGGCAAAGGCTATGGTTCCGCCCCATCCTCCTCTGCGTCCTCGCCTGCTTCCTCCTCAGCCTCGGCAGCCACCTCCTTCTCACTGGGCTCAGGAACCTTCAAGGCCCAGGAGTCTGGTCAGGGCAGCACAGCGGGCCCCCTACGGCCCCCACCCCCTGGGGCTGGGGGTCCAGCGACACCTTCCAAGGCAACCCGGTTCCTCCCAATGGATCCTGCCACCTTCCGGCGCAAGAGACCCGAAAGTGTGGGTGGCCTGGAGCCACCAGGCCCCTCAGTCATCGCGGCCCCTCCCAGCGGAGGAGGAAACATCCTGCAGACACTGGTGCTGCCCCCAAACAAGGAGGAGCAAGAGGGCGGCGGAGCCAGAGTGCCCTCCGCCCCCGCCCCATCACTGGCCTATGGGGCCCCAGCAGCTCCCCTGTCCCGTCCTGCCGCCACCATGGTCACCAATGTGGTGCGGCCTGTCAGCAGCACTCCTGTGCCCATCGCCTCTAAGCCCTTCCCCACCTCTGGCCGGGCTGAGGCGTCTCCAAATGACACAGCAGGTGCCAGGACTGAAATGGGCACTGGGTCTCGGGTGCCTGGGGGCTCCCCGCTGGGTGTCAGCTTAGTGTATTCGGACAAGAAGTCGGCAGCAGCCACCTCACCAGCCCCACACTTGGTGGCTGGACCCCTGCTGGGCACTGTGGGGAAGGCGCCTGCCACTGTCACTAACCTACTGGTGGGCACCCCGGGGTATGGGGCCCCTGCGCCCCCTGCTGTCCAGTTCATTGCCCAGGGGGCCCCTGGTGGTGGGACCACTGCGGGCTCAGGAGCAGGTGCTGGGAGTGGCCCCAATGGGCCAGTACCCCTGGGCATCCTGCAACCAGGTGCCCTGGGCAAGGCTGGGGGAATCACCCAGGTACAGTACATCCTGCCCACGCTGCCCCAGCAGCTTCAGGTGGCACCTGCCCCAGCACCAGCCCCTGGGACCAAGGCAGCGGCTCCCAGCGGCCCTGCACCCACCACCAGCATCCGTTTCACCCTCCCACCGGGCACTTCCACCAACGGCAAAGTCCTGGCTGCCACTGCACCCACTCCTGGCATCCCCATCCTGCAGTCTGTACCCTCCGCCCCACCCCCCAAAGGTGAGACCTGGGCCGGGCAGCACTAGGGGAGGGGCCATAGTCCTGTTTGGCTCCCTTGTAACCTTTTCCTTTCTTGCCTCTTAACTTCCAGCCCAGTCAGTTTCTCCCGTGCAGGCCCCGCCCCCGGGTGGCTCAGCCCAGCTGCTGCCTGGGAAGGTCCTAGTGCCTCTGGCCGCCCCTAGCATGTCAGTGCGGGGTGGAGGGGCCGGCCAGCCACTGCCACTGGTGAGCCCGCCCTTCTCAGTACCTGTGCAGAATGGTGCCCAGCCCCCCAGCAAGGTGAGGGCCTGCCTTTCTCTCTACCTGCTGGATGTTGGCCCCTGTACCCCATCATTTCTTTGTCTTTTTTTTCAGTCTTTTCTCCTTCTCCATGTATCTGGTTCTCTGTCTTGCCATCTTCCGTGATGTCTCTGTGCATCCTGACTCTCTCAAGTCCTCAGTGTCTGTACCCTCCTCCTTCTCTGTGTCCCCACCTCTCACTGTCATCTTGCCCATCCTGTTCTCACCCCAAGTTCTGTGTTCCTTGCTTTTGCTTAGAGTCCCACTTGAGGTCTTGGTCTTCCCCTGCCCCAGTCTGGGGCCACAGCTCACCCTGGCCTATGGGTGCCCTTCTCCACAGATCATCCAGCTGACCCCGGTGCCTGTGAGCACACCCAGCGGCCTGGTGCCGCCCCTGAGCCCAGCCACACTCCCTGGACCCACCTCTCAGCCTCAGAAGGTCCTGTTGCCCTCCTCCACCAGGTAATTGCAGCTGAGCCCATACTCAGAGGCCAGGGAAGGGGTGGGGCGGGGCCGGCTTACCTCACTCCTCCCCATTTCCTCTCCTGCGGCAGAATCACCTATGTGCAGTCAGCGGGCGGGCACGCGCTGCCCCTGGGTACCAGCCCTGCGTCCAGCCAGGCTGGAACAGTCACCTCGTACGGGCCCACGAGCTCTGTAGCTCTAGGCTTCACCTCGCTGGGGCCCAGCGGCCCCGCCTTCGTGCAGCCCCTGCTCTCAGGTGAGGGGCGGCCTGGCAGGCAGTGCTGGGGACCCAGGGTGGGGCTGAGGCAGTCCGGGCCCTAACTTGGTCTCCTGCTTCTTCTTCTCTGTCTTTCAGCAGGCCAAGCCCCACTGCTGGCTCCCGGTCAGGTGGGCGTGTCACCTGTGCCCAGTCCCCAGCTGCCGCCTGCCTGTGCAGCCCCCGGAGGTCCTGTCATAACAGCATTTTACTCTGGCAGCCCTGCACCCACCTCCTCAGCACCCCTGGCCCAGCCATCCCAGGCCCCCCCAAGCCTGGTCTACACTGTGGCCACCAGCACAACCCCACCTGCAGCCACCATTCTGCCCAAGGGCCCGCCAGCCCCTGCCACTGCCACCCCAGCCCCGACTAGCCCTTTCCCCAGCGCCACAGGTAGGTGTCAGATCAACCCAGAGCAGAGTGAGTTGGGGGACCCAGGGGATGGGCTCCAGTCAGGCCTGGCTCAGCAAACAATTTTCTCCCCACTAGCAGGTTCCATGACCTACAGCTTAGTGGCCCCCAAGGCCCAGCGGCCCAGCCCGAAGGCCCCCCAGAAAGTGAAGGCAGCCATCGCCAGCATTCCCGTGGGGTCCTTTGAGGCAGGTGCCTCTGGGCGGCCTGGCCCTGCACCCCGGCAGCCTCTGGAGCCTGGCCCAGTCCGAGAGCCAACTGCCCCAGAGTCTGAGCTTGAGGGGCAGCCCACACCACCAGCCCCTCCACCCCTGCCAGAGACCTGGACTCCCACGGCCCGGAGCAGCCCCCCACTGCCCCCACCTGCTGAGGAGCGGACCAGCGCCAAGGGCCCTGAGACCATGGTGAGCGCCTGCAGGCCGTGGGGCTCCCACTGCCACTTGGCTGTGCCTCTCCATTGACGTCTTTGCTTTTCTGTCCTACTCTTCTTTCCATGCCTGTGTGTCTCTCAGGTTAAAGGGTCCCCTCTGTCCCTTCTGCCTGCCTGTGTTGTCTCCTCTCCCATCTGAGGCCCCTGTCTTGGCCTTCCTGAGGCCGTGTGACAGCCTTCTCAAGGGGTCTGCTGGGCGGGCTCAGATCCAACTCTTTGTTTCTGGCCTTTGCCCCAGAGTCTGAGCTCAGTGTTCGCCATCTCCCTGCCCATCTCCACCCCAGGCCAGCAAATTCCCCAGCTCATCTTCAGACTGGCGCGTCCCTGGGCAGGGCCTGGAGAATCGTGGGGAGCCTCCCACTCCTCCCAGCCCGGCCCCAGCTCCAGCTGTAGCCCCTGGTGGCAGCAGCGAGAGCAGCAGTGGGCGGGCAGCCGGGGACACCCCGGAGCGCAAGGAGGCGGCTGGTACTGGCAAGAAGGTGAAGGTGCGGCCCCCGCCCCTGAAGAAGACCTTTGACTCTGTGGACAAGTGAGCATGGGCTGGGGCCTTGGTGGAGCGTGTTAGGGTGGCGGGAGTGGGAGCAGCTGCAGGCTGAGGCGGGGGAGGTGACCCTGCCGGCCCTCCAGCAGGGTCCTGTCAGAAGTGGACTTCGAAGAGCGCTTTGCTGAGTTGCCTGAGTTTCGGCCTGAGGAGGTGCTGCCCTCCCCCACCCTGCAGTCTCTGGCCACCTCACCCCGGGCCATCCTGGGCTCTTACCGCAAGAAGAGGAAGAACTCCACGGGTAGGCGAGCATTGGGCACCCAGGGTCCTTAGGTGGAGGGCAGACTGGGGCCACCTGCACTGAGTCTGCTTCTGTTTGGCCAGACCTGGATTCAGCACCCGAGGACCCCACCTCGCCCAAGCGCAAGATGAGAAGACGCTCCAGCTGCAGCTCGGAGCCCAACACCCCCAAGAGTGCCAAGTGCGAGGGGGACATCTTCACCTTTGACCGTACAGGTGCCGTGGTGGGCAGAACTTTGGGGGCCTGGGGACCTGCAAGAGGAGTGGGTCTCTGGAAGGCGGTTAGAGAGTGAGAGAGGTAGGGTGGGTCCATCCAGGCTGGGAGGAAGCACAGCCTGTCAGTGGTGGGTTCTGGAGTCTGGCAGGCCCCTAGGTTGCCCTGTGACTGTGGGCAGGACCCCTCTCTGACTCCCCTGTGAAATAGAATGCAGTGAGGGCTTGGGTGGGCACTCAGACGGTGGCAGGAAGGCCCTGCCGCTGCTGCAGCCTTGCCATGCTGCCTGTGCCCTGCACAGGTACAGAAGCCGAGGACGTGCTTGGGGAGCTAGAGTATGACAAGGTGCCATACTCCTCCCTGCGGCGCACCCTGGACCAGCGCCGGGCCCTGGTCATGCAGCTCTTTCAGGACCATGGCTTCTTCCCGTCAGGTGAGCCTGTCTCGGAGTCTTGGGGTCACTCGGGTGGGACTTATCTGTACATCTCATCCTGTGCTCCCCACCGTTTTTCTATCTCCAGCCCAGGCCACAGCCGCCTTCCAGGCCCGCTATGCAGACATCTTTCCCTCCAAGGTTTGTCTGCAGTTGAAGATCCGTGAGGTGCGCCAGAAGATCATGCAGGCTGCCACTCCCACGGAGCAGCCCCCTGGAGCTGAGGCTCCTCTCCCTGTACCGCCCCCCACTGGCACCGCTGCTGCCCCTGCCCCCACTCCCAGCCCCGCAGGGGGCCCTGACCCCACCTCACCCAGCTCGGACTCTGGCACGGCCCAGGCTGCCCCGCCACTGCCTCCACCCCCAGAGTCGGGGCCTGGACAGCCTGGCTGGGAGGGGGCTCCCCAGCCCTCCCCCCCACCCCCAGGTCCCTCCACAGCTGCCACAGGCAGGTGAGGGACCCCTGAGAAGATGCCAGGACTTATAGTACCCCCTCAGGACATGGACAGTATGTGGGGGCAGGAAGGTTATCTCCTCCCGGGTAAAGCCATTTCGTCCTCTCCAGTTTGGGGCGGAATGAGGCCTGCTCCTCTTGTAAATACCCCCTTCCCTCGAAGCTCCCTCCCGGTGCTGGGGGGCAGCTGAGGGGCTGCAGGGGCAGTCTCCCTCCTCCAAGCCCCTGTACATAACCTGGAGCGTGTGACCTTCAGAGCTTTTCACTTTATGCAAAATGGCTCCTGTGAGGGCTGCAAGCTGGAGGGTGGTGCAGGCCTTGGGCCACAGGGAGGCGCCTGTGGAATAGGGGGAGTTCATGCACCCCTTTTTTCCCCAGAGGGGCTGGACTCAGGTTAGTTTGGGGGTGGGGGCTCCTGCACTTTGCCACAGGCACGGGGAGGGTTTTCTCCTCACCCCCTCTGCCCTCCCAACTTGGGTTGTACTTTCTAAGAAGGTGATTCCCCCTGCCCTTGCCCCCTTCCCCAGAACAAAACATGTTGATCATGTGCAATATTTCTTACTGTGCCGAGAAGCCGCAATGAGCGAGATTAAAGCTGTTTAACACACCTGTGTGGCTGTAGGCTCTTAACAGGGAGGGCTGTTGGTTGTACCAGTCCTGTCCTGAGTTGTCATGGAGCGGTAGGCTTTCCATGAGGTGGGGGCAACAATTCCAGTACCACTGCCCCCAACTTCAGAGGAACCCCATAGGCCAGGTCCCTGACTTGCTGTGGACCAGATGGCCCCTCTCCAGTTTAGGAGCCTGTGCGCTCCGGGAGCCTCAATGCCTGCTGGCCCTGTTCTCAGCCATTGGACTGCGTGAGTTTGGGGAAGGCCTGAGGCAAGATGCCACTGGATGGTTTACCCTCACTGGCTCTGGGGTCATTCGTACTCAGGAAACAGGTCCCAAGAGGTCCTAGCCCAGAGGTGGCAGTGGGTGGGAGGGAGCCTAGTCTACCTGGAATACCCTTGGTCCTCAGTGTGACCCCTGCTGCCCCCATGTGGCCTGGGCCTGCACTGCAACTGGGCTTGAAGGAACCTCCCCTGGGTGACACCCCTCCTGCTCAGCATGTGGACACAGTGCCCACCTGAGGTGACAAGATACCTACACCCTGTGTGGAGGGATGACAACTAGGAGTGGGAGGGTCAGGACACCTCCACAGAAGTGGCATCTAAGCTAGAGATGGAGCACCAGGAAGTTCCAGCCAGGGCAACCGCATATGCACTGGGTCACTATGTTCCCAGAATTCTTGCCTGAGCTTGGTCCTGTAGGATAGTGCTGGAAAGCTGGTCTTAACTAGTGTTTACTGATTGGTAACGCCTGCCTGAAGCACACTATTGTGATAGTGGAAATTAACCTAACCACAAGAATCACAGTGCCTTAATGGATCAGTGATACCTGCCCTGGGCAGAAATAGAACCACAGCCAGGCATGGTGGCTCATGTCTGTAATGCCAGCACCCTGGGAGGCCGAGGCAGGTGGATTGCTTGAGCTCAGGAGTCAGATCAGCCTGGGCAACATGGCAAAACCACTTCTCTACAAAAAATACAATAAGCTGGACCTAGTGGCACATGCTTATAGTAGCAGCTATTCAGGAGGCTGAGGTGGGTGGATCACTTGAGCCTGGGAGGTTGAAGTTGCAGTGGGCTGTGGTCTCACCACTGTACTCTAGCCTGGGTGACGGAGAGAGACCCTGTCTCACACAAAAAACACCTTGCAGAACTGCAGGGTCACAGATCAGGATAAGGACTAATGGTGGTACCCAGATACCCAGACAGGTTCGACCATAAAGCAGGAAACAGCACACTGAGGAAGGAGAGTTTAATGTTGTGGGAAGGCAGCAGGATGCTTAGGGTGCGGGCTCCAGCAGGGGAGCACCTTGGCCCTGGTCTTGGGCCAGCAGACGCAGAAGCAGGGAGTGCAGAGCCCGGCAAACAGGTGTGTAGCCCAGGCGGCTCAGATGCAGGTAATCATACATGTCATGATGGCTGATGGTGCCATCTGAGTGCACAAAGCCAGGGTCGGCATCTAGGAAGTGGGCCCGAGGGTGGCCAGCCAGTGCCGCCCGTACCAGCTCGTTCACCTGTCGGTTCTTCTCCCGAAGTGGGTTGGGATGTTGGCCTCGCGGAAGCAGGCCCTGAGCAGGAACACGAGGCGTAGTAAGGAAACAAGCATTTGAGTATCTTGTTCTCTGTGCCAACCTGTCCTCCACCCACCACCATGAAGTTTCCAGCTGCAGAAAACACTAGGGATGGGCAAGTGGGGAGGGTGGGAGGGTAGTTCCTAAATATCACATCCTAGCCCTCATTTAGCAAGAGACTTCTGGGTTTTACCCTCTTTCGTTTTCTTTTTTTTTTTTTTTTGAGACAGAGTCTTGCTCTGTCGCCCAGACTGGAGTGCAGTGGCGCGATCTCGACTCACTGCAAGCTCCGCCTCCCAGGTTCACGCCATTCTCCTGCCTCAGCCTCCCAAGTAGCTGGGACTACGGGCACCCACCATCATGCCCGGCTAATTTTTTGTATTTTTATTAGAGACGGGGTTTCACCGTGTTAGCCAGGATGGTCTCGATCTCCTGACTTCATGATCCGCCCGCCTCGGCCTCCCAAAGTGCTGGGATTACAGGCGTGAGCCACCATGCGCGGCCTAGCCTCTTTCCAAGTATCACTTAGAAAAATGTTGACATTGGCTAGGTTCAGTGGCTCACGCCTGTAATCCCAGCATGATGGGAGGCAGAGCTGGATAGGTCGCTTGAGCCCAGGAGTTCGAGACCAACCTGGGCAACATGGTGAAACCCCATCTCTAACAAAAATACACAAAAATTAGTGGGACATGATGGCGTGTGCCTGTAGTCCCAGCTACTCGGGAGGCTGACGTGGGAGAATCACTTGAGCCCTGGAAGCAGAAGTTGCAGTGAGCTGAGATCATGCCACCGCACTCCAGCCTGGGCAACAGAGCCAGATCCTGTCTCAAAAAATAAATAGGCCAAGGGAGGTTGCTCACGCCTGTAATCCCAGCACTTTGGGAGGCTGAGACGGGTGGATCACTTGAGGTCAGGAGTTTGAGGCCAGCCCGGCCAACATGGTGAAATGCCATCTCTACTAAAAATACAAAAATTAGCCAGGTGTGGTGGCACGCGCCTGCAGTCTCAGCTACTGTGAAGGCTGAGGCAGGAGAATCACTTGAACCCAGGAGGAGGAGGTTGCAGTGAGGCCAGATTGCGTCACTGCACTCTGGCCTGGCAACAGAGCAAGACTCTGTCCCAAAATAAATAAATAAATAAAAGATATCAACATCATGGCTCATGCCAAGGGATCAATCCGTTTTCAGAAGAGGAAATATCCTAGCTACCTACAAGTGATGGAGCCTAGATTTACCCCAGGAATGCCTGACAACTTTTGGCCTATTCAAGGTTTTTTGAGGGTTTTTCTTTTGTTTTCTGGTGAGACAGGGTCTCTGTCACCCGGGCGAGAGTGCAGTAGCATGATCACAGCTCACTGTTACCTTGAATTCCTGGGCTCAAGTGATCCTTCTCCTTTAGCCTCCCAAGTAGCTGGGGTTACAGGTTTTGCGCACCATCATACCCAGCTAATTCTTTTTTTTTTTGAGATGGAGTCTTGCTCTGTTGCCCAGGCTGGAGTGCAGTGGCACAATCTCGGCTCACTGCAAGCTCCGCCCCCCGGGTTCATGCCATTCTCCTGCCTCAGCCTCCCAAGTAGCTGGGACTACAGACGCCTGCCACCACGCCCGGCTAATTTTTTGTATTTTTAGTAGAAACGGGGTTTCACCTTGTTAGCCAGGATGGTCTCGATCTCCTGACTTTGTGATCCACCCTCTTCAGCCTCCCAAAGTGCTGGGATTACAAGTTTACAGGCGTGAGCCACCGCACCCGGCTTTTTTTTTTTTTTGAGACAGAGTTTCGCTCCTGTTGCCCAGGCTGGAGTGCAATGGTGCAATCTTGGCTCACCCCAACCTCCACCTCCTGGGTTCAAGCGATTCTCCTGCCTTAGCCTCCCAAGTAGCTGGGATTATAGGCATGTGCCACCACGCCCAGCTAATTTTGTATTTTTAGTAGAGATGGAGTTTCTCCACGTGTGGTCAGGCTGGTCTTGAACTCCCGACCTCAGGTGATCTGCTTGCCTCGGCCTCCCAAAGTGCTGGGATTACAGGCATGAGCCACTGCGCCCAGCCCATGCCCAACTAATTTTTTTTTTTTTGAGACGGAGTCTCGCTCTGTCGCCCAGGCTGGAGTGCAGTGGCACAGTATCAGCTTACTGCAAGCTCCGCCTCCCAGGTTCATGCCATTCTCCTGCCTCAGCCTGCCAAGTTAGCTGGGACTACAGGTGCCCGCCACCACGCCCGGCTAATTTTTTTTTGTATTTTTAGTAGAAATGGGGTTTCACCGTGTTAGCCAGGATGGTCTTGATCTCCTGACCTCGTGATCCACCTGCCTCGGTCTCCCAAAGTGCTGGGATTACAGGCGTGAGCCACCGTGCCTGGCCCGTTTTTTAGTTTTTCAATACCCCCAAAGTCTTAAGCCATCCCTGGGCAAAAAAGGCTAATTGGTCTCGGAGCATATTCTCAACCACAGCCACTCTGAAGGGTATAGCAAGCTCCAACGTGAGATTCTGCCTAAAAGCCACTGCTCTATGTCAAGCTGCCTAGAACTGTGCCAACTGTGGCTATATCTGAGGGGGTCCCAGACCACTGCCATTCTTCCTTTCCCACTCTCCCAGCCTCTCACCAGCACCACAACCCGGGCCTGGGGCTGTCGCTCATTCACCAGTTGCACAATGGCCTTGATGCCACCAGTCACCTGCTCTGCTGTGTGTCCGTGGTTGTTGGTGCCCACCCAGACCACCACAATCTGTGGAAAAAGAGACATGAAGCAGCGGTGAGGGGGCAGCCAAAAGATGTTTTAGAGCCCCACCCAAGCCCCGCTCACCTTGGGCCGGATGTGTTCCAGCTCCCCATTCTCCAGCCGCCACAGTACATGCTGTGTGCCGTCACCACCAATGCCAAAGTTAAGTGCATGCAGAGGAGAGAAGAGCTCGCGCCAGATCTGTGGGCAAGAAGTGGTGTGGGCAAGAAGTGGTAGGGGCACAAGGGCACTGTCCGCATGGACCATCCCCCTCTGTCCAGGTGTTAACCAAATGCCATTATGGAAGAACCTTACTTCATGGAAGCAGTCTTAAAATTTTACCTGGAGCAAACTCCAGCATGGCTGAACCTCACTTTATAGAAATCTATTAGAGTCTCTCACTTATTTTATTTTATTTTATATTTTTGAGACAGAGTTATTTTATTTTTGAGACAGAGTCTCACTCTGTCACCCAGGCTGGAGTGCACTGGCACTATCTCGGCTCACTGCAACCTCCGCCTCCCTAGTTCAAGTGATTCTCATGTCTCAGCCTCCTGAGTAGCTGGGACTACAGGTGTACGCCACCACGTCCAGCTAATTTTTTGTATTTTTAGTAGAGATGGGGTTTCACCATGTGGGCCAGACTGGTCTCGAACTCCTGACCTCAGGTGATCCACCTGCCTCGGCCTCCCAAAGTGGTGGGATTACAGGCGTGAGCCCATGGTGCCCAGCCTATTTATTTTTTGAGACGGAGTTTTGCTCTTGTTGCCCAGGCTGGAGTGCAGTAGTGCGATCTCGGCTCATTGCAATCTCTGCTTCCCAGGTTCTGGCGATTCTCCTGCCTCAGCCTGCCAAGTAGCTGGGACTATAGGCATGTGCCACCATGCCCAGCTAATTTTTGTATTTTTAGTAGAGACAGGATTTCGCCATGTTGGCCAGGGTGGTCTCGAACTCCTGGCCTCAGGTCATCCGCCTGCCTTGGCCTCCCAAAGTGCTGGGATTACAGGCGTAAGCCACCACACCCTGCCTAGAGTCTCTCACTTTAAACCAAGCCCCAGGCTCTGTTGCTCATGCTGAGGTGGGCGGACTGCTTGAGCCCAGGAGTTCAAGACCAACCTGCGCAACAGGGCAAAACCCCATCTCTACAAAAATTACAAAAATTAGCCAGGTGCATGGTGATGTGCACCTGTAGTCCCAGCTACTCGGAGACTAAGGTGGGAGGATCACTTGAGCCCAGGAGGCAGAGGTTGCAGTGAACAGAGATCATACCACTGCACGCCAGCCTGGGTGACAGAGCAAGACCCTGTCTCAAAAACCAACCAACCAACCAACCAACCAACAAAACAAACCAAGCCCCATAGAAGCAAGACTCACTTCATGAAAATCCAGTCTGCTTGAGCCATGCATTGAATCAATGGCATTACAGTTGAAACTTATTTTGATGAAACCCATTACAGTTGGACATGCTTTGTGGAAAGATATTATTATGATTGAGTCCTCTTTGTGGAGTGCCATTAGAGTTGCCCTTCGCTTCCTGTAAAGTGACTATAGCTTTGTGTAAACCCAACAGGGCTGCGCACTACTTAAAGCAAACAAGAAAGAGCCTCACTTTAGGCAAGCCTATGGCAGGAAAGCCTCATTTTAGGTCTTAGTACATTATACACAAATCCAATCTGATAAAACCAAGGCATACATTTCTTTCTCAATAGAATGTTGCACCTTACACCAAGATTCTCAGAGCCTCGGGCTGCCTGAGGCCAATCTGGGTACTCTCATAATACCTCACCTGGCCTGGGTTCTGGTCCAGATGTGTCAGCATGGACACAGGGCTGGATGGGGCAGGGGGAGAGGGACTGCCCTCACCTCGCACTGGTGCATGAGCTGGACCAAGGAGTCCCCGATGAAGACGACTTCGGGTTCCTTATCTTTGCTGTCAGCCACGAACCGATGGTGCTGCGGGAGCGCGCGAGAGGGAGTCAATGGCATGCACGCTCCAGGGCCCGCCCCGCCCTGCTCCCTTAGGCAGCGCCTCCTCAACTGCCCTCAGTTTCCCAATCAGGTAGTGAGAGTGGCACGAACCAGCCGTTCTCCTGAGCCACCCCCCGCGCCCCCGGACTCCTCAATATCCCAGGTGGGAACGCTCACCAGGGACATCCAGCGCCCGTCGCCCTGTACGTCCTGCACCGGCGTGGGCTTGCTGGCTGGGTTCTCCTCTCCACTCATCTTGGCGCCGCAGCTCCTGCAGGATGAGCGAGTCGGGTCGGCCCGGGAGTGTTCCGAACGGAGCTGGCTCCGCCACGCCCACTCCTACCCCTCGCGGCAACAAAGGACCGTCCCAACGCTAGCACACCCGCGGAGGACGAAGGCCGATACAGGGCGCCGCCTCCTCTCCAGGGACGGAAGCCTTCACTTAGGAGGTAGGTGGAATCAGGAACCTTCGCTTCCCCCACGACGGCCGCACAGTGGGCTCGCCCGGCGCTTCCCGCTCGGGCCGCTGACTCCCAGGCCGCGCACCCGGCACGGGGTGGGGGGAGGGAGAGGCGAGACCATCCAGCTCCCGAGGCGGGGAGGAGGGAGAAACCACCCACCGGTCACGGGGAGGGGCGAACTACCTGAAGAGTCGAGAGTGGGCGGGGAAAATCTAGCCCTCTGTCTAGCAAATGGGAAGAAACCATTTGCTGTACAGAGTGAAATGTGCGGAAGGGACCACCTACTGTTGCGGGGGGGGGGGTGACCCATTCACGTGGTGGGGGGAGGGGAGCGAGTGGACGAGTCCATTCTTATATTCCCTTGAAGGGGTGGCTCGAATGCACCTGGCTGGGGGGGACGCTCCTATTTTCTACTGATGTGGGGGACAGAAAAGGAAGATGACAAAATGTGAAAATTCGAGGCTCCCTTCTAAGGAGCCACTCTAAGGCCGCGCCAGGGCTTTAGTGAGCCTATCTACTCGTGGGCTTCCCCTACTCAAAACACCGTGGGTGTGTGTGTGTGTGTGTGTGTGTGTGTGTGTGTGTGTGTGTTGAAATCTAAAGTACATATCTTTGCATTCAAGACATCACAGGACCCCTACTCAAAACACCGTGTGTGTGTGCGCGCGCGTGGCATAACATATAAACTACATATCTTTGCATTCAAGACACCATAGGACCTGCTTGGAGGGTAGAAGAAGGTGCAGAAAGAGAAAGGAAATTAGAGACGCCTCCAGGGCTCAGGTCCAGTCTGGCGTCCCTCCGGCAGATCATCTTGCAGATCTGCAGCCTCTACACTCTCTCTAAACCCACAGGCCAACTGGGTATGTCTGAGCTCTGAAACCTACATCCATAGCCAAGGCCACCTAGGGTCGCGCCTCTCCCCCAACGCTGCCCCAAATTAATCTCAGACCTCAGTGTCTTCTCAGATCTCCCTCTTCTCTGGGACCAGGTGGGGGGCTCACTCCCTGCTAAACGTCCTGGTCATGTTCTTGTAGCCTCACTCCAGGTGGGACCTTCCCATGTATTCATTCCTTCGAGGTGGATTGATACTGAGACAGAGATGAGTGTTATTCATTGTGTTTATGTTTTCAATCCACTTTCCTGGAACTGGGCCGGGCACACAGTGGTTATTCCACAAGTGCTTGCTGAATGAGTAGTAAATGAGTGGGTCAGCTCCTGACCTTGTCCCAATGTGTTTAGGGAGACAGATCCAGACACAGAGGTGTAGGGGTGTCAAAGTTGTGTTTGAGGGAGAGACAGGGACCTCTGGGGAGGAAGAGGAGAAGGACTCTGAGGACTATGGGTTTCCTAGGAGTAGTATCTCAGCTGGGTCTGAAAGATAATGAAGAATGGGCAAGCAGAAAGAAAAGACACAGGTAATCACTTTCTTATTAGGTTTGGGGAATATCGTGGAATAGCTTGATTTTAAAGTCTGAGGGAGGCCAGCATGGAGGCTCATGCCTGTAATCCCAGCACTTTGGGAGGCTGACATGGTCGGATCACTTGAGGTCAACCAGCCTGGCCAACATGGCGAAACCACGTGTCTACTAAATATACAAAAAAAAAAAAAAAATTAGCTAGGCATGGCAGCACACGCCCGTAGTCCCAGCTACTTGGGAAGGCTGAGGCAGGACAATTGCTTGAGTCTGGGAGGCAGAGGTTGCAGTGAGCTGAGATCGCGCCACTGCAGCCCAGCCTGGGCAACAGTGGCCCAGCTTGGGTGACACAGCGAGACTCTGTCTTAATTACAAAAATAAACAAACAAATAAAGTCTGAGGGAGCCAGGTGCAGTGATGCATGCCTGTAGTCCCAGCTACTGGGGAGGCTGAGGTGCGAGGATCGCTTGAACCCAGAAGTTTGAGACCAGCCTGGGTAACACAGTGAGACCCTGTCTAAAAAAAAAAAAAAAAAAAGGCTGGGCGCGGTGGCTCACGCCTGTAATCCCAGCACTTTGGGAGGCCGAGGTGGGCAGATCACGAGGTCAGGATCGAGACCATCCTGGCTAACACGGTGAAACCCCGTCTCTACTAAAAATACAAAAAATTAGCGGGGCGTGGTGGCAGGCGCCTGTTGTCCCAGCTACTTGGGAGGCTGAGGCAGGAGAATAGCGTGAACCTGGGAGGCAGAGCTTGCAGTGAGCCGAGATGGCACCAGTGCACTTCAGCCTGGGAGACAGAGCGAGACGCCGTCTCAAAAAAAAAAAAAAAAAAAAAAAGGGCAAGTGCCTGTAGTCCCAGTTAGTTGGGAGGCTGAGGCAGGAGGATAGCTTGAGCCTGGGAGATGAGGTGGCAGTGGCCCATGATGGTGTCACTGCACTCCAGGTTGGGTGACAGAGTGAGTCCCTGTCTCCAAAAAAGAAGTCATAATCAGCTAGGCACGGTGGCTCACTCCTATAATCCCAGCACTTTGGGAGGCTGAGGTGGGCAGATCACTTGGCGTCAGGAGTTCAAGACCAGTCTGACCAACATAGCAAAACCCCATCTCTATTAAAAAATACAAAGATTAGCTGGGCAAGGTGGTCTGCGCCTGTAGTCCCAGCTACCTGGGAGGCTGAGGCAGGAGAATCGCTTGAACCCGGGAGGTGGAGGTTGCAGTGAGTTCAGACTGTGCCACTGCACTCCAGCCTCAGTGACAGATTTAAATTCCATCTCAAAAAGAAAAGGAAAGAAAAGAAAAGAAAAGAAAAAAGTCTTAATTATGCCTTCAAGTCAGTGATATAAGAGAGAATTTTTTTTTTTTTTGATAGAGTCTCGCTCTGTCGCCTAGGCTGGACTGCAATGGCGCGATCTCGGCTCACTGCAACCTCTGCCTCCCAGGTTCAAGCGATTCTCCTGCCTCAGCCTCCTGAGTAGCTGGGACTACAGGCGTGTGCCACCACGCCCGGCTAATTTTTTGTATTTTTAATAGAGAAGAGGTTTCACTGTGTTAGCCAGGATGGTCTCGATCTCCTGACCTCGTGATCTACCTGCCTTGGCCTCCCAAAGTGCTGGGATTACAGGCGTGAGCCACCATACCCAACCGAGAAAAAAATTTTTAAAAATAAAGTCTTAGAGGATAAGTTGGAGCAGTTCCTGAAGCAAAGCTTAGTGAGAAACAAAGCTTCCAGGCATTCTTCATTCACCAGGCCCATTTCAAGTTAGACATATTGGTCTAGTTTATCCTTCTAGCAACCAAATGAGGAAGGTAGTTTTATTACCAACCCAATTTTACAGGTCAGAAAACTAAGTCTGACCAGTTACAAACATTTCCAAGGTCACACAGCCCAGTTGTGCCATTTTGGGCATTTAAACCAAGCCTAGCTATGAATCACAACACTACACTAACTTTTTTTTGAGATGGAGTCTTTCTCTGTCACCCAGGCTGGAATGCAGTGGTGTGATCTCGGCTCACTGCATCCTCCACTTCCCAGGTTCAAGCAATTCTCCTGCCCCAGCCTGCTGAGTCGCTGAATATACAGTCGTGAGCCAATGCATGTGGCCTAATTTTTGTTCTTTTACAGGGTCTTGCCGTCTCCCTCAGGCGGGCGTGATCATGGCTCACTGCTGCCTCCACCTCCTAGGCTTAAGTGATCCTCCTGCATCAGCCTCCCAAGTAGCTGGGCCCACAGGCAAGAGCCACTGCGCCCAGCTTATTTATTTATTTAGAGACGGAGTCTCGCTCTGTCGCCCAGGCTGAAATGCATCTCGGCTCACTGCAAGCTCCGCCTCCCGGGTTCACGCCATTCTCCTGCCTCAGCCTCCCGAGTAGTTAGGACTACAGGCGCCCGCCACCACGCCCGGCTAATTTTTTGTATTTTTAGTAGAGACGGGGTTTCACCGTGTTAGCCAGGATGGTCTTGATCTCCTGACCTCGTGATCCGCCCACCTCGGCCTCCCAAAGTGCTGGGATTACAGGCGTGAGCCACCACGCCCAAAGCTAATTTATTTTTTGTAGTCAGGGTCTCCCTATGTTGTCCAGGGTGGTCTTGAACTCTTGGGCTCAAGCCAGCCTCCTGCCTCTGCCTCCCAAAGTGCTGGGATTACAGACGTGAGCCACCACGCCCGGCCAACTGTATAAGTTTTCTAGGGATTATGTCTGTGGCTGCTTGGGGGACAGCTGTGCATGGGGGCTACCATGACCCTTCTTCCCTTTGGCACGCCTGGTCTCAACTAGCCCTCGAAAGACCGCTGATAGCTATCTGAACCAATCAGCATTCAGGAAGGGGGCGGACCTAGTGAACCTCACAGCCAATTGAGGGCTGGGAGGTGCTGAGACCAAGAAAGGGAGATTTCTGAAATTGAGGCTGGGAGGGGAGGGGCTATAACCGGCGCTTCCCTGGCACGCGCCGCTAGGTTTCCGTCCTCTCAGAGCCACGAAGCCAAAGGGCATGGAAAGGGCACGCGCATGCGTGTGGGGGAGCCCGAGGCCCGGAACAGCGCCAGGTGACTTCGAGAGCTGGGGTCACCGCGGAAAAGAAGCCATTGCGCCCCACAGCTACGTGAAGTGGGAAGGGCCGGGGTTCGTTGGGGCGAGAGAGGTGCCCTTCCCACACCCTGCTCCTGCCAACCGTACCCCACTCCCTTCACTCTGCCCACCCTGCCCTACCGCGGCTGGCCACCATGCTTCCTCTCCTACCCTAGGCCCTTCCTTTGTGATCAGGCCCTGTCCCTGATCGCGCCTCTGTCTCCCTTCCTGTTCTCTTGAGGTTTTCTCAGGCTTTCCAGACTTCTCTTGCTGCTCTCCCTCTCCTGCTTCTCTTTCTCTACTATCTCTTTCCACTTTCTGCATTCCCCTGTACCTCGTCTACCCCTGGATTTCTCCGTCCAGAATCACTTTCTGGTCCCCCAAATCCCTCCAATCTCATGACCCCTTCACCACCCTCCATCTTTTGTTGTTGTTGTTGTTGTTGTTGTTGTTGAGACAGAGTCTCGTTGTGTCCCCCAGGCTGGAGTGCAGTGGCGCGATCTCGGCTCACTGCAACCTCCGCCTCCCGATTTCAAGCGATTCTCCTGCCTCAGCCTCTTTGAGTAGGTGAGATTACAGTCATTCACCACCACGCCGGCTAATTTTTGTATTTTTAGTAGAGGCGAGGTTTCACATGTTGCCCAGGCTGGTCTCGAACTCCTGACCTCAAATGATCTACCCACCTCGGCCTCCCAAAGTGCTGGGACTACAGGCGTGAGCCACTGCGCCTGGCCCCCACCCTCCATCTTTTTTTTTTTTTTTTTTTTTTTTTTTTGAGATGGAGTCTCGCTCGGTCATCCAGGCTGGAGTGCAGTGGCGCGATCTCGGCCCACTGCAAGCTCCGCCTCCTGGGTTCACGCCATTCTCCTGCCTCAGCCTCCCGAGTAGCTGGGACTACAGGCGCCCGCCACCGCGCCCGGCTAATTTTTGGTATTTTTAGTAGAGATGGGGTTTCACCGTGTTAGCCAGGATGGTCTCCATCTCCTGACCTGGTGATCCGCCCGCCTCGGCCTCCCAAAGTGCTGGGATTACAGGTGTGAGTCACCGCGCCCGGCTCACCCTCCATCTTTTAACTGTTTCCCCATGTCCCTGTTCCTAATAGCCTCTCTCTGTTTCCTGGCTTATCTTCCCATTAGCTGTGACTCCTTCGACTTCATCTTACCCCTGTGATTCCTTATCTGACCAAACCTTTTCCAATCTCTCTCTGCTCACTTATTTTCTCTCATCTTCTCTCTCTCTTTTAAGAGACAAGGTCTCACTCTCTTGCCCAGGCTGGGGCACAGTGATGCAATCATAGCTCAGAGTAACCTCCAACTCCTGGGCTCAAGTGATCCTCCTACCTCAGCTTCCCTAGCAGCTGGGACTACAGGTGTGGGCCACCGAATCCAGCTTTTTTTTTTTTTTTTTTTTTTTTTTGAGATAGAGTCTCACTCTGTCACTCAGGTTGAAGCGCAGTGGCGCAATCTCGGCTTACTGCAACCTCCGTCTCCTGGGTTCAAGCGATTCTCCTGCCTCAGCCTCCAGAGTAGCTGGGATTACAGGCGCGCACCATCACATACAGCTAATTTTTGTATTTTTAGTAGAGACAGGATTTCGGCATGTTGGCCAGGCTGGTCTCGAACTCCTGGCCTCAAGTGATCTGCTCGCCTTGGCCTCCCAAAGTGCTGGGATTACAGGCATGAGTCACCACACCTGGCATCATCCAGCTAATTTTTATTTTTATTTTTTGTAGAGATGAGGGTCTCACTTTGCTGCTCAGGTTGGTCTTGAATTCCTAGCCTCAAGCGATACTCCCGCCTCAGCCTCCCAAAGTGCTAGGATTACAGATTTGAGCCACCATGCCTGGCCTCATCTGGTCATTCTAAATAGTATTCCCACCACACCCCAAAACATCTCCCTATTCACTTGTTTTGTTTTGTTTTGTTTTTGAGATGGAGTCTCACTCTATTGCCCAGACTGAAGTGCAGTGGCACAATCGTGACTCACTGCAACTTCTGCCTTCTGGGTTCAAGCAATTCTCCTGCCTCAGCCTCCTGAGTAGCTGGGATTACAGGCGTGCACCACCATGCCCAGCTAATTTTTTTTTTTTTTGAGATGGAGTCTTGCTCTGTTGCCCAGGCTGGAGTGCAATGGCATGATCTCAGCTCACCGCAACCTCCACCTCCTGGGTTCAAGTGATTCTCCTGCCTCAGCCTCTTGAGTAGCTGGAATTACAGGTGCATGCCACCACGTCTGGCTAATTTTTGTATTTTTAGTAGAGATGGGGTTTCACTATGTTGGCCAGGCTGGTCTCGAACTCCTGACCTCAGGTAATCTGCCTGCCTTGGCCTCCCAAAGTACTAGGATTATAGGTATGGGCCACTGCGGCTGGCCAATTTTTGTATTTTCAGTAAAGACAGCATTTTGCCATGTTGGCTAGGCTGGTCTAAAGTGACCTGGCCTAAGTGATCGGCCTGCCTTGGCCTACCCCAGTGTTGGTATTACAGGCATAAGCCACCGCGCCCAGCCCTCCCTATTCACTTTGCTACTCCCCTTGACTTATCTGCATGCTGATGGCCACCCTATCTTTATATTCCAGGACACCATGGATACCCAGGGACCAGTCTCCCAGCCTTTTCAGCAGCCTGAGAAACCTGGTCGTGTCCGTCGTCGGAAGACTAGGCGGGAACGTAACAAGGCCCTGGTGGGCAGCCGCCGGCCATTAGCCCACCACGATCCTCCTGTGGCCATTCGGGATCCACCTGTGGTCCCTACTGCCTCCAAGCTCGTGGTCATAACCCAGGGCCGGCTGAGCCGGGAGCACCGGGGTCTCTTCAACCACGAGGTGAAATCCCTAGATGTTGCAAGGCTGCTTAGCAGTGGGACCCTGGTGCCAGGCAGCCCCACACTCCCCGCCAAGCCCTCCCCAAGCCCAGGCAGGGCCCAGGAACCAGCCCCACGGTCCAGGGACAAAGAGAACCAGGTGCCTGGAGGTTCGGGCCCAGGCCCACCCAGTTCCCCAGAGTTGTCTGGCGTGGGGCAGCTGCTGGCAGAGCTGCAGTGTCAGCTGAGTTTGCCACAGGCCTTCCCCCGGAGGAACCTGATTCAGGATGCCAGGGATGCCATCGTGCACACCTTGCAGGCCTGTCATGGTTGTGTGCCTGACCTTGCCCTGGTGCTTCGGGGCTGCCAGCCACCCTTGCCAGGTGAGCGTCCCTCCTGCCCCTGTACTCCCCTTTCCTTTGTCGGCTCTAGCTCAGCTAGCCTCTATGCTTCTTTCCTCTGTGCCAGGGGCCAAGCCTGGGGTCTCTGAGAGAAAGATGACACCCTTCTGGATTAATAGCCCTGATCAAGTCCCAGAGCAGGAGAGGCAAAGGAAGCAACAAGGGACAAAGGAGTTCACCTTCCCCATGCCCTACACCTCCAGCATGCCCACTGCGCACAGGGGGAGTCTGGCACCGCCAAGAGGTCCCTGGCCACCATACTTTCCCTCACTGTCTTCGCCATCTGGAACAGCCTGGGGTCCCCCAACAGCGTTTGACTTGTTAAAAAGCATCTGGCTGGTAGCCACGCCACCCCCTCCTCGGCCCTGGGGGGTTGGCCTCCCTCAGCCCCTGCCTCAGCCTTCATCACCCCTGTTGCCCCGAACCTCTGTCCTGGACTGGAGCCCCAGCCCCCCTTCCCCACTGCCCAGCCTCTCCTGGGTAGTAGCCCAGAGCAGTCCGGAAGCCTGGTCTTTTCCACCCATGAGACTGTACTGAGGAGAGGCTGAGGCTAGGGCTGGGGACAGATATCTTGTACTCCCAGTGACCTCAATAAAGTACTTTTCATGGTCCTCTTGATTTTCAGTGAGTTGCTGACTCAGAAGAGCAGCTTTTCTTAGCTCTGAGTTCTAGGTCCAAGATGGAGGGGAAGGTACTGTTGCTTGTTACCTTCATAGGGCCTGAGGAGCCAGCATGGTGGGGAAAATTGGGACTTCAATTAGTCCAACACATATGCCCACTGTGGCTAACTGTGTACCTGACCCTGAGCTCTGGTGATGCTGGGGCTCCAGAGTGAGTGAGACAAAGGCCTTGTCCTCATGAGGCTCCCAGTTTGGTGGTCGGCACACACAACCCCAGCTCCAGTGATTGTGTCTAGGAGAGCAAGAGAGGTGCAGGGGCTGGGGCAGTCCAAGGAGGGAGTGATGGCTGCCCTAGTGAGGAGGGAATTCTTCGTAGAAGAGCTGTGTTTTTCTTTCTTTCTTTCTCTCTTTCTTTCTTTCTTTTCTTTCTTTCTTTTTCCTTCCTTCCTTCCTTCCTTCCTTCCTTTCTTTCCTTCTTTCTTTCTTTCTTTCTTTTTTGGAGACAGAGTCTTGTTTTCTTGCCCAGGCTAGAGTGCAATGGCACAATCTTGGCTCACTGCAACCTCCGCCACCCAGGTTCAAGCGATTCTCCTGCCTCAGCCTCCCGAGGAGCTGAGATTACAGGTGTGCGCCACCATACATGGCTAATTTTTGTATTTTAAGCAGAGATGGGGTTTCGCCATGTTGGCCAGGCTGGTCTCGAACTCCTGGTCTCAAGTGATCCTCCTACCTTGGCCTCCCAAAGAGCTGCAATTACAGGCATGAGCCACCGTGCCCTGCGAACCCTCTATTTTTCAAGGGTGGTGGAAACTTGGTACTTGAGGAAAAGAACATTTCAGGCAAGGGGAACAGCATATGCAAGTCCTGGAGGAGGCTGCATAGCAGATACAGGGCCATTTTCACTCAGCAAATCCCTAGGCCATGCTGGGACCTAGAGTAAGCCACATCTGGGCCTGCCCTTGAGCGCCTCCTGGTCTGTGAACACAGGGAACAGTGTATGTGCAGGCTCAGGGCAGGAGTGACAGATCAGGGCTGAATCTGGCCCACAGGCTTTTTTTAGTTTCACCCACGATATGTTTTAAATGTTGGAATCAATTGCCTACTGTTACAAACCAGGCAGTTTGCTTTTTTTTTTTAAATTGCATTTCTGGCTTCTTTCAGAAGGAAAGAAAAAATAAAAAAGGATCTGGCAGCAGCACTACAATCCTTCCTGGCAACAACTGGCCAAGTAGCAGAGGCCCCCTCTTTGTGGGATCCATGCTCTCCATTAAAAATGTTTCACTTATATTTCCAGCTTGGCCCCTTGGCTTAGAAAATTTGTAAAAAATGGTATTTTGAGCAGCCCCCGTTTTCTGCAGTGGAGAAGGATGAAGCTAGAAATGTTTGTTGGAGTCTGATCAGGAAAATCAAGGTGAAGGGCATGGCTTCTACTCTGGAAAAGCCTTTCTAGGGCTTGCTGTTGTCCACTGGGAAACCATAGGGTTGATATCTGCATAGAGGGGACTGGGCTAGGAGATCATAGGGCTGAATGACTTGGCCCAGGTCTTATGGTGGACAAGTGAAAAAGTAGGGGTCAGGCTGGGATTTGAATGAACCCAAGCAAGTTATTTTAACTTGGATCTGAAACATGCTTTTGGCTATCTCACACTACCACCTCTGTCTCTCACAGCAACCCAGCTTCACAGCATGGTAAGCAGTGACAGGTCATGGTCAGGCAGAGGGGTACGGTGGTTATACTGAAGCCTCCACCACCACCATGTGGTGTAACAAGTGGCTTCCCCTCTCTGTGCCTCCATGGGCACTTTGCAGGGTGCATCAGATCTAGAACGCTGGCAACTCCAGGATGGACACAGCTGGGGATGGCTGCAATAGAGGTGGTGATGGGCAATCAAAGACTTGTTGGCCAGGCGCGGTGGCTCACGCCTGTAATCCTAGCACTCTGGGAGGCCGAGGTGAGCAGATCACTTTAGGTTAGAAGTTTGAAACCAGCCTGGCCAACATGGTGAAACCCTGTCTCTACTAAAAATACGAAAAAATCATCCGGGCGTGGTGGTGGGTGCCTGTAATCCCTGCTACTCAGGAGGCTGAGGCAGGAGAATCGCTTGAACCTGGGAGGTGGAGGTTGCAGTGAGCCGAGGTCGCGCCACTGCACTCCAGCCTGGGTGACAAAGCAAGACTCGTCTCAAAAAATAATTAGTTTGGGGACTACATTGAGGGGAGGCCAGGACAGAGCATGGGTCTGGGGATCCGGAGAAGGCAGTCTGGAGGAGGCATGGCTTTGGAAGACGTGAGTTCAGTTTAGGACACAGGAAACCATAGGTATCTACGGGACTCCAGGAGGGGAGGGCTGGGGCGGGGTGACAGAGGATGAACGTCCCCCTCCCACGCGGAGAAGATAGGAGTCAGGTTGGGCCCTCTTGGAGGAGGGGGCAGGGAGCGCGGCGCCCGGCGGCCCCTTTAATCGGGGGCGCGCGCTGGCCAGCCCGCGCGCTCTCGCCTCCATTGCCGGGCCAGTGCGGGAGCCGGAGCGGAGCCGGGGCCGGAGCGGGCGGAATGGAGCCCCTGCGCGCGCCCGCGCTGCGCCGCCTGCTGCCGCCGCTGCTGCTCCTGCTGCTGTCACTGCCCCCCCGCGCCCGGGCCAAGTACGTGCGGGGCAACCTCAGTTCCAAGGAGGTGAGCATGCCGAGCCCTCCTCTGCGGCCCGCCGGCCCCCGGGGGACGCAAGGGAGGCGAGGGGAGCGGGTACCGCCTCGCCCCCTGCCGCCCCTCCTGGCGGACTCCGGGAGCCTCGGGGGAGTGGGGCCGAGGGCGATGGGGGACTGGGCCAGAGTCGAGGCTAAGGGGAGCCGTAGGGTCGCGGCCAGACCTGGGGGTTGTAGGAGGGACGTTGAGGTCAGAGCTGAGCGGGGAGGGGGAGCGGGTTGGGAGAGTCAGAGTTTGGGAAGGGTGGTGCAGAGGTGGTGCTGAAGGGACAGCACTTTTCACTCAGCAGAGAGCCCCGAGCTCGCCGCCACACTCCCGCTCAGGACCGGGAGGGGGCCGTTTGGAAGATTCCCCCGCGCGGGATGGTCTTTGGGAGCACGGGGTGGGGTGCAGGGGAGTGTGGATATTGGGGGAACGGGGTTAGATATTGGCCAGGACATGAGGTGGCCAGGATGAGCATCTGGCCCCTAAGGTCTTTCTCCCCAGAAAGATCCCGGGAAATGCAGGGAGGAGTGTTTGAATGGAGGGGAGGAAACTTGGGGGGGCAATGGAGGGAGAAAATCAGGGCGGCAGGAATCCTGGACCCACAGTGACGGGATCAGGGAAGGAGTTTGGAGGTGACCTGGTCTCCTTCTAGTACTTGGGAAGCCAGGTACCTGGGGGGTAGGGAAGAAAAGTTGGGGGTCTATGGAGTAAAGAGTTCTTGAAGGACTCAGCGGAGGGTCAGACTGGGCCCCTTTTTCAGGACTGGGTGTTCCTGACAAGATTTTGTTTCCTCTCGGATTACGGCCGACTGGACTTCCGTTTCCGCTACCCTGAGGTGAGTCTCCCCCAACACTCGCCATGCTGAGGCTGGGTACTTCCCTTGGCCTCCAAAGGCACAGGCTGCCCCAGCTCCCGGTCCCCAACATCTCTGGTCTGCAGGCCAAGTGCTGTCAGAACATCCTCCTCTATTTTGATGACCCATCCCAGTGGCCAGCCGTGTACAAGGCAGGGGACAAGGTGAGGGCTGTGAAGAGGGCATAGGGGGAGAGGGGAGAAGGTCGTTGCTGGCCGGGGGAGTGACCCTGTCCCTGCCTTCCCCAGGACTGCCTGGCCAAGGAGTCAGTGATCCGGCCGGAGAACAACCAGGTCATCAACCTCACCACCCAGTATGCCTGGTCCGGCTGTCAGGTGCAGGCTCAGCCTGGGGGAGTGGGCAGGTGCTGAAGGATGAAGCCTTCGGGGCATCAAGGACAGGCTTCAGCCTTCTCGTTTGTCCCCAGGTGGTATCAGAGGAGGGAACCCGCTACCTGAGCTGCTCCAGTGGCCGCAGCTTCCGCTCAGTGCGTGAACGGTGGTGGTATATTGCGCTCAGCAAGTGTGGGGTAAGGGGCTGGGGTGGCCACCTGGACCACCTTCTCTTTGCCTTCCTGCCAACCCCCAACTTGCCCAGGGCCCCCCTTAGGCCTCCCTACCCCCCACAGGGTGATGGATTGCAGCTGGAGTATGAGATGGTCCTCACCAATGGCAAGTCCTTCTGGACACGACACTTCTCCGCTGATGAGTTTGGTGAGCACGTGGGGACCTAGAAACCAGGCTCTCTGTGGGACACCAGAGCTGGGTGCCCACTGAGGGGACATCCACCTGAATGAACCTTACTCCTCCTACCAAATCGGCAGGGATCCTGGAGACAGATGTGACCTTCCTCCTCATCTTCATCCTCATCTTCTTCCTCTCTTGTTACTTTGGATGTGAGTCTGGCACATGGGGTGTGGGGGAAGAGATAGGAGGGAGCAGGGTTGGGGGAGGTGAGCTGCTCTCCCTTTCTGCCTGTGGACAGCCTTTCCCTACCTTGCTTCCTAGATTTGCTGAAAGGTCGTCAGTTGCTCCACACAACTTATAAAATGTTCATGGCCGCAGCAGGAGTAGAGGGTGAGGTTCCGTGTCCCAACTTTTGGGTTCTGAAAGAGAAGGCACTTGGGGCCAGACACCTGGGCCTAAGAGGAATGCCTGGGGGCCTGGACTCCTGGGTCCTGGGGGAGGAGGGGCTGGGGGCCTGGACTCCTGGGTCCAAGGGAGAAGGGCCTGGGGGCTTCGACTCCTGGGTCCTGGGGGAGAAGGGGCTGGAGCCCTAGTTCCTGGGGGAGGATGGGCTGGGGACCTGGACCCCTGGTTCCTGGGGGAGGAGGGGGTGGGACCTGACACCCCTGGGTCCTTGAGGGAGTATAAAGGCCGGAACTAGGCTGGACACGGTGGCTCACACCTGTAATCCTAGCACTTGGGGAGGCCAAGGTGGGCGGATCACGAGGCCAGGAGTTCAAGACCAACCTGACCAACATGGTGAAACCCTGTCTCCACTAAAAATACAAAAATTAGCTGGACATGGTGGCGTGTGCGTGTAATCCCAGCTACTCAGGAGGCTGAGGCAGGAGAATTGCTTGAACCCGGGAGGTGGAGATTGCAGTGAGCCGAGATCACGCCACTGCATTCCAACCTGGGTGACAGAGAGAGACTCTGTCTCAAAAAACAAAACAAAACAAAACAAAACAATAAAGGCCTGAACTCCTGAGTCTGGGGGAGGAGGGGCTGGGAGCCTGGACTCCTGGGTCTGAGGGAGGAGGAGCTGGGGGTCTGGACCCCTGGGTCCTGGAGGAGGAGGGTCTGGGGGCCTGAGCCCCTGGGTCTGAAGGAGGAGGGGGTGGGGGCCTGGACCCCTGGGTCTGAGGGGGGAGGGGGTGAGGGCCTGGACCCCTGGGTCTGAGGGGGTAGGGGGTGGGGGCCTGGGCCCCTGGGTCCTTGGGGAGCAGGGTTGGGGGCTGGACTCCAGATTCTCCTAGCAGGTGAGTCGGGGTAGAAGGTCTGGAGTCCTAAGGGAGGAGGCGGGATTCAGACTGCCTGGATGGTAGTGCTAGAGAACAGTGATGCCCCAGAGCTGCTTTCTATCCTTTCTTATCTGCCCATCCTCCCCTCAGTCCTGAGCCTCCTATTTTTCTGCATCTACTGGGGTCAATATGCCACCGATGGCATTGGCAACGAGAGTGTGAAGATCTTGGGTGAGAATGAAGCTGGGTGGGGAGAGGGTGGAGCCCAGGGCTCAGGTTGGGCATCAGGTCTGAGCCTGGCTCTGAGCCGCCCCCTCCTCCCTTCTCCCAGCCAAGCTGCTCTTCTCCTCCAGCTTCCTCATCTTCCTGCTGATGCTTATCCTCCTGGGGAAGGGATTCACGGTGACACGGTGCCCGGGCAGGGCGTGCTCGTGGGGCGGCTGGTGGGGGAGCAGGGCAGGGGCAGGGTTGGGGGGCTGGGTGCATCCTCCTCCCTGACGGCCCCCACCCTGCTGTCTCCCCTCATGGCCTGCTGCCAGGGGCCGCATCAGCCACGCGGGCTCCGTGAAGTTGTCTGTCTACATGACCCTGTACACGCTCACCCATGTGGTGCTGCTCATCTACGAGGCGGAAGTGAGTCCGACTGGCCCCTGGCCGGGCCCTGCCTTCCCCTGCTTTTGGCGCCGCCTCCCCCTTGACCTGTCTGCTCGCCCTTGCCCACATCCTGCTCCTGCTGGCTCGCTCTCTCTCCCACTCTTCGATTTTCTGCTTTCCCATCTGTCTAAGTGATTCCTCCTCTCTTCACCATCCCGCAGCAGCTTTCTTTCTCCTCCCTCTGTCTCTCACTGTCTGTCACATTTGTGCTCAATATCGTGACTAAGAGTTCAGGAGTCACACAGACCTGGATTCCACACCAGCTCTCCCACTTCCTAGCTGCCTGACCTTGGGTGACGACCCCTGTCTCTGGGCCCATTTTCTTCTTGGAAAATTGGGAGGATCTTACCTACCCCATGGAGCCCCTCTAAGGCTTTCTATCGTCTGTATGGCTTTGGCCAAAGGGCTTCCCTCTTAGCCTTAGTTTCCTCTTCTGTGAGATGGAGCAGTAATAAGACCTACCTCGTTGAGTAGATGCTGATGGAAAAACTCACACATGAGAGGGGTTTAGCCCTGTGTTGAGCAAACAGTAACTGATTTATTCTCTTCCTGTCTTTTTCACCCTCTCTCTCTACCTCAATATGCTTCTGTCTCCGTGCCTGGCTCTCCTGTTGCTTGTGTTCTGACCGAGTACCTCTGTTCCCAAGTGCCCAGGGGTGGGGTCCGGGGACCCTAATAGAGGGGAGGAGGCCAGGCTGTGATGGACCCTCTCCTGCGGGTCTAGTTCTTTGACCCAGGCCAGGTACTGTACACGTATGAGTCGCCGGCCGGCTACGGGCTCATTGGACTGCAGGTGGCGGCCTACGTGTGGTTCTGCTATGCTGTGCTTGTCTCACTGCGACACTTTCCTGAGAAGCAGCCTTTTTATGTGCCCTTCTTTGCTGCCTATACCCTCTGGTGAGAATTGGTGGGCCCCAGCCTGTCCCTGCCTCCCTCTCGGGGCTCCCCAGAAGTGGTTGCCCCCCATCTCAGACCCTCCATAGTGAGGGAGATGGACTTTTCACTCAGGCAGCTGTTGCCCAGAATCTGCCACTTACTCACTTTGTGAAAAATTACTTTCACAAGAAGTGCATCAGGTTTACCCATAAAACAACAGGATCTCGCCAGGCGTGGTGGCTCACGCCTGTAATCCCAGCCCTTTGGGAGGCCGAGGTGGGCGTATCACAAGGTCAGGAGATTGAGACCATCCTGGCTAACATGGTGAAACCCCGTCTCTACTAAAAATACAAAAAAATTAGCCAGCCATGGCAGCATGCACCTGTAGTCCCAGCTGCTGGGGAGGCTGAGGCAGGAAAATGGCGTGAACCCAGGAGGCGGAGCTTGCAGTGAACCAAGATCGCACCACTGCACTCCAGCCTGGGCCACAGAGCAAGACTCCATCTCAAAAAAAAAAAAAAAAAACCAAACAGGATCTCCTCAGGCCGGGCGTGGTGGCTCACACCTGTAATCCCATCACTTTGGGAGGCCAAGGCGGGTGGATCACCTGAGGTCAGGAGTTCGAGACCAGCCTGATCAACATGGTGAAACCCCATCTCTACCAAAAAATAAAAAAATTAGCCGGGCATGCTGGTGGGCACCTGTAATCCCAGCTACTCAGGAGGCTGAGGCAGGAGAATTGCTTGAACCCGGGAGGCAGAGGTTGCAGTGAGCCGAGATCACATCATTGCATTCCAACCTGGGCAACAGAGCAAGACTTCATCTTCAAAAAAAAAAAAAAACAGGATCTCCTCAAAGGGATATCTTGAGCAAGCATAGGCCACTATATGAGGGCCGAGTGTCTGGCACATAGTAAATGTTCAGTAAAAAACTATTGTAGACTGGGTGCGCTGGCTCATGCCTGTACCCCCAGCACTTTGGGAGGCCAAGGTGGGTGGATCATTTGAGATCAGGAGTTCAAGACCAGCCTGGCCAACATGGTAAAACCCCGTCTTTACTAAAAATACAAAAAAATTAGCCAGGCATGGTGGTGCACGCCTGTACTGCCAGTTACTCGGGAAGCTGAAGCAGGAGAATAGCTTGAACCTGGGAGACTGAGGTTGCAGTGAGTTGAGATCGTGCCCCTGTACTCTAGCCTGGGCAACAGAGTGAGACTCCATCTCAAAAACAAACAAAAAACAACAACAACAAACAAAACAAAAAAACACCCAAAACTATTGTAATTATTATCGTTCACCATAACATAGCAATAAGGTTGGCAGATTCTGAGCCAGACTGTCCGGGTTCAGATCTCAGCTCTAAAGCTTATAGATGATGTGACCTCAGACGAGCCCATTAACTTCTCTCTGCCTCAGTTTCCTCACCTTTTAATGGGGATGGAAATTTTATCTGCTTCATAGAGTCACTGTGAGAGTTAAATGAGTTTATATACATCAAATGCTTAGAAACAGGCCTGGCATGCAATAAGTCCTTACTTCTTATTATCATTTGTTCATTCATTCGTCAAATATCTATTTTTTTTTGTTTGTTTGTTTTTTGTTTTTGAGACGGAGTCTTGCTCTGTCGCCCAGGCTGGAGTGCAGTGGCACGATCTCAGCTCACTGCAACCTCCGCCTCCTAAATTCAAGTGATTCTTCTGCCTCAGCCTCCCGAGTAGCTGGGACTACAGGCGCATGCCACCACACCCTGCTAATTTATGTATTTTTAGTAGAGATGTGGTTTCCACCATATTGGCCAGGCTGGTCTGGAACTCCTGACCTCAGGTGATCCACCTGCCTTGGCCTCCCAAAGTACTGGGATTACAGGCATAAGCCACTGTGCCCGGCCTGATTTCTTCTTTTTTTTTTTTTTTTTTTGAGATGGAGTTTCGCTCTTGTTGCCCAGGCTGGAGTGCAGTGGTACAATCTCCGCTCACTGCAGCCTCCGCCTCCCAGGTTCACGTGATTCCCCTGCTTCAGCCTTCCAAATAGCTGGGATTACAGGTGCATGCCACCACACCCAGCTAATTTTGTATTTTTAATAGAGACGGGGTGTCACCATGTTGGTCAGGCTGGTCTCGAACTCCCAACCTCAGGTGATCTGCCTGCCTTGGCCTCCCAAAGTGCTGGGATTATAGGCGTGAGCCACCGTGCCCGGGCTGTCTATTGATTTCTTATCAGATGCCAGGATTTGGGGTGGTGTGGAACTGAGTTAAATTGAACCTCCTTCTTGCCCCTCAGAATTTCCCAGTCCAGTCCTGCCCCATTTCAGTCTCTGGCTTCTGAAGGTCACACTGGCTTCCCTCCAGTTTGGGACCTGCCTGGGGTCTGCGTGTGTACATGGCAGGCGAGGTGGGGCTATAGGGTGGGGTGGAGGACAGGAGCAGTGTCTCTACTGACCCAATACTTCCCCTTCAGGTTCTTTGCGGTTCCTGTCATGGCCCTGATTGCCAATTTCGGCATCCCCAAGTGGGCCCGGGAGAAGATTGTCAATGGCATCCAGCTGGGGATCCACTTGTACGCCCATGGCGTGTTTCTGGTGAGGATGGGCATCTGTGGGGGGTGGAGGGGAGGACCCGAGGGCAGAAGATGTGTGAGGCTCCTACACCTGATCTGCTGGACCTCCTGTTCTGAGGTCTTGATCCATTTTCCTTTTAGTCATTCTCCCTTTATTGAGAGCCTGCTTGGTTCCTGCAGTCTCCTCTATTGTGCTCCTCAGAGTCCATTTTCTTCTCTTTTTTTTTTTCGAGACAGAGTCTCACTCTGTCTCCCAGGCTGGAGTGCAATGGCTTGATCTCGGCTCCCTGCAAACTCCGCCTCCCGGGTTCAAGTGATTCTTCTGCCTCAGCCTCCCGAGTAGCTGGGATTACAGGTGCCCACCACCACATGCAGCTAATTTTTTGTATTTTTAGTAAAGGCAGGGTTTCACCATGTTGGTCAGGCTAGTCTCAAACTCCTGACCTCAGGTGATCCACCCGTCTCAGCCTCCCAAAGTGCTGGGATTACAGGCATGGGCCACCTCGCCGGGCCCATGCCCATTTTCTTCTGTTCCCCTCTCCAACTTTGTGTCCTGGCTTCTTTCCTCAACCCCCATCCTCTCTCTTTGCCCTCCCTTCCCATTTCCATTCCTGACCCTGTGTCCCCAGATTCTTCCATTTCTCTTTTGTATCCCCACTGCCTTCCCCACCCTCCTTGATCTCTCCACTCTCCCCCTGCCCCTGCCCAAATTCTGCCATCACAGGCCACTGTTCAGGAAGAAGCATCTGGGGTGGCACAGGGTGAAGCTTTTGGGCTCCTGGGTCGGCAACAGGAGGGTACAGCACCACATCTTTTTTTTTTTTTTTTGAGACGGAGTCTCACTCTGTCACTAGGCTGGAGTGCAGTGGCGCGATCTTGGCTCACTGCAACCTCCACCTCCCAGGTTCTCCTGCCTCAGCCTCCGGAGTAGCTGGGACTACAGGAGCACGCCACCATGCCCGGTTAAGTGGTTTTTTTTTTTTTTTTTTTTTGAGACGGAGTCTTGCTCTGTTGCCCAGGCTGGAGTGCAGAGGTGCGATCTCGGCTCACTGCAACTTCTGCCTCCCAAGTTCATGCCATTCCCCTGCCTCAGCCTCCCTAGTAGCTGGGACTACAGGCGCCCACCACCACGCCTAGCAAATTTTTTTTGTATTTTTAGTAGAGACGGGGTTTCACTATGTTGGCCAGGATGGTCTCGATCTCCTGACCTCATGATCCGCCCGCCTCGGCCTCCCAAAGTGCTGGGATTACAGGAGTGAGCCACTGCGCCTGGCCCCCACCACGTCTATTCTTTGCCCTGGTTCACATCCTATCTGACATTCTTGGTGACAGTTCTAATATTCATTAATTTATTCATCAATTGTTCACTGGGCACCTGTCTTGAACCAGTCTGTTTCATTCTAGGAACATCCATATGCATTTACTCCTGCCCTCTTGTTTAATTGTCAGAGCAGCTCCAGGAGAGGGTGGATAATTGACATTGTTCCCACTACACAGAGCGGGGAAGCTAAGGCCCAGAGAGGAGAAGTGACGTGCCAGGGCTCCGTGGCCTTTGGCGGCAGGCAAATACTTTGAACCCTATCCTTCTCCAGCAGACCACAAGGTCTGAAATGAAGGGGAACCAGAAAGGGCAACAGGCATGACCCAGTGTCCCAGCTTCTGACTCCAGGGATCTACAACGTACCCCGTGTAGGGAGTGGGCCCAGCCACCGAGGGAGGGGACAGGTCCCCATCCTTTGCCTCAGAGGCTGACATAGGTACAGACTCGCTCACCTTCCCAGGCTGGTCTATCCTGAAGCTCTGCAGGAAGTCAGAAAGGGACAGAAAGAGGAGAAATGCTGAGAACCCATCATGTGCTGGGCTCTGCACCAGTGGTTTTCATTTCCACCCTCTCATCTTTCCAAGTAGGCGCTACAGTCCCTTTTCCCCACAGCGAGGCTCAGGGAGTTTAATCAACATGCCCCAGATCCCATACTCAGTGAGCTACAGATCCCAGAGGCGGGATGCAGGCTCAGAACGGCAAGCACAGCGCCCTTCCTGCTGTATCTCAGCCAGCTTCCTTCCTAAGGATGCTCACGTTAGCTCAGCACAGCTCCACCTGGGTATCTCAACGCTCATTGCTTTCAGCTCCTTGTTCATTTTTTTCAGCACAACCTTAGAAGAGCTGTGTTAGGTTTCCGGGATATGGCGGTGGAGTCACACCCAGTCCCTGCCTTCACAGCCTATCAGACTAACTGGTACCAGACATCCCTACATTCCACCAATATTTATTTATTTATTTATTTATTTTAAATTTTTTTTTTTTGAGATGGAATCTTCCTCTGTCGTCCAGGTTGGAGTGCAGTGGCATGATCTCGGCTCACTGCAACCTCTGCCTCCTGGGTTCAAGCAATTCTCCTGCCTTAGCCTCCCAAGTAGCTGGGATTACAGGCGCACCACCACACCTGGCTAATTTTTGTATTTTTAGTAGAGATGGAGTTTCACCATGTTGGCCATGCTGGTCTCAAACTCCTGACCTCAGGTGATCCGCCCGCCTCGGCCTCCCCAAGTGCTGGGATTACAGGCGTGAGCCATGGCGCCTTGCCCACCAATATTTACTGAAGGCTTATATGCGCCAGGCATGGTTCTAGAAGGTACTAGGGACTCAGTAGGGAACAGAAGAGTCTGGTTCCTGCCTCATCGAGACATTTTAGAGTCTATTAGTTGCTGTCCAATTGAACTTTCTGTATTTATGAAAATATCCTATTACCTGCACTTTCCAATATGGGAGCTACTAACCACATGTGGCTGTTGAGCACTTGAATGTGGGTAGTGCATAGTGAGTGTGTAGTGAGGAGTGTGACCAAAATTTAAATTTTATTTTGATTAAATTTAAGCTACATGCAGCCAGTGGCTATCATACAGTGCAGGACGCTGACCCTAAGCAATCAGTGACAGCTCAGTGATCAGGCCTCTGATGGAGGAAGCACAGGCCGAGTTTTGTTGAAGGGAAAAGGTGAGGGTCCAGGGCATTTGGAGAGCCCAGAGGGGACGCCTAATCCAGTGTGAATGGCTTCAGGGAAGTGTGGTGGATGTCAACTGAAAGGGAATCCTTCGGACCCCAAGTTTATGGGGACAGCCTCCGGCCTGACAGTGCCTCTCACACCTGCTCCTGGCCCTGGCCTCAGATCATGACCCGCCCATCAGCGGCCAACAAGAACTTCCCGTACCACGTGCGCACGTCGCAGATCGCTTCAGCCGGAGTCCCTGGACCCGGAGGGAGCCAATCCGCTGACAAGGCCTTCCCGCAGCACGTCTATGGGAACGTGACGTTTATCAGCGACTCGGTGCCCAACTTCACGGAGCTCTTCTCCATCCCCCCGCCCGCCACCTCCGTAAGCCCCGCGGCCCCAGCGCCCGAGGAGCTGCTGGCGCCGCCCCTGGAGTACCTGACCCCGCTCCCGGCCCCGCCGCCGCCCCCAGCGCCCGGACCCCTGAGCCCTCCTCCTGCCTTTCGCACTCCCCGCGCCCCAACACCGCGCCGCGACCGTCCCCTGGCGCCCGCGCCCACCCTGCCTGACTGGGTTCTGGCGCTGTTGCGCACACCCCCGCAGACTCCCTGCGCCGTGCCCCCACCGCCCGCCTTCCGCGGCTCTCCCCCAGCTCCCCGGCCGCCGCCGGAGTTCGCCCCGCGCGCCCCGACGCCGCCCTTTGAGTACCTGGCCCCGCTGCCCAGGCGCCCCGCCACCCAGTCCTTCCCTGACTGACAACGTGCGTCCACACCTGGGGTGGAAGGGTTCTCCGGGGGAGGGGGACGGGCCTTCGGGGCCGCATCTGCCCCCCGAGGGTCCCGGACGGCCTCTGACCCTGACCCCCCTCCCAGGCCGGGAAGCAGGTGGAGGAGACAGCGGTGGCGGCGGCGGTGGCCCCGAGGGGCCGCGTGGTGACCATGGCCGAGCCGGGCGCAGCCTCCCCCCCACTTCCCGCTCGGTTCCCCAAGGCGGCCGACTCGGGCTGGGACGGCCCGACGCCGCCCTACCAGCCGCTCGTGCCCCAGACGGCAGCGCCGCACACCGGCTTCACCGAATACTTCAGCATGCACACGGCCGGGGGCACTGCACCCCCGGTCTGAGCACCCCTGCCCGCCCCTGCCCCATGGGCCATGACCGGGCCCCGGCCGGGCTCCGGACCCCTGCTTTATCCCGGCCCGAGAGCTCGCCCATCCCCGGCCTTCCCGACCCTTCCCACCCCGCGCGCCCAGGTTGGGTACGCTGCGTCCCGCCCCCCTCCCCTCTGTGCCAAACGGTCCCGCGGGAGCCGCTCTCCCCGTCCCCTCCCTCAGCCCCTGCCCCGAGCGGCGCCGGATTCTGGGCTCCCGCTGTTCCGTGACCTCCGGCCCCCTGGCCCCCTTCGAGACCTCTGACCCCGCTGGACTCCGGAACACCCGTGGTGACCGCCGGGACCCTGCCTGTGACTCTCCAGGACTCTGCGACCCCGGGATGGATATTGCGATGCTGGTCTCGACCCTGAAACCCTCCCTCGGATCTGTGACCTCGGACCCGTACTCCATCTGCCGCATCTCCATTCCGGGGGCCTTCCCTCGGGTCCCTGGCAGAAAGACATTTTACCCCTTCTTGCCAAAATAAAAAAGGATTCGTTTTTATCTATAACATGGCTTCTTTTGCATCTTGATGGTGTTCAGCGGCGGGGCTGAGCCAGAACTATGTCAGGCTCGGGACCTCAGTGTGTCCATCTGTGAAATGGGAATTTGGAACCGGAGGCAGGGGCCTGTATAACCTGATCTTTATGTTGCCCCAGAATGTGGGAACATTGAAGATGATCAAACATCTAGCAGGGTCTTGCACCGCTCCTTTATTTTTGCCTTCCTTTCCTCACTCAGAGGTAGAGGCGCCCTCCAGTGGCCCATGCTTTGCTGAACCACAGGCACCCAGAGTTTGGGTTACGATCTTAGCACTGCGCATATGTGTATTTCTCTCCCTCCAGGAGGACGCTGCTGCGCATGCGGTTGGGAACAAATGGGCGGGGATTTCCCCGGAAGTCTCCCTTTATGGAGGGTTGGGGTTGGGCGCTCCGCAGTCCTCCCAGGGCCGCTCTGACCGGCCGCTCTGTAACTTCTCGCCTCCTCTTCGCCGTCCCTCCCACAGCGGCTGCTCGGCTCCCGCCCCCTCGCCCTCCCACAGCGGGTCTTCCCGCGGCCGCTCTGGCCCAAGCGTCCCCTCGTCTCTCTGATCTGGCCCATCCGGCTTCGGAGGGAGGCGAGGGTGGGTGAGCAAAGGGATTGGGTCTGTGGGGTCCAGGCCCGAACCCCTGAAGACGGGCTCCGCCCCCGGCACCCGCTCGCGCCCCGCCCCCGGCTGGAGGAGTCTCTCCTGGACCATCCGAACCTAGCCTGTCCCGGCCCGCAGCCTCTATGGAGGCTCCTGCCGGGCCGTAGAGCCCTTCGCCCCCTGGGGACCCACCCGTCTATAAGGTCCGTTTGGCCTGCAGCAGCCTGAGTCCGTAATGCTGGGCACTGTTCATGGGATCGGCCCCCTATGGAGCCCTGTGTCTATAGGGGACTCCTACGGTCCCTAGGGTTCGGCCCCGTCCATAATGACTCCATATACAGGGCCTTCCATCGCTCTATAGGGCTCAGCCCTCGGCTTCCAGAGCCTGTCAGCAGTGGCCGTACCCTTCGCCGGGACTGCCGGGTCTCCGGGACCTCTTCGATCTACAAGGTCATGTTATGCCTATAGAGGTCGCATTTGCAGGGCCTCACCCCGGGTAGAGGGTCCTCTCCAGGTTTTTACGGCCTGTCCCCGCTCTAAGGGTCAGTGCAGGAGGCGGCGATGGCCCTGGGCAAGGTTCTGGCCATGGCACTGGTTTTGGCCTTGGCCGTGCTGGGGTCGCTGTCCCCTGGGGCCCGGGCGGGGGACTGCAAGGGGCAGCGGCAGGTGCTGCGGGAGGCGCCAGGCTTCGTGACGGATGGTGCGGGCAACTACAGCGTCAATGGCAACTGCGAGTGGCTCATCGAGGGTGAGTGGGGCCGCGTGGGTCACTCACTAATTCGCTGGTAGTTCATTCATGTGTGCATTCATCCACTCACCACATTCCCAGAGCTCGGTTCTGGTCCAGGCCTTTTGCTCTAAAATGCCTGACACCCAGGGTTGCAGCCAACCTGGGCCCTGCCCTGGAAGGCCTCCAAGTCTGGTGGGGGAGATGCACCTACACCCAGATTTACAATTACAAGACAGGAGCATCAGTGCCGGGCCTTCTGAGTAACTGTTAAGAACTCAGGGTCTGGGTCCAATCATTTGGCTTTGAATTTGGTTCTACTACTACTACTTTTTTTTTTTTTTTTTTTTGAGATGGGGGCCTCACTCTGTCACCCAGGCTGGAGTGCAATGGTACCAACACAATTTACTTACTGCAGCCTCGACCTCCTGGGCTCAAGTGATCCTCCCACCTCAGCCTCCCAAGTAACTGAGTGTGTAGAGACAGAGTCTCACCATGTCGCCCAGGCTAGTCCTGAACTCTTGGGCTCAAACGATCCTCGCACCTCAGCCTCCCAAAGTGTTGGGATTGTAGGTGTGAGCCACTGTGCCTGGCTTCTTATTATTAGCTTTGTGACTTTGAGCAGGTGGTTTTCTTTCTCTGAGGTTCTGTTTCCTTCCCCCACAAATGGGATAACAACAGTACTCACCTCATAGAGTTGTTGGAATGAAATGAAAACAGGTATTTAACATGCCTGATGTGTGGCATATAGTAACTGTTCAATAAATGGCATTAGGATTATTGTTGTTGTTATTTGTGAAGTACTTCAATAAAAGCATTTTTCTTCAGTCATTCATGTGCCAGACATTATGTTTCCCATTGGACATAGCCCAGACTGAGACAGCTCCAGCAATCCCTGGTGACTTAGGTCTTGGAGTCTAGTTGGGGAGACAAACACATTAATAGTGAGAGACAAGAGTGGTCTTTGATGGAGGAACCCCAGAGGCCTGGGAGAGCCCAGAGAAAGTGCCTGATCTGGGGCCGGGGAGAACAGAGAGGCTTCCTGGAGGAGGAAATGTCTAAGCTGAGACTTAAAGGACCAATAGGAATCTGTCAGGAGTGGGAGGAAAGGCCCCAGCCCTACCCTTCTGGGCTCCCAGTCAGTGGGAGAGACAAACCCACTCCGAGGCTGTTTGTTTTCCTTTTCCACCCAATAAACTCCTATGCATGCCTCAGAACCCTGCCCCAGTGGCTCTTTCTCTGTGAAGACATGTGGCTTAACCTGGGGTATAGCTGAGATCAGAGGCATCTGTACGAGGGAGCAGAAGGGCATTCCAGGCAAGAATAGCTGTGCAAAGGCGGGGAAGCGGGAGAGTGATGCTTTTGAAGAACTAGAAATCCAGTGTGTTAAAACATAGAATACTGGCAGGGTATGGTGGCTCATGCCTGTAATCCCAGCACTTTGGGAGGCCGAGGCCGGCAGATCGCCTGAAGTCAGGAGTTTGAGACCAGCCTGGGCAGTATGGTGAAACCCCATCTCTACTAAAAATACAAAAATTAGCTGGGTGTGATGGCGCGCGCCTGTAGTCCCAGCTTCTCAGGAGGCTGAGGCACAAGAATCACTTGAACCTGGAGGTTGCAGTGAGCCAATATTGTGCCACTACGCTCCAGTCTGGGCGGCAGAGCGAGACTCCATCTGAAACAAAAACAAAAACATAGAATACAAGACAACGAATGAGCCAGAGGCTGCAGGGTGGGAGGAGCCAGCAGGTGTAGGGCTCTGTGATTTTGAGCTGTATCCTGAGGGCAATACAGGGGTGAAAGAGAAGTTGAAAGGCAGTACCTGCAGAAGCCCAGGAAGGCCTCACAGAGTAGTGGATGTAAAAGCTGGCCTCCAGACAGGGGAGGTCCTGGGCAAAGGCCAGAGGTGTGACAGAGCCTGGATCATGCAGGGCCTCCCTTGGGAGGCTGTGGAGCTTTGTCTTTGTCTGGGGGCTCTGGGGAGCTATGGAAGGGTTTTGAGCAGGGAGAGGACATGATCTGATTTATGTTTTAGAAGATCTCTCTGGCTGCTGTGTGGGGTATGGATGAAGGCCTGTTTCTCAGTGATAGCATGTCTACCTGTTCCCAGCTTGGGGGCCATTCCTGTCAAGCTAGTGGGATGAGAACAGAATAGGAAGTGTGTGTGTGTGTGTGTGTGTGGCGAAGGGGTCTGTGTGCTGGATATAAATCACTCTCTGGCCTTAAAGAGTCCCAGACTGGTTAGGCCAGGTGCGGTGGCTCACGCCTGTAATCCCAGCACTTTGGGAGACCAAGTGGGGCGGATCACCTGACGTCAGGCTTTAGAGACCAGCCTGGCCGACATGAAGAAACCCCCTCTCTACTAAAACTACAAAAATTAGCCCTGCGTGGTGGCGCACATCTGTGGTTCCAGCCTGGGTGACAGAGCGAGACTCTACCTCAAAAAAAAAGAAAAAACGTCTCAGACTGGTTGGGAATGGTGGGGCTGGACACAGATATTCAGCCCCCAGTGTGTTCACTGAGACAGTGCTCAGGGCTAAGAAGGAAAGTGGAGGGGTGGGGTGGATGTACCTAGGGAGGAAAGAGGACTGTGCTGCAGATAACAGAGCAGGAGCCACTAAAATAGGGTTCTGAAGCATGCATAGGAGTTTATTGAGTGGGAAAAGGGAGCAAACAGCCTCTATGAAGACGTGAGGGTGGCTGGAGTGTCTCAGGATCCCCATCTAGGTTTGCCTGGTCTTATGGCACTTTTGACTGGGAGGTAATGAGAGCCAGAAGCAGGGGAAGAGGGGCCTTGAATGTCACACTGAGCAGCCTGGCCTTCCCCTTGGGGTTGATGGGCAGCCACAGGAGGTTTTGAGCAGGAGTAGGGCATTGCCCTCAGGTTGGGTGTGGGGCAGACTGGAGACTTGATGAGCTGATCTGGCAAGAGAGGATGAGTTCCTAACTAGGGCAGGGGCTTAGAGGGGTGGAGAGGTGTAGACAGTGCAATCGATGTTTGTGGAGTTTCACCTATAAGACTTGGGGACCAACTGGGTAGATGTTGGGGTGAGGGAGGAGGCTGGGAGACCTCCAGATCCCCCTTGATGATCTTCTGTTCTTACCAATGCCTGTCACTTCTTACCTATAAGAACCAACATCTTCCTCTATCTATTATAAAATAAACAACCAGCCAGGGGCAGTGGCACATGCCTGTAATCCCAGCACTTTGGGAATCTGAGATGCAAGGATTACTCGAGCCCAGGAGTTAGAGACTAGCCTGAACAACATGGTAAGACACTGTCTCTACAAAAAAATTACAAAAGATTAGCTGGGCTTGGTGGGTGGTGGCATGTGCCTATAGCTCCAGCTACCGGCGAGGCTGAGGTGGGCAGATCCCTTGAGCCTAGGAGGCTGAGGTCTCAGTGAGCCGAGATTGCGCTGCTATACTCCAGCCTGGGCAGCAGAGCGAGACCCTGTCTCAGGGAAAAAAAAAAAAAAAAGATAAACAACCAACCTACTAACTTTTGTATTATGTTCATACTTTATCTAGTCCTAGACTTTTTTTTTCCGAGAGAGAATCTTGCTCTGTTGCCCAGGCTGGAGTGCAGTGGCTTGATCTCGGCTCACTGCAGCTTCTGCTTCCCAGGTTCAAGTGATTCTTGTTCCTTGGTTTCCTGAGTAGCTGGGATTACAGGCATGTGCCACCATGCCGGGCTAATTTTTGTATTTTTAGTAGAGATGGTGTTTCTCTATGTTGGCCAGGCTGGTCTCAAACTCCTGGCCTCAAATGATCTGCCCTGGGATTACAGACGTGAGCCACCACGCCCAGCCCAGTCCTAGTCCTTATAACATCCTCATGGATAAGAGGCATCCTGCTTTTGAGCAGGAGGGAGTTTGGGATCAGATTTCTGTCTGGAGTGGTATGGGGGTTGGGTGGAAACAGAAGACCTTCAACTTAGGGAAGAACTTGGGGAGGCAGATGGTGAGCTGGCCTCCAGCAGGCACTTAACAAAGATGTACTTGTGATTCCAGAAACAGAGCTTTATAGTTTGGTTGAGGCTGGTAAGATTCTGGGAGGTCTGGTTGTGTGGCCGTGCTGAATGGTTCTTCTGCATTCCCCAAAGCATGGGTGGGGTCTGTGTCTGATGTCTTGGGGGCTCTGGTTAGAGCCTGAGGGAGAGCTTCCAGCTTTAGTATTCTGTCTTTTATGTATTTCTTCATTTCATCATCCAGCATTTCCTGAGCCTTTGCCAAGCCCGGGTCTGGGCAATGCTGCAGAGGGAATTAGGTCCACATCCAGGCCCTGCTCTATGGGCCTTGTAGGCTGCAGGGAGACAGACCTGGACATAGATGTTCCTGGCCCAGAGGAATGAAGGTTATAATGGGATGTGAGAACCCTGGAGAGGGGGCATCTAACCCAGCTAGGGGGCATCAGGAAGAGGCCTGGTGGTGGGAAGGGATAATATGTTGCAGACAGAGGGAGAAGCTTGTACAAAGGCCCAGCTCCCATTAGAGCTGTAAGCAGTGGGGTGATTTGAGACAAAGCGAGGGTCTGAACAGCAGGTTAGGGACCTGGACTTTCTCCTAGGGTGGTAGGGAGCCATGCAGGGCTTTGGGGCAGGGGAGGGACGGGGCCAGATGTTGAGTTGGGAAGATCAGAGACTCATGTCAGGGGAAGAAGGAGGTTGGATCAGTGGTTCTGGTGAGACAGGATGAGGCCGGGCAGCCAGGGCACACTCTGGCTCTAAGCTGGCAGGCTGGAGTCATCACCTCGTTGAATGTTCACCCCAGCCTTTGTGGGTGGGGGGAATTATCCCCATTTTACAGTCATGGAAACTAAGGCTCAGAGAGCCCATGGAACTGGCCCAGGATCACCCAGCCATTGGCAGTGGTGGCTGAGTGTCTCCAGGATCCAGATAGGCACACTGAGGGTCATGGGGGAAAGGGCTGGCCCAGGGTCCTCCAGCTGGTCATGGGCAGAGCCAGAGCCAGAGCCAGAGCCTAGGCCTCCTAATTTCCCTCACCCAGAGGACTCCCCTGAGCTGCCTGTTCAGAAGGCTTCTCATGTGGGATGTGGAATGAGAGAGGCTACCTGAACTAGGACTGGCAGAGAATAAGACAGTGACAGTGTTAGGGGTAGTGGCACTCTCCACGATATGTGGGCCCCATTGTCAACATTTCTTTTTTTTTTTTTTGAAACAGAGTTTCACTCTTGTCGCCCAGGCTGGAGTGCAATGGCATGATCTCAGCTCACTGTAACCTCTGCCTCCCGGGTTCAAGAATTCTCCTGCCTCAGCCTCCCAAATAGCTGGGATTACAAGCATGTGCCACCATATCCAGCTAATTTTTTGTATTTTTAGTAGAGACGGGGTTTCACCATGTTGGCCAGGCTGGTCTCGAACTCTTGACCTCAAGCGATCCACCCACCTTGGCCTCCCAAAGTGCTGGGATTATAGGCGTGACCCACGGCACCCAGCCTCTTTTTTTTTTTTGAGTCCCCTCTGTCGCCCAGGCTGGAGTGCAGTGGTGCAATCTTGGCTCACTGCAACCTCTGCCTCCCGGGTTCAAGCAATTCTCCTGCCTCAGCCTCCTGAGTAGCTGGGACTTGCACCACCATGCCTGGCTAATTTTTGTATTTTTTTTTAGTAAGAGACAGGGTTTCACCATGTTGGCCAGGCTGTTCTGGAACTCCTGACCTCAGGTGATCCACCTGCCCTGGCCTCTCAAAAGTGCTGGGATTACAGGCGTGAGCCACCCACCCCACTCTGTTGTCACCATTTCGTGTGCATTATTGCTCCTCATGAGGTTGCAGTCAGATGTCAGCTGGGGCTGCAGTCAGCTGAATGTTCACCTTGGCTGGACATCCAGGAAGGTCCCTCCCAGGGCTGGCAGTTGATGCTGGCTGTCAGCTGGAAGCTCAGTTGGGACTGTCAGCCGGAATGCCTGTGTGTGGCCTTTTCTTGTGGCTTTGGCTTTTCTTTGTTTTTTTTTTTGAGACGAAGTCTCGCTCTTGTCCCCCAGGCTAGAGTGCAATGGCACAATCTCGGCTCACTGCAACCTCTGCCTCCCAGGTTCAAGCAATTCTCCTGCCTCAGCCTCCCAAGTAGCTGGGATTACAGGCACCCGCCACCATGCCCAGCTAATTTTTGTATTTTTAGTAGAGACGGGGTTTCGCCATGTTGGCTAGGCTGGTCTCAAACTCCTGTCCTCGTGATCCGCCTGCCTTGGCCTCTCAAAGTGCTGGGATTACAGGTGTGAGCCACCGTGCCCAGCCGGCTTTGGCTTTTCCTATCATGACAGCTGTGTTCTGAGAAGGAGCATTCTACGAGGCCCAGGTGAAAAGTACAAGTCTTCTTATGATCTAGCCTTGGAAGTTTCAGAATTTCTGCTGTTTTTTTATTGGTCAAGCAAGTCACTAAGGCTCTTCCCAGATACGAGAGGCAGGGAATTAACTTTCAATGGCAGGAGTGGCCTATAAGTTTGATTCCACCACAGTACCACTATATCCCACTTTAGAGATGAGGAGACCGATCCAGAGGGGGTGGGTTACTTGGCCAAGATCACACAGCTGGTAGCTATTTGGTGGCAGAGCCAAGACATAAGCTCAGGCAGTCTGGTTCCAGAGTTTGTGCTTGTAACCATCACAATAAGCAGAGGTGAGACTCTGGATGGGGACAGAGGGGAACTATGCCGCTCCAAGGTTAGGCCTCTGTTCTGGGGGAAGAAGCTGGACTCTTCTCTTGCAGCTCTATTCAGCGTGGGCCAGGGGTGGTGTCACGGAGGTGCTCTTCTCACTGGGATTATGACCTTGACCCTCCAGCCTGGACATGTCTGAAACTCAGGCATGGACAGGAAGAGAGAGGCATCAGGAACACTGGATTCTGCTCTGTGTGGCCACTGGGATGGGGTTTTCTCTGTACTTAATTTTCCCATCTGAATGGTGGGAGTGTTCATTCTGATCTCAGGTGACCTTTCTAGAGGTCTGGAATATTATGATTCTTTCTCTGGGCTCCTGTCCCTCTGGCTGTCACAGCCCTTGACTGCCCTAGGTTATGAGACTGGGGGCCCCTTCAAGGCGGGGCCCAGGTCTGACTCATTCTTGAGCCCCCAGCATCACCTGGATCAGGGTTTGGTGTACAATTGTGGGAGGCTGCAGGGAGGTGTGGGGAGAAGGTCCGCTTTAGAGCTTGGTCCCTCTGTGCTCACCTCCCAGCCCCAAGCCCCCAGCACCGGATCCTGCTGGACTTCCTTTTCCTGGACACAGAGTGCACGTATGACTACCTGTTCGTGTATGACGGTGACTCCCCGCGAGGGCCGCTGCTTGCCAGTCTAAGTGGGAGCACCCGACCTCCGCCCATCGAAGCTTCCTCAGGCAAGGTTAGTGGGGATGGGGCCGTGGCAGATACACCGAGGGAAATGGAAGAAGAAAGGAGGGACAGAGAGTCAGTAAGAGGGCATCCAAGAGCAGAGCACAGGGACAAGGGAAGGTGGAGAGAGGCAAAGGAAGGAGATGAGGCTCTGGGTCCCCCAGGGTGGAAGGGGGCAGGAGTGGGCCACCCTCCCAGGACAATCCCCAGGCCCTGCCCACCTTACCCAGCACACCTTGTGCCCGCAGATGCTGCTGCACCTCTTCAGTGATGCCAACTACAACCTGCTGGGCTTTAACGCCTCATTCCGCTTCTCCCTGTGCCCGGGTGGCTGCCAGAGCCACGGGCAGTGCCAGCCACCGGGTGTGTGTGCCTGCGAGCCGGGCTGGGGGGGTCCTGACTGTGGCCTGCAGGAGTGCTCAGCCTACTGTGGCAGCCACGGCACCTGCGCCTCGGTGAGCCGGTCCCCAGCCCTGTTTCCCCTGGGGCCCTGATCTGTGAGCGCAGCCTCCACGCCCATCTCCTAGGTCTGACCTTGCTCCTGCATGAAACTCCCCCCACCACCCCACCCTCCTCCGTGACACCCACTTCCCTCTCCTTCCAGAGCTTGCCCCTCACCTGTTACTCCAACCCCACCCCACCTTCACCTGCAGGGCCTCCCCTGCTGAGGATATCCCACTCTCATCTATACCCCACTCTCATCTGTGAACACCACCCTCCTTCCTCCAGCCAGGCCCAAATCTGTCCTCCCATCCAGCCACTCTGTGTGGCCTTGGACCCCTGCCATGACTTCCAGCCTCGCACCACTGACCTTACGCCGAAGCTGTGTACATCCAGCTTTCAATCTGGATTGCGCTTTGAGCCCTCCCCGCCTTGACCTCCCCAGATCTGAGCTCTTTCAGTCCAGGCTGAATGTCAACTACGCTGTCTGTATTCTCCCAGCCTGCCGTCTTTCTGTCTTTTCTCCTTTTTCTCTGTGCATCTTTTCCTTTTTCTGTTGGTCTTCTTTTTTCCGTCTGTCTGCTTCCTTCTGATTGTTTCTCTTTGTCTCTTGTTTCTGTCTGACAGTTTGCCTTTCCCCTCTTCCTGTCTCTCTCTGTCTCCCTTTCTCTCTCTCTCTTTCCTTTTCCATCCTCTCCCTTCCTGTCTGTCTCTTTCTCTCTCCCTTTGTGCCCTGTCTGTCTCATTCTGCCTCTTTTCCTCTCTGTGTCTCCTTTGTCTCTCTGTCCTTGTCTCTCCCTCTCTTATCTCTGCCTTTATGTCTCCTTTCCCGCAGCCCCTGGGACCATGCCGCTGTGAGCCTGGCTTCTTGGGACGTGCCTGTGACCTGCACCTGTGGGAGAACCAGGGGGCTGGGTGGTGGCACAACGTGAGTGCCAGGGACCCTGCCTTCTCTGCCCGTATTGGGGCAGCTGGCGCCTTCCTGTCCCCACCAGGGCTGCTGGCAGTTTTCGGAGGTGAGCAGATGGGGCGAGTATCTGGGATCTGGAGGCCCGGCAGCCTATGGCCAGGGCATGAGACTATCCACCCCTCCACAGGCCAGGACCTCAACAATGCCCTGGGTGACCTCGTCCTATACAACTTCTCCGCCAACACCTGGGAGTCTTGGGACCTGAGTCCTGCCCCGGTATGGACCCCTCCTCTGCCCTGGAGGAGCCTTTCCACTCAATCAGACCCAGCCGGGGACCCCCGGAATGATCCCCTATCACCTAGTGCTCCCACAGTTCCTGCAGCTTGATATAGGAACCTACTTCTCCCTGTTTCTGCCTTTTCTCTCCGGTTTTCTTTTTTCTTCTTCCTCTTCCTTTATCTGCCTTTGTGCATCTTATTTTTCCATGTGTCTCCTGTTGCTCAATCTGTCTCTGTTTTCGTCTGTCTGACTTTTGGGCTTCTGTGTTCTCTGTTTCTGTGTCTCCATCTCTCTGGATCTGTTTCTCTCTGCCATTTGTCCCTTTAACTCTGTCTCCTTGCCTTTTCTCTCTCTTATTGTATTTCTCTGTTTCTATGAGTCTGTCTCTTCTTTTCTCTCTCTGCCGGTCTCTGCCTTTCTCTTTGTCTCTGTCTTTATCTCGCCTTCTCTCCATGTTTCTCTGGCTCTGCATCTCTCTGTCTAAGCCTGGCTCTGGCTCTCTTGCTGTGTCTCTACCTCTGTCTCTTTTCTCTTCCTCACAGGCTGCCCGTCACTCCCATGTGGCCGTGGCCTGGGCCGGCTCCCTGGTACTGATGGGTGGTGAGCTGGCTGACGGCTCGCTCACCAACGACGTGTGGGCCTTCAGTCCACTGGGCAGGGGCCACTGGGAGCTCCTGGCACCACCTGCCTCCAGCTCCTCGGGGCCCCCAGGCCTGGCAGGTCACGCGGCTGCCCTGGTGGATGATGTCTGGCTATATGTGTCTGGAGGCCGCACCCCGCACGACCTCTTCTCCTCTGGCCTCTTCCGTTTCCGCCTTGACAGCACCAGCGGGGGCTATTGGGAGCAGGTGATTCCGGCAGGCGGACGGCCCCCTGCTGCCACTGGCCACTCCATGGTGTTCCATGCCCCCTCCCGTGCCCTGCTGGTCCATGGTGGACACCGGCCCTCCACTGCCCGGTAAGTGACCTGTCCCATAACCCATGCTCCACAGGCCAGGCCCAGCTCAACACCATAGGCCTTTAGTCTTTAGAGGTCTTTGCCCACTGTCGGACTCCTGTGGTCTCTCAGTCACTCCTTCCTTCATGTATTTACTTATTCCTTCGTTCACTCATTCATTCATTCACCCACTCACACATTCTCTGATGTTTTATTCAATCTCTTGGTGAATTGCCTTCCACACACTCCCACCCATGTATCTATTCAACAGAGCCCTGCTTGGTGTCCAGCCCTTGCTAGCTTATGCAGGTAACTCAGAGATGACTCAGGGTCCTGCCCACAGGGAACTTCTAGTTTGGAGGGGACATAGAGTCAGTCATGGCCAGTCTCATCCCTGGGTGATCACATGGCTCCTAAGAGCCTGGAGGAGGGAGAGAGACGCTTCCTGCCCTGAGCCCCTGCCCTGCTTCTCCTTCGGTAGGTTCTCTGTGCGAGTGAACTCCACTGAGCTTTTCCACGTGGATCGGCATGTGTGGACGACGCTGAAGGGGCGGGATGGGCTTCAGGGCCCAAGGGAGCGAGCCTTCCACACAGCCAGTGTTCTGGGCAATTACATGGTGGTCTATGGTGAGGAGGCTCCCCAATCCTGCCTGCCTGCCTGCTGAGGGCCTGAGCCAACCCTGAGCTGAGGCTCCCTGCAGGGGAGTCCCCCCACCTCCCCTAGGCTTGCCAGCTATGCCCCTTTCCTCCATTCCCAGGGGGCAATGTGCACACCCATTACCAGGAGGAAAAGTGCTACGAAGATGGCATCTTCTTCTACCACCTTGGCTGCCATCAATGGGTGTCAGGAGCTGAGCTTGCCCCGCCAGGAACCCCTGAGGGTGAGTGGTCCCTGTTCTTCCCTAGGGGCTCCTGAGGGTCCCACCTCTCTCCATAGTGATTCTGGGCTCAAGCCACCTCAGTCCGTAAGGGTGAGCCTGACATCCAGGCCAGTTGGTGCCAGCCTTAGGAGGCAAGCCTGGGATGGAGATGGGACTAGGGCATCGTCACCATGGAGATGGGAGGCCCTTACCGCAGTATCCAATGTGGGTTCCAATCCAGGTTTTGCCAGTTTCCAGCTGCCCCAGGGAAATGCCTAAGAGGCAGCAACTTTTCCTTCTTTTTAACTTTCTTTTCTTTTCTTTTTTTTTTTTTTTTTTTGAGACGGAGTCTCGCTGTTGCCCAGGCTGGAGTGCAGTGATGTGATCTCAGCTCACTGCAGGCTCCACCCCCCGGGTTTCACGCCATTCTCCTGCCTCAGCCTCCTGCATCGCTGGGACTACAGGCGCCTGCCACCTCACCTGGCTAATTTTTTGTATTTTTAGTAGAGACGGGGTTTCACCGTGTTAGCCAGGGTGGTCTCGATTTCCTGACCTCATGATCTGCCCGCCTCGGCCTCCCAAAGTGCTGGGATTACAGGCGTGAGCCACCATGCCCGGCCTCTTTTCTTTTTTTTTGAGAGGGAGTCTCGCTCCGTCGCCCGGGCTAGAGTGCAGTAGCGTGATCTCAGCTCACTGCGACCTCCACCTCCCGGGTTCAAGCGATTCTCCTGTCTCAGTCTCCTGAGTAGCTGGGATTATAGGCATGCATCTCCATGCCTGGCTAATTTTTTTGTGTTTTTAGTAGAGACAGTGTTTCATCATGTTGGCCAGGCCAGTCTCAAACTCCTGACCTCAAGTGATCCTCCCACGTCAGCCTCCCAAAGTACTGGGATCACATGTGTGAGCCACCATGCTTGGCCTTTTTAACTTTCAATTTAGGTTCAGTGGTACAAGTACAGGTTTATTATATAGGTAAATTGTGTGTCATGGGGATTTGGTGTACTGATTATTTCATCACCCAGGTATTAAGCCTAGTACCCAACAGGTAGGTTTTTTTTTTGTTTTTTTTTTGGGGATGGAGTCTTACTGTGTTGCCCAGGCTGGAATGCAGTGGTGCAATCTTGGCTCACTGCAACTTCCACCTCCTGGGTTCAAGTGATCCTCCCGCCTCAGCCTCCTAAGTAGCTGGGAGTATAGGCGCATGCCACCACACCCGGCTAATCTTTTTGTATTTTTAGTAGAGACGAGGTTTTGCCATGTTGGCAAGGCTGGTCTGGAACTCCTGACCTCAGGTGATCCGCCCACCTCGGCCTCCCAAAGTGCTGCGATTACAGGCGTGAGCCACTGTGCCCAGCCCCAGTAGGTAGTTTTTTGATCCTCTCCCTCCTCCAACCCTCAGGTAGGCCCCTCAAGTGTCTGTTGTTCCCTTCTTTGTGTCCCTGTACACTCGATGTTTTGTTCCCACTTGTGAGAACATGCAGTATTTGGTTTTCTGTTCCTGTATTAGTCTGCTGAGGATAAGGGCCTCTAGCTCCATCCATGCTGATGCAAAGAACATGATCTCATTCTTTTTTATAGCCACATAGTATTCTATGATGTATACGTACCACATTTTCTTTTTTTTTTTTTCTTTCTATGTATTTTTTTTTTTTTTTTTTTTTTTTTTTGAGACGGAGTTTCGCTCTGTCGCCCAGGCTGGAGTGCAGTGGCGGGATCTCGGCTCACTGCAACCTCCACCTCCCAGGTTCAAGCGATTCTCCTGCCTCAGCCTCCCGAGTAGATGGATTACAGGCGCCTACCACCACAGCCGGCTAATTTTTGTATTTTTAGTAGAGACGGGGTTTCACCATGTTGGCTAGGCTGGTCTCAAACTCCTGACCTCAGGTGATCCACCTGCCTCGGCCTCCCAAATTGCTGGGATTACAGGCGTGAGCCAATGCGCCTGGCCTCCATTTTCTTTATCCAGTCTATCATTGATGGGCATTTAGGTTGATTCCATGTCTTTGCTATTGTGAACAGTGCTGCTTTGAACATACACGTTAGAACAATTTATATTCCTTGGGGTATATACCCGATAATGGGATTGCTGGGTCAAATGGTAATTCTGTTTTAAGTTATTTGAGAAATCTTCAAACTGCTTTCCACAATGCCTGAACTAATTTACATTCCCATCTGCAACCTCACTCGCATGTGTTATTTTTTGACTTTTTGATAATAGCCATTCTGACTGGTGTGAGATGGTATCTCATTGTGGTTTTGATTTGCATTTCTCTCATGATTAGTGATATTGAGCATTTTTTCATATGCTTATTGGCCACGTGTATGTCTTCTTTTGAAAAATGTCTGTTCATGTCCTTTGTCTACTTTTTAATGGGGTTGTTTTTTGCTTGTTAGTTTATTTAAGTTCCTTATAGGTTCTGGATGTTAGATCTTTGTTGGATGCATAGTTTGCAAATATTTTCTCACATTCTGTACATTGTTTACTCTGTTGATAGTATCTTTAGCAGTAACTTTTTCAAGATCACAGTAGATAAGTGACAGAGCCAGCATGGCTATCCCCAAACAACAATCTGTATAAAACTATCACTTAAGGCCGGGTGCAGTGGCTCACACCTGTAATCCCAGCACTTTAGGACGCCATGGCGGGCAGATCATGAGGTCAGGGGTTTGAGACCATCCTGGTTAACATGGTAAAACCCCATCTCTACTAAAAATACAAAAAATTAGCTAGTCATGGTGGCATGCGCCTGTAGTCCCAGCTACTCAGGAGACTGAGGCAGGAGAATTGCTTGAACCTGGGAGGCAGAGCTTGCAGTGAGCTGAGTTCGCACCACTGCACTCCCACCTGGGCAACAGAGTGAGATTCCGTCCCCAAAAAAACAAAAACAAAAACTATTACTTAATCTCTGTGCCTCAGTTTGCTCATCTGTGAAATGAAAATTATAACACGTAATGCCATTGGATAGCTGTAAGAGTAAATTGAGATGATCCTTCAAGAATGATGCCCAGTGAAGTGCTCCACACATTTCCTTTCTTTTTTAAAATTTTTATTATTTATTTTTGAGACAGAGTCTTGCTCTGTTGCCCAGACTGAAGTGCAGTGGTGTGATCTTGGCTCACTCCAATCTCTGCCTCCGAGGTTCAAGCAATTCTCATGCTTCAGCCTTCTGAGTAGCTGGGACTAGAAGCGTGTGCCACCACACCCGGCTAATTTTTGTATTTTTAGTAGAGATGGGGTTTGCCATGTTGACCAGGTGGGTCTCGAACTCCTGGCCTCAAGTGATCCATCTGCCTCGGCCTCCCAAAGTGCTGGGATTACAGGCGTGAGCCACCGTGCCTGGCCTAATTTTTGTATTTTTTTAGTAGAGATGGGGTTTCACTGTGTTGACCTTGTGATCTGCCCGCCTGGGCCTCCCAAAGTGCTAGGATTATAAGCATGAGCCACCGTGCCCGGCCAGGCATTATTATTATTGTTGTTACTATTTTGTTTTATTTTACTTGAGATGGAGTCTTGCTCTGTCACCCAGGCTGGAGTGCGGTAGCATAGTCTCCACTCACTGCAACCTCCACCTCCCGTGTTCAAGCTATTCTCCTGCCTCAGCCTCCTGAGTAGCTGGGATTATAGATGTGCACCACCACTCCTGGCTAATTTTTGTATTTTTGGTAGAGTTGAAGTTTTGCCATGTTTGCCAGGCTGGTCTTGAAGTCCTGACCTTAAGTAATCTGCCTGCCTGGGCCTCCCAAAGTTCTGGGATTACAGGCATGAGCCACCACGCCCGGCCTATTGTTACTATTTTAGAGGCAGAGTCTTGTTCTGTTGCCCAACCTGGAGTGCAGTGGTGCAGTCATAGCCCACTGCAGCCTTGACCTCCCGGGCTCAAGCAGTCCTCCCACCTCTGCCTCCCAAGTGGTTGGGACCACAGGCCCATGCTACCCTTCCCAGCTAATTAAAAACAGAATTTTTGGCCAGGCACTGTGGCTCATTCCTGTAATGCCAGCACTTTGGGAGGCCAAGGCGGGAAAATCGTGAGGTCAGGAGTTCGAGACCAGCCTGGTTAATATGGTGAAACCCTGTCTCTACTAAAAATACAAAAATTAGCTGGCGTGGTGGTAGATGCCTGTGGTCACAGCTACTCAGGAGGCTGAGGCAGGAGAATCGCTTGAACCCAGGAGGCGGAGGTTGCAGTGAGCCAAGATCGTGCCACTGCACTCCAGCCTGGGTAACAGAGGGATACTCCATCTCCAAAAAAAAAAAAAAAAAAAAACACACATAAAAACAGATTTTTTAAAATTTTTTGTAGAGATGAGGCCTCCCTATGTTGCCCAGAGTGGTCTTGAGCTCCTAGGCTCAAGTCATCCTTCCATCTCAGCCTCCCAAATAGCTGTGACCATAGGCACACAATACCACGCCTGGCTAATTAAATAAAATATTTTTGTTTTTTAGAGATAGGGTCTTGCTGTGTTGTCCAGGCTAGTGTTGAACTCCTGGCCTCAAGCGAGCCTTGTGAGATCCAGCCTCCCAACGTGCTGTGATTATAGACGTGAACTACCACGCCCAGACATATTGTCTTTCTTATAGCAGTTAGGGTCCTGTCTCAGGGCCAGAGGGGTCACCAGGGAGGAGATATGGAGAAACCTTTCACTCTCATTAAATCAGACACTGCTTTGAAATCGGATGAAAGCCACAGGCCCTCTCTTCAGAAGATGCTTATACCTGCAAGTTGGGCGTATCACTTCGGGGACGTGTGGGCTTCCCAGAGTCGCATCTGTTCACTCCTCCTCCCTGAAAAGGAGAGAGAGGAGAGGACAAGCGTAAGGAAGGAACCTTAGCACTTAAGGGATGGGAAGGAGGAAAGGCCCCAGAGGAACCCTGTGTGACCATCAGGAATAAAGTCCAGGCCTGGTGTCTGAGGCCCTCATTCTAGGTCTCGTCTGCCTATCCCTTGGTCCCCTTCACTGGGCAGGAGTCAGGAGTGTGATGTTTCTGGAGGCCTCTTCCTGCTTCGCAGTTTGTGATTACCTGGGCCAAGTCCCACACGTTTACAGTGCACGCAGGTCAGTAAGAGGGTAGGGAAGTCACCATTCACTGACCACTTACCTGTCAGTCAGGATTCTTGGCTGTAACTGACAGAAACCCAACCCAGCTGGCTTAAGCAAAAAGGAGAATTTCTGGCTGGGCACGGTGGCTCATGCCTGTAATCCCAGCACTTTGGGAGGCCGAGGCGAGTGGATCACGAGGTCAGGAGATCGAGACTGTCCTGGCTAACACAGTAAAACCCCGTTTTTACTAAAACACAAAAAATTAGCCGGGCTTGGTGGCGGGCGCCTGTAGTCTCAGCTACTTGGGAGGCTGAGGCAGGAGAATGGTGTGAACCCGGGAGACAGAGCTTGCAGTGAGCTGAGATCGTGGCACGGCACTGCAGCCTGGGTGACAAAGCGAGACTCTGTCTCAAAAAAAAAAAAAAGGAATTTCCTGGCTCACTTGAGTGAAAACTGTAGGGGCTGTCTTCAGGCTGGGCTGGATCTAGGTGCTCACAAAATGGCATCAGCCATTTCTCACTCAATTTTTCAGCTGGGTTCACTTCAGTCTCTTGCCTTGTGTAGATGGTCACAGGCAGCTCGTGGATTATCTTCTGCCATAAAATGCCCAGAAAGAAGGGAGTGTCTTTGCCCCAAGAATTGAGAATCAGGCCCTGTACCCCTCCCTGAGCCAGTCACTGAGACTGATGGGCCTGGGCTAAGGCCTCACTTCTGCCAGAACCAGGGACAACTCCACCTAAGTCTCACAGATTGGGAAAGGGAAAGGTTGGTTTTCCAGAGGAAAATCAGGCGCTATCACCAGAAGAGAGGCTGGTGCTAGACAGACAAAAATGGGAGACTGAGGCAGCCTACTGGGGGCTCAGCAGATTCTTCAGTCCTCCCAGCTCCCTGAGGACGAGATGATGGTTCTTTTTATAGAGGAGGAAACCAAGACTCAGAGAAGTTCAGTCTCCTGTCCAGGGTCACACAGCTAGTCAGTAGTTGATCCACGATTTGAACCCAAGTAAGTGGTAGATGCAGGATTTGAACCCAAGTCTTTCTGACCCTAAAGATCAGAAAGATGATTTGGGTAGGGGCGAGGGAGCTCAGCTTGTTCAGGGCCAGGTGGGCTGGGAGAGTGTCCTTGGGCAGGTGAGGTTGAAGCAGCCACCGGAATAGAAGGCTGGGCTGTGGCCCAGGAGAATCAGGAGCCATGGAGGTGGTGGAGGGGCTGGGGGTCTAATAATGTCATTGGGGTCTCTATTCCCCTAGGCCGAGCAGCGCCTCCCAGTGGTCGGTACTCACATGTAGCTGCGGTGCTTGGTGGCAGCGTCCTGTTGGTGGCTGGGGGGTACAGCGGCCGGCCCCGTGGGGACTTGATGGCGTACAAGGTGCCCCCCTTTGTGTTCCAGGCACCTGCCCCTGACGTGAGCACTGGGGTGACAGGGAAAGGGTGGCTGGGGGGAGGAGGTAGCAGGGTTTCCACAGGTGAGGGGAAAGGCAGGAGGGGATCCCTGGGAGAAGGAGTGGGGATCCCTAGGACCATGAGAGAAGGGAAGGAGGTCCCTGGGGCAGAGGAAAGAGGAGCTAGAGGTCCCTGGGCCTGGGGGAGGAATGGATGGGCATGCTGAGCACTCAGGGTCCTCTGGGATAGCTAAAGCAAGCGGGGACTTGGGAGGCCGGCCCAGGTCTGAGAGGCCTCCTCCTCCGTCCCCTTGCCTCCCCCTCTGTCCCCTTGCCTCCCTGCAGTACCACTTGGACTACTGCTCCATGTACACAGACCACAGCGTCTGCTCCCGGGACCCGGAATGCAGTTGGTGCCAAGGAGCCTGCCAAGCTGCACCCCCTCCTGGGACCCCCTTGGGGGCTGTGAGTGACAGCCCTAGACCCTCTGTTCCCTAGCATAGAGACCTGCCCTCAGTGTCTCCCTCTGCCTAACCAGATGGACAAGAACTTTCCCTCAACTGGGAGACTTGTTTTCATGCCGGAGATCCTCCTTCCTGATTCCTGACTGCGGAGCCCTGAACCTTTGCCTATCCCACCCAGCCCGACCCTTTTGAGCCCGTGACCCCATCCCCGCATCCCCCGTCCTCTGGATCTCCCACATTCCAAGTCAACTCCCCGTTCTTCAGTTTTTTCGCCCTTTCCATCGCAGGACCCTGTATCCACAGCCCTTCCTTCCCAGATCTCTTGAGCTCCAGTTGACAGTGAGCCCTTTCCCCTCTCCTCCTCGCAGTGTCCAGCCGCCAGCTGCCTGGGCCTGGGCCGCCTCCTGGGTGACTGCCAGGCCTGCCTGGCCTTCAGCAGCCCCACAGCCCCTCCACGGGGACCTGGCACCCTGGGCTGGTGCGTGCACAATGAGAGCTGCCTCCCTAGGCCTGGTGAGTGTCCGCAGCAGTGGGCCGGCAGGAGGGGGCCAGAGCACTCCACACTGACCCACCGGCCCCCACCCCCTGTCTTCTCAGAGCAGGCCCGCTGCCGAGGGGAGCAGATCTCAGGCACTGTGGGCTGGTGGGGGCCTGCGCCTGTCTTCGTCACGTCCCTGGAGGCCTGCGTCACCCAGAGCTTCCTGCCTGGCCTGCACTTGCTCACCTTTCAGCAGCCGCCCAATACCTCCCAGCCTGACAAGGTGGGTAGGAGGCGTGGCCCTGGGTGGGGTGTTGATGATCCTGATCCTAGGGTTTGTTTTTTCTCAAATGCATCTTTATCACTCTTATGTTTACTCCAAAACTCTTTACATTCAAGGGTCTTATTTTCCTTATGGACTTTATTTTTTATTTTTTTTGAGAGGGAGTCTTGCTCTGTCACCCAGGCTGAAGTGCAGTGGCGCAGTCTCAGCTCACTGCAACCTCTGCCTCCTGGGTTCAAGTGATTCTCCTGCCTCAGCCTCCTGAGTAGCCGAGATTACAGATGCCCGCCACTGCGCCCAGCTAATTTTTGTATTTTAGTAGAAGACGAAGTTTCACCATGTTGGTCAGGCTGGTCTTGAGCTCTTGACTTTAAATGATCCGCCTGCCTTGGCCTCCCAAAACTCTGGGATTACAGGCATGAGCCGCTGTGCCTGGCCTCCTTATAGATTTTAAAAAGAATTTTTACATTGTGGTAAAATACACATAAAATTTTTCATCAGTGACATTTAGCACATTTACAATATTGTGCAATCATCACCACTATCTTGTTACAGAACATTTTCATCACCCCAGAGGACAACCCTGGACTCACTAAGTAGTCACTCTCTATTCCACTCTTCCCCCCGGTCCCTGGCAGCTACTAATCTGTTTTCCATCTCTGGATTTGCCAGTTCTGGACATTTCATGTACATGGAGGCCTGTACTATGTGGCCTTTTGTGTCTGGCTTCTTTCACTCAGCGTAATGTTTTCAAGGCTCATTCATTTTATAACTTCATTTGGAAAGGAACTCTATTCCTTTTTATGGTTGAGTAATATTCCATTGTATAGATGGACCACATTTTGTTTATCCATTCATCAGCTGATGGACGTTTGGGCTGTTTCCATCTTTTGACTATTGTGAATAATGCTGGTATGAGCACTTGTGTACACGTTTTTGTTTGAACATCTGTTTTCAATTCTTGTGGCTGTATACCTAGGAGCAGAATTGCTGGGTTATATGTTAATTCCATATTCATCTTATTGAGGAATGTCCAAACTGTTTTCCACAGTACCTCTTTATTGATTTTTTGTTGTTGTTGTTGAGACAGAGTCTCTCTCTCTGTCGCCCAGGCTGGAGTGCAGTGGCACGATCTTGGCTCACTGCAACCTGCAGCTCCCGGGTTCAAGTGATTCTCCTGCCTCAGCCTGCTGAGTAGCTGGAACTACAGGCACTTGCCACCACACTCGGCTAATTTTTTGTATTTTTAGTAGAGATGGGGTTTCACTGTGTTAGCCAGCATGGTCTCGATCTCCTGACCTCATGATCTGCCTGCCTCAGCCTCCCAAAGTGCTGGGATTACAGGCATGAGCCACCATGCCCGGCCTCTTTATTGATTTTAAAAATAGCTCATATATTCACATGGTTCAAAAATCACAGTGACATCAAAAGTCATTGGGGCTGGGCACGGTGGCTCACGCCTGTAATTCCGGCCGAGGTGGGCGGATCTCTTGAGGTCAGGAGTTTGAGACCAGCCTGGCCAACATGGTGAAACCCTGTCTCTACTAAAACTACAAAAATTAGCCGGGCGTGATGTCGGGTGCCTGTAATCCCAGCACTTTGGGAGGCTAAGGTGGGAGGATCACTTGAGGTCAGGAGTTTGAGATCAGCCTGGCCAACATTACGAAATCCCATCTCTACTAAAAATACAAAAATTAGCTGCTCATGGTGATGCGTGCCTGTAGTCCCAGCTACCTGGGAGGCTGAGGGAGGAGTATCTCTTGAGCCTGGGAGGCAGAGGTTACAGTGACCCAAGATCACGCCACTGCATTGCAGCCTGGGCAACAGAGTGAGACTCCATTTTAATTAAAAATAAATAAATAAATAAAAGGCTGGGCACGGTGGCTCACGCCGGTAATCCCAGCACTTTGTGAGGCCAAGGCAGGCGGATTACAAGGTCAGGAGAGCGAGACCGTCCTGGCTAACACAGTGAAGCCCTGTCTCTAATAAAAATACAAAAAAATTAGCTGGGTGTGGTGGTGAGCACCTGTAGTCCCAGCTACTCAGGAGTCTGAAGCAGGAGAATGGCGTGAACCCGAGAGGTGGAGCTTGCAGTCAGCTGAGATCATGTCACTGCACTCCAGCCTGGGTGACAGAGAGAGACTCTGTCTCAAAAAAAAAAAAAAAAAAAAAGAAAAAGAAAAAGAAAAAAAAGTCACTAAATGGACAGTCTCTCTCATTTACCCCACTCCCTACCCCTTAAGTGGTCCAAAATTATCTAGCTCCAGCATGGCTGCAACTTAAGGCCACCATACCTCCCTGGAAGATCCATTTGGGTTTCTTTGATCTTATTCCAGAATTTACCTATTCAGATGCAAGTAAGCATGACATCATATCATTTTTCTTTCTCACTAAACTAATATACTATGAACATTATACGACTGCTTCCTTTTTTTCTTCCTGGCAAGCTTCCCATAACAGAACTTAAGAAACACTCTCATTCTTTTTTTTTTTTTTTTTTTGAGATGGAGTCTCTCTCTATCGCCCAGGCTGGAGTGCAGTGGCAAGCGATTTCAGCTCACTGCAACCCTGCCTCCCGGGCTTAAGTGATCTTCCCACCTTAGCCTCCCAAGTAGCTGGGATTACAAACATGCACCACCATGCCTGGCTGTTTTTTGTATTTTTTTTGTTTGTTTTGAGACGGAGTTTTGCTCTTGTTGCACAGGCTGGAGTGCAATGGCGCAATCTCGGCTCAGTGCAACCTCTGCCTCCCGGGTTTGAACGATTCTCCTGCCTCAGGCTCCCAAGTAGCTGGGATTACAAGTGCACGCTACCACTCCCGGCTAATTTTTTGTATTTAGTAGAGATGGGGTTTCACCATGTTGGTCAGGCTGGTCTTGAACTCCTGACCTCAAGTGATCTGCCCACCTCGGCCTCCCAAAGTGCCCGCCGTGCCCAGCCTTCATTCTTCTTTTTTTTTTTAAGTTGTATAATATTCCATTTACATTTGTAGTTTATTTAAATAGCCTCCCACTGGTGAACACTTGGACTGTTCCACTCTTCTGCTATTACAAAATCACACACCAGGAAAATAAATCTTGCACTTTGTCTGCCACTTTGAATATTAGATCTGGGCTTTGAAGTGCTTAGCTGGAAAGGTGAGGAGTTGGATAAGAAGACACTGAAGTGTCCAGTCCTGGAGTTTTAATGTGAGATGGAAATGGCTAGAGGCCAGGGGTAAAGGTGGGCTCTGGGACCCTGTCGTCTATTGTCTGAATTTAGGTCTTGCCTCTTTTCCCAGAGTGACCTTTGACAAGCCACCTAACCCCTGTCCCTCTGCCTCAGTCTCTCATTTGGTAAAATGGGGAAGAAGGTTGGGTTGACCAGTCTTTTCTGGCTCTGATGTGGCCTGTGAGTCCAGAAAGGGACTCACACATACACCCATCCCTGGTGGCACAGGTCTCAATTGTCCGCAGCACGACCATCACCCTAACACCCAGCGCAGAGACAGATGTGTCCCTGGTCTACCGTGGCTTCATCTACCCAATGCTGCCTGGAGGGCCAGGTGGACCAGGGGCTGAGGACGTGGCCGTGTGGACGCGGGCCCAGCGCCTACACGTCCTGGCCCGGATGGCCCGTGGCCCTGACACGGAGAACATGGTGAGGCCGCCTGGGACATTCAGGGGGTTGTTTATGGTAAATAGGGAGTTAGGGGTGTGGTATAGAGCATCTGTGGTGATTTGAAGGTTCTGGGGAAGGGCTGGGGAGAAATTAGAGGCAGGAGATGGATTTTTTGTGTGTGTGTAAGACAGAGTCTCACTCTGTTGTCCAGGCTGGAGTGCAGTGGCGCGATCTCGGCTCACTGCTACCTTCACCTCCCAGGTTCAAGCAATTCTTCTGCCTCAGCCTCCCACGTAGCTGGGATTACAGATGTGCATCAGCACTCCTGGCTAATTTTTTTGCATTTTAAGTAAAGATGGGTTTTCACCATGTTGGCCAGGCTGGTTTGGAACTCCTGACCTCAGATGATCCGCCACCTTGGCCTCCCAAAGTGCTGGGATTACAGGCGTAAGCCACTGCGCCTGGCTGGGAATGGATCTTTCGTAGAGGAGGGAGGGTGCTGAGGTTTTCAATTGTGAGCAGAATTTGAGGGAAACTTTGAAGCAGGTGAGGAAGGTCTGAGTCAGACTTGAAAGGCCCCTGAAGGCTGGGCATGGAGGTGTACACCTGTAATCCCAGCCCTTTGGGAGGTAGGGGCAGGTGGATTGCCTGAACCCAGAAGTTTGGGACTAGCCTGGGAAACATGGCGAGACATCATCTCTCCAAAAAATACAAAAATTAGCTGGCCATGGTAGCATGCACCTGTAGTCCCAGCTATTTGGGAGGCTGAGGTGGGAGGATCACTTGAACCTGGGAAGTTGAGGCTGCAGTGAGCCATGATCGCATCACTGCACTTCAGCCTGAGTGATGGAATGAGACCCTGTCTCAAGAAAAAAAAAAAAAAAAAAGCCCCTGAGGAGGAGGGTCCCTGGGGGTCTCACCTCTGAGGTTCTCAGGATCTAAGGAGCTCTGAGGCCCTCTTCTTAGGAGGGGGTGGGGTACAGGGTGGGTTTGGAGGTATCAGGGGTCTGAGGAAGGAATGGGAAGGGTTCTGAGGCCCCTGCCTATCACTCACACCTACCCCAGGAGGAGGTGGGGCGCTGGGTGGCTCATCAGGAGAAGGAGACGCGGCGGCTGCAGCGCCCTGGGTCTGCTCGCCTCTTCCCTCTGCCTGGGCGGGACCACAAGTATGCAGTAGAGATCCAGGGCCAGCTCAATGGCTCGGCAGGCCCTGGGCACAGCGAGCTAACTCTGCTGTGGGATCGGACTGGTGTGCCAGGAGGCAGCGTGAGTACCCAGGACCTACCTCCAACCCTAGCCGCAGGCCCCAGCCTCAGATCACCTGGGCTTTCTGAACCCCAGGCCACAAACTCTGAAATCCCTAGATTCTGGCCTCGGACTCCTTAACTCTTGGCCTCTGAACTCTGGACCTCCTCTTGAACCCTGTGGCCCCTGACCTCTGCCTATAGACCCTAACCTGATCCCATATTTTGACCCCCATCTTCTGACTCCTCACCCTTGACCCTGCTGACCCTGACCTCTGCCCTCCATACTTTGACCTATAATAATCTCCAGATTCCTCCAGACCTTGGACCTCTTTACTGATTTCCTAAATCCTGACTTCCTATGTGCCTGAGTTCTCAACCTGGGCTCCAAACCCTTACTTTCAGTTAGCGCCAGACTCTGACCCCTGCCCCAGACCTTGACTGCTGCCTTCCTGTGACCCCTTCCCCAGGAGATCTCCTTCTTCTTCCTGGAGCCCTACCGCTCGTCGTCCTGCACCTCCTATTCTTCCTGCCTGGGCTGCTTGGCAGACCAGGGCTGTGGCTGGTGCCTGACCAGTGCCACCTGCCACCTGCGCCAGGGCGGAGCCCATTGCGGGGATGACGGGGCTGGTGGGTCCCTGCTGGTGCTGGTGCCTACCCTCTGCCCACTCTGCGAGGAGCATCGGGACTGCCACGCCTGCACCCAGGTGCCTGTGGGGCCACCAGGGGAGGTCACAAGGTGGAGGGAGCCACAGCAGGCAATGGGCAGTCAAGGGAACCCCTGGTGGGGGGTGTGGGGGAAACAGCAAGGGCTTTTGGCCTTGATCTGCAGAGCCTGGTGGGGAGGGTGAGATGGAGCTGTAGAGAGAGGCACCTGGGGAGTCAGGACTCTCCCTGTTGTAGGGGCCAGAGAATGCAACTCCATCCTTTTCCACTAGCGGGGAGTTTCTCAGCATAGGCACTGGAGCCCAGGAGTAGGCCTTCAGGCCTGCCACCTCCAAGTGATGTCAGGCAGCCCTCGACACCCTGCTTCCTCTTGTTCCCTGGGAGGGTTTGTTTCCTTGTGAGTGGCAAGGGAGCCGTTAAGGGTCCAGGCTCTAAGTCCCTGCTCTGTCTCAAACAGAGTGAGGCTTCCTATTTCTCTCCCCCCACCCCACCACCATCCAGGAGCTCAACAGAAGTCCCAGAATTGCACTTCTGTGGCTCTGGTTGGGCCTTGTACAGGCTCCTGGGCCAATGACTGGAGTTGTGGGGAGGGAATGTGGCCCCTTGCCCACCTCTGGATCCTGAGGATTGAATAAGCCCCACCCGGACCACACAGAAGGGGTGCTATTGCCTAAAGGAGACAGTGGGTGCTGGGCGGGCCGACCCATGGGTGTCTGTGGTCGAAGGGAGGGGTCCAGAGACGCAGGCAGCTGGGGAGGGAGATGGCCTTACAGGGACAGTCTGCAGGGTGGGGCAGGGGGTGGGATGGGCACTGGGAGTCCAAAGGAAAGGGCTGAGTGGGGTTCTGACTCCTCTGCCCAACTGACCCCCAGGACCCCTTCTGTGAGTGGCATCAGAGCACCAGCCGCAAAGGGGACGCGGCATGCAGCCGGCGGGGCCGGGGTCGGGGTGCCCTGAAGAGTCCAGAGGAGTGTCCCCCGCTCTGCAGCCAGTGAGTCAGGCTGGGTGCAGGGAGTGGGTGGGTGGATGTGCCTGGGGATGTGTGCTGGCTGTGGAGTGACCTGGCCCCCTGCTCCCCACCCCAGGCGACTGACCTGTGAGGACTGCCTGGCCAACTCTAGCCAGTGCGCCTGGTGCCAGTCCACCCACACCTGCTTCCTGTTTGCTGCCTACTTGGCCCGGTACCCACACGGGGGCTGTCGAGGCTGGGACGACAGGTATGGTCCCTGGGGCAGGGCTAACAGAGGAAGATTCCCCACCGGCAAGGGGCTGGGGCTCTGACCCCCACCCCTGCCATCCTGCAGTGTACACTCGGAGCCACGGTGCCGGAGCTGCGATGGCTTCCTGACCTGCCATGAGTGTCTGCAGAGCCACGAGTGTGGCTGGTGTGGCAATGAGGACAACCCCACACTGGGACGGTGAGCCCGGGCAGGTGGGTGGGCAGGGTGCCCGGCTGTGTCCTTCCTCCATGACCGGTCATTCTAATGGCCTCTTTGCTTCTCTGCCCTCTTGCCCATCCCATGGCCACCTTCCCTTTTCCGTACTGTTTTTCTGTTGTTTATTTTACCCTCCCGCTCTTTTTTCTCCATTTTTCCTCCTTTTCCGGCTCTCTGCGATTCGTTTTCTTTCTCCTTGTCTGTTTCTGTCTCTCCGCTCTCCCTTTCACTGCATCTCTGTCTATGTCTCTCTTCTGTCTTCCAAAATTGTTTTTGTCTGCGACTTCTCCTGGTTTCTCTGTCTCTCTTTCCAAATTTGTATTTGCATCCCTCTCCTTCCAATTGGCCTCCTCTCTCCCTGTCATTGTTTCTATGTATGGCTCCTGTTTCTATGTTGTCCCCCGCTTCTTCACTCTCCCACCCTGCAGGTGCCTACAGGGGGACTTCTCAGGGCCCCTCGGTGGGGGTAACTGCTCCCTGTGGGTGGGGGAGGGCCTGGGGCTTCCCGTGGCCCTCCCTGCCCGCTGGGCATACGCCCGCTGTCCTGACGTGGATGAGTGTCGCCTGGGCCTGGCCCGGTGCCACCCGCGGGCGACCTGCCTGAACACGCCCCTCAGCTACGAGTGTCACTGCCAGCGGGGCTACCAGGGTGATGGCATCTCACACTGCAACCGCACGTGAGTGAGGCGGGGGTTGCTATGGAGATGTTGCCCCAGGCTGGGGCACATGGAGGTGGAGGGAGGAAGCCATCATGGCGCTGGGTCCCCTCCTGTGGAACCAGCATCCCCAGTTAGCCAGGGGTTTTTACCTTGCACACTAGGTCCTTATTAGAGTGACAGGGTCCCCAGTGTAACCCTGGTTACCATGGAAATGGGGCACCCATAGGCTGTGGGCCATAGTCTTCAGCGTTGCCATGGAGGCGGAGGAGGACCTAGTTGAAAGAGGTTTTCACAGTGGTGCTATGTGGTTGCTATAGAGACAGGCTTGGTGATGCATGGAGTTACCTTGGAGACAGGGTCACCCACATAGCCCAAAACCATGGAAACAGCCAGTGGCTTTGATGGTGTCATGGTGGGTGGAGATGATGGGGTGCTTTAGGGGCTCTGGGCCTGCCTGGCGCTTTCCCCACCCCCAACACGGCCCCTCAGGTGCTTGGAGGACTGTGGCCATGGTGTGTGCAGTGGCCCCCCGGACTTTACCTGCGTGTGTGACCTAGGCTGGACATCAGACCTGCCCCCTCCCACACCCGCCCCGGGTCCGCCAGCCCCCCGCTGCTCCCGGGACTGTGGCTGCAGCTTCCACAGCCACTGCCGCAAGCGGGGCCCTGGCTTCTGCGACGAGTGCCAGGGTAAGCAGCCCTTGTCCTGGGCCCAGCCTGGACCCAGGGAGCCTCCTCCCTTCTTGGGGCTCCAGTTTGCTCTTCTTGGAGGGGGCCTCAGTGTCCTCTCATGCAGCTCTAGGTCCCCTGCCCCATTCCTGTTCCTGACTCAAACAGGTTTCAGTGCCACCCGTCACTCTGGTTGGGCTTCAGTTCCCCCTCTTGGGACTTGCTGTTTCCCCTGATCTGGGCCTTGGTTTCTCACCTTTGAAGCGGCTGGGTGGGGTCAGGGTTTAGCTGAGCCAGTAGGCCTGGGCCTGTTTCCACCCTTGACTTGACTCTGTCCCACCTGCTGGGGCCTCCACAGACTGGACATGGGGGGAGCACTGCGAACGATGCCGGCCCGGCAGCTTCGGCAACGCCACAGGCTCTAGGGGCTGCCGGCCCTGCCAGTGCAACGGGCACGGGGACCCACGCCGTGGCCACTGCGACAACCTCAGTGGGCTCTGCTTCTGCCAGGACCACACCGAGGGTGCCCACTGCCAGCTCTGCTCCCCAGGCTATTATGGGGATCCCCGGTGAGCCAACGGGCCAGCCAGGGCTGGGTAGGGTGTGCTTGGGGACACAGTGGGGAGGGTCAGGACTGGTCTGACACTGGCTCTTCTCCATCTCCCCAGGGCCGGTGGTTCCTGCTTTCGGGAGTGTGGGGGTCGCGCCCTCCTCACCAACGTGTCCTCAGTGGCACTGGGCTCACGCCGGGTCGGGGGGCTGCTGCCTCCAGGTGGCGGGGCTGCAAGAGCCGGGCCTGGCCTGTCCTACTGTGTGTGGGTTGTCTCGGCCACTGAGGAGCTACAGCCCTGTGCTCCCGGGACCCTCTGTCCCCCACTCACCCTCACCTTCTCCCCCGACAGCAGCACCCCCTGCACGGTGAGCACTGAGGAAACGAGGGTTCAGGCGCATGAGCCAGAACCGTGTCCCCTGACCCAGCCTGCATCCTCAGACCCTGACCCTAGTATTGCTGTTTTTTTTTTTTTGTTTTTTTAATCCTTCAAAACCCAAACTCCTCCTCAGATCCCCAGCACTTTGTTCCTAGGCCCACAGACAGACCCCCCCATTTCCCAGATAGCTTCCTATTTCCTCAGCTCCCATCTCCAATTCTCCAGATTCTCAATCTCCCCATTCCTAGAGCAGGAATGGTAAATTGTTACACCTTGTACACCAACTCTGATTGATTGGTACTGACTGCCAGGAGCTGCATGTTGAGAAAGGGGCTCAATGCAAGAGTGCCTGATAGATGAGCCGTGTCTACTTTGGACACAGGAAGGGGAGTGGTGGCCTTATGCCATAGTTTGACAGTCTCCCCTGGATGTTCAAACAGCCCATTTCCCAGTCTCAGATTGCCCTCCCCTCTTGAACCCCTCCTCCTCCCAGACCCCAGGTGTCGTTCTCATCCTCATTGTCTCCTAATCCTCGATTCTGCACCCCTCTAGCTGAGCTACGTCCTGGCGTTTGATGGATTCCCACGCTTCCTGGACACTGGTGTTGTCCAGTCGGACCGCAGCCTCATAGCTGCCTTCTGCGGCCAGCGACGGGACAGGCCCCTCACTGTTCAGGCCCTGTCTGGTACGGGGGCTAGGGGAAGTGGGACCTCTTAGTCCTGGGCTATGTATCCCTTGCCCCTGAACTCACCACCTGAAGTGGGCTCAGGACCCAGCTCTGCCGCTGCTTATGGGGTGATGTAGTCCCTCACCATCTCTGGACCTCAGTGTCCTTAGTTGAGAGGAAAATAGGATTGCGCCGGCTGAGCTACGTCTGCAGAGAGAAGGGCTGAATGAGACATGTCTCTGGGGCATATAGAATGTGGTTGGTGTGAGGATCCCACACCACTCACTCTTTCCAGCTAGGCAGGAGTGTAGTAGCGCAATCTCAGCTCACTGCAACTTCTGCCTCCTGGGCTCCAGCGATTCTCCTGCCTCAGCCTCCCGAGTAGCTGGGATTACAGGCGCATGCCACCATGCCTGGCTAATTTTTGTATTTTTAGTAGAGACAGGGTTTCACCATGTTGGCCAGTCTGGTCTTGAACTCCTGACCTCAAGTGATTCGCCCACCTTGGCCTCCCAAAATGCTGGGATTACAGACATAAGCTGCTGCGCCCGGCATATATATATATATAACTTTATTGAGGCATATTTTATATATACTAACATATCAAGTAATTCCTGTCACACCTACCCCCAAATCAGTATCTTTTCTAAAGAGATCCAGTCTCATGTAAGGGCAGTAGGAGTTGTGGAAGGTTTGGAGCTTGCTGATTACAGGGCCCAATTCACGTTTTGAGGATCGCTGGGCCACCATGAGTGGGGAGTGTAGGCAGCCAGGATGACCAGTAGGGGATGGGTGCCGGTGTCCAGGTGGGACAGGACTTGGGCTTGGATAGCAGCTCAGGAGGTAGCTAGCAGTCGGTGAGAGATTTAGGCTTGAAGATCAATCTTGATGGGTTGGCTGAGGGAGGGGGTGCAGAATGGTTCATCCTGGCGATGATTATGAATAATATGGTGCCTTCCTTCCCTGCCCAGTCACACTGGGTTTTCTTAGCATCTGGGGGTGGAAGGGGCCAGGAACGTGACTTTGCTACCAGCCTCTGGCCTCTCTCTTCACAGGGCTGCTCGTGCTGCACTGGGAGGCCAATGGCTCCTCATCCTGGGGCTTCAATGCTTCGGTGGGCTCTGCCCGCTGTGGGTCAGGGGGCCCCGGGAGCTGTCCCGTCCCCCAGGAATGCGTGCCCCAGGACGGTGCTGCAGGTGCGGGGCTCTGCCGATGTCCTCAGGGCTGGGCTGGCCCACACTGCCGCATGGCTCTGTGTCCTGAGAACTGCAATGCCCACACTGGGGCAGGAACTTGTAACCAGGTACAGGTGGGAGAGGGCAAGTCTGGTGGGACAGGGCTGGTGATCAGGGCTCCCCTGAGTCCCTTGTCATCCCCCAGAGCCTGGGTGTGTGCATCTGTGCCGAGGGCTTCGGGGGCCCCGACTGCGCCACCAAGCTGGATGGCGGGCAGCTGGTCTGGGAGACCCTCATGGACAGCCGCCTCTCAGCCGTGAGTTGTGGGTACCCGCTGTCTAGGGATGGTTGCTCCCAGGTCGTTCTCCCACCTCCATTCCTGGGACCACCCCTACACCCAGGCCTGGCACTTTGTCCTGACCCTAGCCTGATCCCCAATGTCCGCACCCACCCCTAGGACACTGCCAGCCGCTTCCTGCACCGCCTGGGCCACACCATGGTGGATGGACCCGATGCCACCTTGTGGATGTTTGGGGGCCTGGGCCTGCCCCAGGGGCTGCTGGGAAACCTGTACAGGTGAGGACTGCCCTGGGCAGGTGGGATTCGCAAATAAGAGAAGGTCACCTCGGGATGCTAAGAGTCACCTCAGAGGAGTGCAGAAAAGCCTCTAAGGTAAAGGACAGCCCAAAGGATGCTGGGACACTTGTCACAGGAAGCTCACCCGGGGACACTTGGGGACCAGGGTACTTATTTGGGTGGTGCTACTCCAGGGAATGGCAAGAGGACTGTCATAGGAAGGTCACCCCAGGGGATGCGGGGACATCTGTCAGGCAGGGTCACCTTGAAGGATGCTGGGATGACTGTAATGAGGCTGCTTTTTTGCACCCTGGCCCCAGGTACTCAGTGAGTGAGCGGCGGTGGACACAGATGCTGGCGGGAGCCGAGGACGGGGGCCCAGGCCCATCGCCCCGCTCCTTCCATGCAGCCGCATATGTGCCCGCTGGCCGTGGTGCCATGTATCTGCTGGGGGGACTTACCGCTGGAGGCGTCACCCGTGATTTCTGGGTCCTCAACCTCACCACCCTGCAATGGCGGCAGGAGAAGGTGAGCATCTCTCCCCAGCCCACTCCCCAGCCCTCACACTGGGCCCTGACAGAGACAGCTGTGGTAGCTCCTGCCAGCTCCATCCCCAGAGGAAACAGAAGCCCCAAACTTGAATTTCCTCGGCCATCCTGGGTCACACTGTTGTCCTGAGCCAGTCCTGGGCTGGGACACAGCTTCACTCAGCAGCAGAGAGAGGCCAGGGGAGCAAGGGCTTCCCAAAGCCACACCAGGCTTGAGCAGGTGGAAATGCCAAGGGGCCCACTGTGCCTCTGCCAGGACCCAGGCTGGTCCGACTGGCCCTGGGGGGGTCATTCCCTCCTTAGTACTTCAGGGAGGACTGTGGGGGGCTGAGGCTCGCTTCTACCCACAAGGTGACCCCTGACCTCTAGCCCCATCGGTGACCTTGCCCCTCCATCCCTCAGGCCCCCCAGACCGTGGAGCTGCCAGCCGTTGCTGGTCACACCCTTACTGCCCGCCGAGGCCTGTCTCTGCTCCTGGTGGGCGGTTACTCCCCGGAAAATGGCTTCAACCAGCAGCTGCTGGAGTACCAGCTGGCAACCGGCACCTGGGTGTCAGGAGCCCAGAGTGGGACACCCCCCACAGGTGGGGCTGGGGACCGGGAGGGGACAGCCCCCGTGGACCTCCCGGGCATCTGGGCTTCCTGTGGGCTCTCCATCCACTGCTGTGCTCTGTGGCCACCTGTCTCCCTCTCTTTCCCATCCCCATGCAGATTCTCAGGGCACCCTCTTGAATGTTCAGATTTTCTGACTGTCCTTCCCAGACTCCACAACTAACTGCCCACTCCCGGCCACATGTGGCCACCGTCCCCTGCCCCCAGGGTCTGAGCTCCCTGCTTCTCAAGGGTTCTTCCTCGATCACACCTCCTTTCTTTGATCACTGTCCCCTAGACATTCTGGACGCCCTGTCTCCCTCCCGAGAGCCTGGCAGAACTTACTGCCAGTTGAGGACTCCCTTCTCTTTCCCAGAGTCTCTAATGATTGTCCATTTGAACCCAACTGAGAGGGACGGGTGGAGAGGGGCTCCCAGGCCTCCAGTCTCAGGGCCGGGGAAGGGAGTGGTCACCGAACAGGGGACCGGGAGGTCGGCGGGGTCAGTGCTGTTGTCAGCCCCTCCCCCAGCCTGTCACCCTGCCCCTCACCAGGTCTCTATGGTCACTCTGCTGTCTACCACGAGGCCACCGACTCCCTCTACGTGTTTGGGGGGTTCCGATTCCATGTGGAGCTGGCGGCCCCATCCCCCGAGCTCTACTCCCTGCACTGTCCTGACCGCACCTGGAGTCTGCTGGCCCCTTCTCAGGGGGCAAAGGTCAGGAAAAGAGGCTCAGACCCAAGGATGTATGGGGCAGGAGGGAGGGGTCCTCTTTCCCAGTGCCCCAGGGACTGGCTCCATCCCAGATTCCTGCTTCCCCTCCTTTCTATGTTCCCTAACTAAGCGACACCCCCACATCTCCCCCGCTTCCATCCCTGATTTGGAGGAGAGAACCCGAGGCCAGGAGGTCAGAGGCATGAGTTCTGCCCAGCTCTCCCCTGAGTCTTGGTGCGGCCCTGGCAGGCCCCTTCCCCGTCCTGGGTTTTTCCACTCGTATAAACCAGGACTGAGGCTCCCCGCTCTTTCTGCCTTCAAGGCCAAGGAGAATGTGTGTGGGAGGGCAGGGAGCCCTGTCTGCACTGGTTAGAGAGGCTGGTGGTTTCAGTCCACACGTTTCCAAGCCCGTCTTGGAGGCAGGGGGCTAGAAGCAAGAGACTCGAGGAGCCTCAACCCCAGGACGCCCCCACTGTCACTAGCGAGATCGTATGAGGAATGTGCGTGGCTCATCTCGGGGTCTGGGCCAAGTTCCTGGGGAGCAGCCTGGGTCATGGGGGTTCCGGGAAGTCAGGAAGAAGATGGCTCTGTGGGCTGCTCTTGCTGGTACAGGAGGTTTCCTGGAGGAAATCTCACCTCACCTGAAGGAGGTGAGATTTGAAGAGGGTTAGGATTGGGTGGGCTGGTAGGGGGGGATAGGTAGGGAAGTACAGGGGTGGCTGGAGGGCTAAGAGGGAGCAGAGGACAGCTCTGACAGGCTGTCCTGTCCCCCCACCCCCCGTCTCCCCAACAGCCCCGCCCCCGGCTTTTCCACGCCTCAGCCCTGTTAGGGGACACCATGGTGGTTCTTGGGGGGCGCTCGGACCCTGACGAGTTCAGCAGCGACGTTCTGCTCTACCAGGTCAACTGCAATGCCTGGCTTCTGCCCGACCTCACCCGTAAGTCCCCATTGTGGCTCCCAGGAGGCTGAGGGACATCCAGGAGGAGCCCCATCCCCATCCTGGGACTCCCACTCCTTAGGAGTCACTGGGCCCCTGCAGACCCACTGGCAGAGCTCCCGCTCTTCTGGATTATCTGAACACCAGGACATGCCCTCCTTCCTTTTTTTTTTCTTAGAGAAGTTTATTTTTTACTCTGTAAAAGTAACAATGTTCACTATATATAATTTGTAAAATAGGAAAGAAAAAAAAACACCCATAATCCCTCTCTCTAGAGACAACCACTATTAGACATGGGGGTGTTTCCTACCAGTCTTTGCTGTTCATAGGTAGAAGCATGCCTGTCACTTGCCTTTTTATTTCAATGTTGTGAGTGACTGTTGTGAGTGTGTTTCTGGGACTGTCTCCTTTTCTTTTTGCTTCTCTCTCTGACCCTTTGTCTCTTTTTCTATTTTTATTAGCAACAGGGTCTCACTGTGTTGCCTAGGCTGGAGTGCAGTGATGCTATCTTGGCTCACTGTAGCCTCTGCCTCCAAGGCTCAAGCAAGCAATCCTCCCTCCTCAGCCTCCCAAGAAGCTGGGACTACAGGCATGCCACCACGCCTGGATAATTTTTTTTTTTTTTTTTTTTTTGTAGAGACAGGGTTTTGCTATGTTGCCCACGCTGGTCTTGAACTCCTGGGCCCAAGCAGTCCACCTGCCTCAGCCTCCCAAAGTGCTGGGATTTAATTCCCTTTTTCTCTTAATCTGTCTTTTCAGATTCAGTAGACAGAGACTACTTCATGTCTGTGTCTCTCAGTTATTTTTTGAGGATTTAAAAAAATTGAGGTGAAAGTCACATAACATAAAATTAACCATCTTAAAAATACATTGGCTGCAGCCTGGGTGACAGAGCAAGACTCTTTCTCAAAAAAAAAAAAAAAAAGCATTGGCATTTAGTGCCTTCAGAGAGTTGTCCAGCCGCCACATCTATCTGGTTCGAAAACATTTGTCTCTCTTCTTATTTCCCTCTTTGTGTTCCTTTGTTGTCTGCTTGTGTCTCTCTCCCTCTCTTTTTTTTTGCTTGCTGTCTATCCTCATGTGTTTCCTCTCTGCTTCTGCTGTTTTTTTTTTTTTTTTTGGAGACATGGTCTTGTTCTGTTGCCCAGGCTGGAGTGCAGTGGTGCAATCTCAGCTCACTGCAACCTCAACCTCCTGGGCTCAAGTGATCCTCCTAATTTAGCTTCCCAAGTAGCTGGGGCCACAGGTGCGCACCACCATGCCCAGCTAATTTTTTATTGTTTGTAGAGACGGGGTCTTTCTACGTTGCCCAGGCTGGTCTTAAACTCCTGGGCTCAAGCAGTCTTCCTGCCTCAGCCTCCCAAAGTGTTGGGATCACAGGTGTGAGCCACCGCCCTTGGCCTTGTTTCTGCTGTCCTTTGACCCTGTGTTTCTCCTCTTTCCCTGCATCCTTCTCTGACTGGCATCATGGTGTGGGTCTCTTCCTGGAGTCTCCTGCTCTCTATCTGTCTGAATACACCATCTTTCCTCAGGCTCGGCCTCTGTGGGGCCCCCAATGGAGGAGTCTGTGGCCCATGCTGTGGCAGCAGTCGGGAGCCGCCTGTATATCTCTGGGGGTTTCGGGGGAGTGGCCCTGGGCCGCCTGCTGGCACTGACCCTGCCCCCTGACCCCTGCCGCCTGCTGTCCTCACCTGAAGCTTGTAACCAGTCTGGGGCCTGCACCTGGTGCCATGGGGCCTGCTTGTCCGGGGATCAGGCCCACAGGTAACCATGGCGACCATGACAGGCAGTGGGGAGTGGAGCCCTCTAATGGGGGTCCTGTGCTAGGCCACACCAGGATGGAGGCCTCAGGAGTATACCGTCTGGTTCAGGAAAGGGGTGAATCACCGCAGGCAGGGTGGCCGGGGGAGCTCTGAGTGGGGATCCCTGCCTGGGACTGGGGTCTCATGCAAGAATGCTTGCTGGAGGAGCTGGGTCTGAACTGGGCCTTAAAAGAACGGTAGAGTTGAGACCATCAGTGATTCAGAAGTGAGGCTGAGACCGGAAGCTGGAGGGGGTCAGCTCAGAAAGGGCTTCCCATGCCTGGCAGAGGCACTGGCTCTGTCCAGCTCCACAGATCCTTCAGCTGCGGTTCCAGGAATGCAGACATCCTGGACACTGAAAGTGTTTTCTTAGGCTTAGCACAGACTCACTTCGCTGCCCAGTCACCCTCACTGATATGAGGCTATTAGTTGGCCTTATTTGCCCGAAGGGTGTGTTGTCAGTTACTACAGGAATGTTAATGGTTTGATTTCGGAGTGCTCCTTACCCCAGACCCCACTGGAGGTATTGTGTAACAGTGGGTACACCCACTGCTTTTCTAAAATCCAGAACAGTCTGAAACGTGTGTACCTCTTGGGATTTGGGGTAAGGGATTGTGGACCCCCCCTGTGCAGGACAGGGAGCCATGGAAGGCCTGAGCAGGACAGGGCAGGGACGGGCCTGGGCAGTGAGATCCCTGGCGCTGTTGTGAGGGGTAGAGTGACGAGAGCCTGCAGGTGGGGACCAGGTTGGGCAAGGGGCTGCAGGGGTGGGGAGGAGGGGACGGTCAGGGAGAAATCCAGGAGGCAGAAGGCTTCGGTGGCTGCATGGGCAGGAGGACCTGGGGTGTGGTCCAGCGTCTCCAGCCTGGGTGACAGGTGGATGTGGGACCATCTATTACCAAATGGTGGTGGGGACAGCCAGGCTCAGGAGGCCTGTGCTATGTCCAGCTTGGGATGCAGGGTTGGGGGCCTGCAGGACAGTGTCTGGGAGGCAGAAGGAGGGGGTCTGGATGGGTGTGAGTGAGCCAGGCCTCATGTCCTTTAGGCTGGGCTGCGGGGGCTCCCCCTGCTCCCCAATGCCTCGCTCCCCGGAGGAATGTCGACGTCTCCGGACCTGCAGTGAGTGCCTGGCCCGCCATCCTCGGACCCTGCAACCTGGAGATGGAGAGGTGAGTGGTGGGGAAGGCAGGGATGAGAAGCAGCAGGTGTAGGGCAGGGAGGTCCTGGTCTCCACTCTGGTCAGCTGTCCCACCCACCCCAGGGTCTCAGGAACCACCGAGTTCTCAGCTGGCTCAGGAGGGGTGCTGAGGGTCCCATCTAGCCTGTCTTCCCTCACCAGGCGTCCACCCCCCGCTGTAAGTGGTGTACCAACTGCCCCGAAGGTGCTTGCATTGGACGCAATGGGTCCTGCACCTCTGAGAATGACTGTCGGATCAACCAGCGAGAGGTCTTCTGGGCAGGGAACTGCTCCGAGGCTGCGTGCGGGGCTGCTGACTGCGAGCAGTGCACGCGGGAGGGCAAGTGCATGTGGACGCGGCAGTTCAAGAGGACAGGTGAGCAGTGGGCCTAGTTCCTGAGAGGGGAGTCTTGGGGCCTGGACTCCTGGGTCTGAGGGAGGAGGGGCTGGGGGCCTGGTCTCCTGGGTCTGAGGGAGGAGGGGCTGGGGGCCTGGACTCCTGGGTCTGAGGGAGAAGGGGCTGGGCCCCTGATCTCCTGGGTCTGAGGGAGGAGGGACTGGGGCCTGGACTCCTGGGTCTGAGGGAGGAGAGGCTGGGGCCTGGACTCCTGGGTCTGAGGGAGGAGGGGCTGGGGGCCTGGACTCCTGGGTCTGAGGGAGGAGGGGCTGGGCACCTGATCTCTTGGGTCTGAGGGAGGAGGGGCTGGGGCTGGATTCCTGGGTTAAGGGAGGAGGGGCTGGGCCTGAGCTCCTGGGTCTGAGGGAGGAGGGGCTGGGCTTGCGATCTCCTGGGTCTGAGGTTCTAATCCCCGTGCCCCACCCCCAGGGGAGACCCGCCGCATCCTCTCCGTGCAGCCCACCTATGACTGGACGTGCTTCAGCCACTCTCTGCTGAATGTGTCCCCCATGCCGGTGGAATCATCACCCCCACTGCCCTGCCCCACCCCTTGTCACCTCCTACCCAACTGTACCTCCTGCCTGGACTCTAAGGGAGCAGATGGGGGCTGGCAGCACTGTGTTTGGAGCAGCAGCCTGCAGCAGGTACTGCACCTGGCCAGGACCGTGCCAGGCAAGGGCCCGGGCAGGTCTCCCTCCTCTCTGCGCTGGCAGGGACCTTTCTTCCACCATCTCCTCCACCCTCCTCCTTCCATCTCCCTGGCTCTAGCTGCAGTCGTGCTTCCTTCTCGTGCCACCATCTCTTTCCTCCCTCGTTGCCTCATGAGGGTCCCTGTTGTGTCCTCCAGCCATGCTTCTGTGTGTGCCACTTTCCCAACCCCTGGCCTCTGCCTCTCCAACTCTTGTCCATGGTATCATGGTCTCCTCATCCTTTCCATGACTTTAAAAAAATTTTAATTTAATTTTTTGTTTTTAATTTTGTCGATATAATTCATAGGTTCACATCCACGACTCTTAATGCTTCTTCCTTCAACCTCCCAAACCTTTTCTGCTTCCCTCCTCTCTCTCTTTCTCTCTCTACTTATGGAACTTTTGGTTATAAGAAACAGACACTCCCTCGAGCTGGTTTTGTTATAAGGAAGTGTGGGTATTTGATGGACTCTGAGAGCAGGAAGTGTTTCTGCTCTGTTGCTCTCAGGCCACATGACCCGTAATCTCAGCTGTTCTCCACACTTCTCCATTGTCGGGTTTCTGTCGGTCTGATAGTCAACACACATGGCCTCAGATTGCAGCCTTGACTCCCAGTCTAGATGCCTTCTAATTCCAGAGACCACGTTCATCTCTGTGTTTGTCGGTTAGCTCACATTCTCGAGGAGAAACTCTGACTTAGTGCACGAGCTACATGTCCAGCCTTGGTGTAGTGGGATGTGGCCAGGGAGGGCTAGGAGCACGTGGTTCAAACGTGGCACGTCAGATCTAGGCCTCTTCTAGGCTGTGGGGTGGAGAGATGATTCCTGAAGGTGGGTGTGGCCTAGGCAGGCATGTGTGTACCCGTGACAGTCCACCCCTTGGAGTGCCTGGCACATGCTCTCTTGTTTCCAGAAACTCCATTCCAAAGACGCTTCCACCTGACATGATTAAACTGTCGTGGTGGCAGACAAAGGCATTCGCACCCCACCCCACTGCCCCCCCGTGGGAGATAAGACACATTCACCTCCCACTGTCACATGTGGAAGCAATGTCACTCAGCCAGAGCCCACTCCTCATTCATACCTCGATTATGCAAGACCCAATTGAGGCAAAACTGCTCACCATCCGACAACCCATGAACTAAGTGATCAGTCCAGCCACCACCCAGACACTAGTAGACAACAGTGCAGGGATGTGGGACACTTGCCATTTTGAGAGGTGGACTAAAGAAACCAACAGCACTTCGTGGAAATTCGAGACCAGGAGGGCAGGGTGTGGAGGACCAAGAATCCCACAGACCTTGGCATCCAGTGCCAGGAGCCCTGCCTGGGAGTGGTACATTAGCTCTCACCCGGAGGTAGTTTGCCTTGCGATCAAAAGCTCAGGCTGTGAAGTCAGTGGGATCTGGGTTTGACTCCAACTTGGCCACTTCCTGGCTGTTTGACTTTGGATGAGTGACTTCCCCTCTCCAAGACCTCAGGGAGAGTTTGCTAAAATGGGAATCATTTCACTAGATCCTGTCCCCTAGGGAGGTTGTACCAGTTAAATGGGGGAGAATTTACTTAGAGCATAGAGCAATGCCTGCCATTCAGGAAGCACTAAAAAATGGCTAATGATCATGATCATTGTTACTGTAATGAGCAGTGGTGAGAGGGCCAATCTGGCTGACCCAAGTCCTGCCACTGGGAGGATTCCCAGTCTCCACTGTATGGGACACACCAAGAGGGTGGCTGCGGGAGTTCCCCATGGGGGCTGTCAATGTGGCCAGAAGGGCAGAAGCCCCTGTGATTTTGGTCTGTGGTAAGCAGAGGCCTCTCGTCTCCAAGCCTGGGATCCTAATGGTAGTATGGGTTCTCCCCAGATATTATTGAAATTTCCATCATTTATCTTTGTGGGAGCTCCAGGGAGCAGAAGGCATACCCACAGTCCTGCGGGCATGCGCTGTTCCCCCAGCCTCTCGGTGCTTGCCAAGTTCTCACACGCCTGAAGAGCTGGGGCAGCTAAGGAGATGGGGGAGTGGCCAGGAGGGTGGCAAGGGGAAGAGGTGGGGCCAGTGAATTGGAGAGCACAGCCTGTCCCCAGGGGCCAGATGAGCATTGTTGATGGTGTATGTGAATGTGAGAGGGGACTTTTACCAGACTTTCTATGAAACCTCCTAGCTTTAAAGTGATGGCTTAGCTGGGTGGGGTGGCTCAGGCCTGTAATCCCAACACTTCAAGAAGCTGAGACAGATTGATTACTTGAGGCCAGGAGTTCGAGACCTGCCTGGGCAACATAGCAAGACCCTCATCTCTACAAAAAAAAAAAAAAAAAAATTAGCCAGGCATAGTGGTGTGTGTCTGTAGTCCCAGCTACTTGGGAGGCTGAGGTGGGAGGATCACTTGTGTCTGGGAGGTTGAGACTGCAGTGAGCCATTATTACAGCACTGCACTCCAGCCTGGGTGACAGAGCGAGACCCCGTCTCTAAAAAAAAAAAAAAAAAAAAAAAAAATTAGGCCAGGTGCAGTGGCTCACACCTGTAATCCCAGCACTTTGGGAGGCTGAGGTGGGTGGATCGTGAGGTCAGGAGTTCAAGACCAGCTTGACCAATATGGTGAAACCCTGTCTCTACTAAAAATACAAAAATTAACCAGGCATGGTGGCAGGTGCCTGTAATCCCAGCTACTCGGGAGGCTGAGGCAGGAGAGTCGCTTGAACCTGGGTGGCAGAGGTTGCAGTGAACTGAGATCGCACCACTGTACTCCAGCCTGGGTGACAGAGTGAGACTCCGTCTAAAGAAAAAAAAAGAAGTGTTGGCTTAGATTCCACCGCACAAATCAAACATAATAGGCGTGCAGGTGATACCTGTTATGATTTGGCTCAAGGGCTGCCTGATTCTAACCATCCCGCATTGTTCTTTTTTTCTTTTTTTGAAACAGAGTCTCGCTCTGTCGCCCAGGCTGTAGTGCAGTGGCATGATCTCGGCTCACTGCAGTCTCCACCTTCCAGGTTCAAGTGATTATCCTGCTTCAGCCTCCCAAGCATCTGGGACTATAGATGCACGCCACCACACCTGGCTAATTTTTGTATTTTTAGTAGAGACTGGGTGTCACCATATTGGCCAGGCTGGTCTCGAACTCCTGACTTTGTGATCCACCTGCCTCGGCCTCCCAAAGTGCTGGGATTACAGGCATGAGCCACCACGCCTGGCCCAGCATTGTTCTTTTTAATGGCTTTGGCCTGTGAGTCTGGGGCAGGCAGCGGAGACACTCCTTCTCTGGTCTGCCTCCTTCCTCTCATCCTCCCTCCCTCTCTTCAGCGAATTTATCATTGAGCACCTTCTTTCTGCTGGGTGCTTTGCTAGGCAGTGGGGAATGTCAGCAGATGAGCTAGAGTCCTGCTCTCAGAACTTATGTTCATACACCTTTTCCATGAACTCAGGAAATGCAGTGTATGGTGTTGGGCATCTTTGCATTTGGTCACTAGGGAGATTACAGCAGAAAGTGCTGTCCAGGACTGAGGATTCAGGGTTCTCTACCCCTCCCAGATTGTCCCACCATCTGCCAACAAGTGCCCTAAATTTAGATCTGGAAGCCCAGCCCAGCAGAGAATTTGCCTCTGGCAGTTCAGCAAGTCTCAGTGATTTGCAGGCCCCTCAGTGGGCTCAGAGCTCCAGCCACAGCAGTCAGGGTTTTCTATTTCAGGATTCCATGGTTGCTTTGCCTTTTCCTAAGTGCTTTCAGGCAGCCGGCCCAAATTAACCTCTTTCCTCTTATTCTTCACTTATGGCCCAAGCAATAAATAAAGTGCCTTATACACTGAGGTAAGTTCCCAAGAGCCTGAATCTCATTGTGCACGTTTTTGGGGTCCTGACATACAAATATGGCTTGTGAGTTGCTACCCAGCCCCTAACCAAGGACTCTTCAGGTTCTCAGTGTGGGGTAAGAGAAGCCTTTTTGCCTCAGCAGCCACATTTGTTCTTTTTCTTGTCTTTTCTTTCTTTCTTTTTTTTTTTTTTTTGAGACGGAGTCTCGCTCTGTCATCCAGGCTGGAGTGCAGTGGCGCGATCTCTGCTCACTGCAAGCTCCACCTCCCGGGTTCACGCCATTCTCCTGCCTCAGCCTCCTGCGTAGCTGGGACTACAGGCGCCCGCCACCACGCCTGGCTAATTTTTTCTATTTTTAGTAGAGACAGGGTTTCACCATGTTAGCCAGGATGGTGTTGGTCTCCTGACCTCGTGATCCGCCCGCCTCGGCCTCCCAAAGTGCTGGGATTACATTTTTCTAAGAAACTGTGGTTTGCAACCCCACTCCTGATACTCTTTTCTGTCTCCTTCTGGGAACATTGCCATTGTTCCTTTACCTGGAAGAAACAGAAGTGCCCTTAGTGAGGAGGGGAACTCCCTCCACCAATGCAGTAGTACCTGTTGGAACCCAGGATAGAAAGTACAGCAGGGCCTCACAAGGAACTGGAGACAGACTGGAAAGCTGCCTTTCTATCTGTCTTTAGGGCACGTGGTTCTCATCTCTGTCTCTTTCTGCAGCCTGCTCTTTTCCTGCCTGTCTGCGTCCTCTTTATTTAATCATCATTTGCTTATCTAAACAATCCCTTCAACCCAAGTCTACGCGATCTTCCAGTTTATTTTCTTTTTTTGAGACAGAGTCTTACTCTGTTGTCCAGGCTGGAGTGCAGTGGTGCAGTCATGACTCATTGCAGCCTCAAACTCCCGGGCTCAAAAAATCCTACCTCAGCCCCCCAGGTAGCTGGGTCTACAGATGTGTGCCACCACACACAGCTAATTTTTTATATTTTGTAGAGATGGTGTCTCACTGTGCTGCCCAGGCTGGTCTGGAACTCTTGGGCTCAAGTGATCCTCCCACTGTAGCCTCCCAAAGTATTGGGATTACAGGTGTGAGCCACTGCGGCCAGGCAACCTTCCAGTTTCAAGATCCTCCCCAGCCTGACTTCCCGCCTTGGTGTGTAGTTACAAACGCTTGAGAGGGAAAACATGATGACCCCAGCTAGTGTCCACTTTGCTCTACCTGTGGCCAGGGAGGGGTGAGACCTCAAAGAGGGTGTGGTCTGGGAAGATACCCAGAATGTGTTTGTTTAAGCTTATTTCCCCATCTCTCTCTTCCCTGCATCCCCATCCCCTCCCCCCCATACAGTGTCTGAGCCCTTCCTACCTGCCCCTGCGATGTATGGCCGGAGGCTGTGGGCGGCTGCTCCGGGGACCTGAGAGCTGCTCCCTGGGCTGTGCTCAGGCAACTCAGTGCGCCTTGTGCCTGCGGCGCCCCCATTGCGGCTGGTGTGCCTGGGGGGGCCAGGATGGGGGTGGCCGCTGCATGGAGGGTGGACTCAGCGGCCCCCGTGATGGTGAGAGGGCTTTGGGCACTGGGGGAGAGGGGCTGGCCCTTGGTTGGGGTCTGATACAGTGAACATAGGGATACTGGGCCAGACCCAGAGGTGGGGCTCAGAGGAGGCAGGAGGGAGGGCCTAGGCAACTGGGGCAGGTGGTACAGAGGTCCAGGTAAAATGCTATATCCCCGGTGCTAGGGCTGACATGTGGGCGTCCGGGGGCCTCCTGGGCCTTCCTGTCCTGCCCCCCTGAGGACGAGTGTGCAAACGGGCACCACGACTGCAACGAGACGCAGAATTGCCACGACCAGCCCCACGGCTATGAGTGCAGCTGCAAGACCGGCTATACCATGGACAAGTGAGGCCGCAGGCGGCGCTGGGGCCAGGCAGGCTAGGGTGGGAGAGTCTGTGGGGAGCAGTAATGGATGAGGCCTAGAGCCAAGCAGGACAGAAGAAAAGAAAGCTCGAGGCATGAAGGCAGTGGGATTGATTCCTGAAGGTCAAGAGTGGTGAGGCTGAGCAGGGAAGAGTGAGTTTCATAGGGTACCCCAATGGCCGGGCACAGTGGCTGATGCCTGTAATCCCAGCACTTTGGGAGGCCGAGGCAGGTGGATCACTTAAGGCCAGGAGTTCGAGACCAGTCCACAGGGAGACCCCATCTCTACAAAAAAATAAAAAAGAAAATAGGGTACCCTCAAAAGAGGAGAGAGGGTTGTGGGCTACACCTGGAGGGGGTGGTGGGCTAGATCCTGAAGAGAAGATAGCAACGGGACAGAGCAGGGATGAGCAACCAGTTGAGAAGAGGGTGGGGTAGTTGGTTGGGTGCTAGGCCATGAAGCCACGAGGAGGGTGGCCACCTGCCCTGACCCCCACTTTGCCCCTGCAGCATGACAGGGCTGTGCCGCCCTGTGTGCGCCCAGGGCTGCGTGAACGGCTCATGTGTGGAGCCCGACCACTGCCGCTGCCACTTTGGCTTTGTGGGCCGCAACTGCTCCACGGAATGCCGCTGCAACCGCCACAGTGAATGCGCTGGTGTTGGGGCGCGTGACCACTGCTTGCTCTGCCGCAACCACACCAAGGTGGGCCGCCCGGAGCCTCAGACCCCCGACCCTGGGACCCAGGCCCTCACTTGCCTTCATCCCACGCTCAGGCGGCTCGCATCTCATCCTGAGCCCTGATAAGCCAGGGACAGATAAGCCAGAGCCCTGTCCCAGGGAGATGTGTGGAGACTTGGGGGACGCTGCCTGGGTTTGGATCCCAGAGGGTCTGCCCTGGAATAGTGGACGGAGTGGGTGCTGCGCCAGGAGGACAGGCACGTGGAGGAGGATTTGAGATAATGGAGGGAAGGGCTTTTGAACTCAGCACTTTGGGCTGCAGGTGTGCAAGGGAAGGCGGGGGCTAAATCCCGCTGGGATTGTCCAAACCAGGTACCCGAGCCTCTGCTGCCCTCCCGTGGGCTCTCAGAACCTGCCCCTGTGCCCCCAACGCCCTCCTACCCCTGATGACTCTCCAGCCTCTCTAACTACCCTGTCCTGGGTTCTCAGGGCAGCCACTGTGAGCAGTGCCTCCCGCTGTTTGTGGGTTCAGCTGTCGGAGGCGGGACCTGCCGGCCCTGCCACGCCTTTTGTCGTGGAAATAGCCACATCTGCATCTCCAGGAAGGAGTTACAAATGTCCAAGGGAGAGCCAAAGAAGTACTCACTGGACCCAGAGGAGGTGAAAGAGAGGGGTCAGATGCCTGGGTCTGAGGGAGGAGGGGCTGGGGAGCTCCTGGGTCTGAGGGAGGAGGGGGCTGGAGACCTGGACCCTTGGGTTGAGGGAGGAGGGGCTGGAGGCCTGGATTCCTGGGTCTGAGAGAGTAGAGGTGGGGGTCTTGAACTCCTGGGTCTGAGGGAAGAGGAGCTGGGGCCTGGACTCCTGGATCTGAGGGAGGAGGGGGTGGGAGCCTGGCCTCCTGGGTCTGAGGGAGGAGTGGGTAGGAGCCTGGACTCCTGGGTCTGAGGGAGGAGGGGGTTGGTCCAGGCCTTTCTATGATCACACTGTCCTTCCTTGGCCAGATTGAAAACTGGGTGACAGAGGGTCCTAGTGAAGACGAGGCCGTGTGCGTGAACTGCCAGAATAACAGCTATGGGGAGAAATGCGAGAGCTGCCTGCAGGGCTACTTCCTCCTGGACGGGAAGTGCACCAAGTAAGAGGAACCGGGGGGGGGGGGGGGGGGGGGGGGGGGGGAGGCCGGGGATCCCACCCTTCTCACTGGGAGTAGCTCTGGAGCCAGGCCCCCTCTTTAGTCCTCCACCCCCAGTCAGGAGAGGATGACATCCCCAGGGAGCGCCCAGGCTGGGGTCAGGGTAGGGAAGGAGCTGGAATGTGATGCCACTCCCTACCTCCAAGGCTAGTGCTGAAGTGCAGTCCACAGAGCGGCCCCATCGAGAACAAGATGGGGCGGCTGAGGGCAGAGGCCTTGGAACAACCTCCCCTTTCCATCTCCTTCTTTCTGAGTGTTCAGTGAGTGCTGGAGTCTGTGCAACTCGGGTTCTAATCCCAATGGTAATTTAACTGCTTTGTGGCCTTGGGCAAACAGCTTGACCTCTGTGAACCTCAGTTTCCTCTTCTGGCCTGTTGCACAGAGTTGAGCTCACATATGGGGTGTCCATCCTGGACCACTGCAGGCCATGGGGGCTCCGTAACCCTCAACTTCTTCCCCAGATGCCAGTGTAATGGCCACGCGGACACATGTAACGAGCAGGATGGGACGGGCTGTCCATGTCAGAATAACACAGAGACGGGCACATGCCAGGGCAGCTCCCCCAGTGACCGTCGAGACTGCTACAAGTACCAGGTGCGGCTGCAGAAGCTAGTGGTGGGCCGAGGGCCCTACACCTTGTGGAGGTCAGGGCTGGGATGAGGTAGCCAGGCTCGGGCAGGACTGACAACATGGTTCCAAATCAGTGGTTTTGGGATCAAGTGCAGCTTGACAGACTGTTCCTGAGCCCCATTCAGTTACAGGCCCTAGGCAGTGATGCTGGGGACCAAGATATGAGCCTCTGGGGGACTCTCAGACTGGTGGGGAGACAGTCTCCATTACAGGTAGTCACAGCTAAAGGTGGCACATGCCAGAAAATCTATCCCATGGTAGCTCAACCGAAAAAAGAAAATGGGCTGGGCATGGTTGCTCATGTCTGTAATCCCAGAACTTTGGGAGGCTGAGGCGGGAGGATCACTTGAGCCCGGGGGTTCAAGACCAGCCTGGGCCATATAGTGCAACCCCATCTCTGAAAAAAAATTTAAAAATTAGCCTGGCATGGTGGTGCACATCTGTGGTCCCAGCTACTTGGGAGGTGGAAGTGGGAGGATTGCTTGAGCCCAGGAGGTCGAGGCTGCAGGACTCTGTCTCAAAACAACAACAACAACAACAACAACAACAACAACAAACACACACACACACACACACACACAACAGAAGAAAAGAAAATGTATTGACTCTTAGAACTGAGGGTCTGGGGTCTGCCTTCAGGACTGGCTATATCCGGGTGCTCACACAATGCCATCAGAAGTCTCTCTGCATCTTGACTCTGCTTTCCTCTGCATTGGCTTCATTTTCAGGCAGATTCTTCCCAGTTGGCAGACCCCCTCTGATGAACTGAGGCTAGCAGAGATCTCATATCATTTAATACCCAGATTCAAATTCCCCTCGAGTGCATTTCCCTTTTTCTTCTGCACAGAGGCTCCTGGAGTGCCTGCACTGGCCACCTGGCTGGCTGCTGTGTTCCAGACTTGCCTCCATGATGTCCCAGGCTCCTTCCTCAGAGGACAACTCCCGCCACCTCCCCGCCACCTTCTCTCTCCAGTCCCAGAGGGAAGAGAAAGTCCCTTGCTCTCAGTCTTCCTTACCCATCTACAGAAACATAATAGCTGCAAACATAATAGCTGCCACCCCAAATGGCAACAGTTTTACAAGCCTTACTGACCCTTAACATTTCTATCCTGGGCCAGAATTTCTGCTTTTTTATTTTTTTTTTAATTTTTAATTTAATTTAATTTTTTTTGGACACAGAGTATTGCTCTGTTGCCCAGGCTGGAGTGCAGTGGTGGGATCTTTGCTCGAGGCAGCCTCCACCTCCTGGGTTCAAGTGATTATCCTGCCTCAGCTTCCTGAGTAGCTGGGACTACAGGCGTGTGCCACCATGCCTGGCTAATTTTCTGTATTTTAGTAGAGATGGGGTTTCACCATGTTGCCCAGGCTAGTCTCAAACTTCTGAGCTCAGGCAATCCACCTGCCTTGGCCCCCCAAAGTGCTGGGATTACAGGCGTGAGCCACCACACCCAGCCCAGAGTTTCTGCTTTCTTGATAAGGGAAAGGCCTATTGGCTTTTACCAGGGAGTCTCAGAGATTAAATCAGACCTCCTCCTCTACCAGGTCTGTTGGCTGCTTAGAAGTAGCAGTTTTTCTTGGTTCCTTTTTTTTTTTGAGACGGAGTCTCACTCTGTCGCCAAGCTGGAGTGCAGTGGCGTGATCTTGGCTCACTGCAACCTCCGCCTCCCAGGTTCAAGCGATTCTCCTGCCTCAGCCCCCCGAGTAGCTGGGACTACAGGCACGTACCACCACCCCCCGCTAATTTTTGTATTTTTAGTAGAGACAGGGTTTCACCATGTTGGCCAGGATGGTCTTGATCTCTTAACCTTGTGATCTGCCCACCTTGGCCTTCCAGAGTGCTGGGATCACAGGCGTGAGCCACCACCCCCGGCCGGTTCTTTTTTTTAATGTATTTATTTTTAAGACAGGGTCTGGCTCTTTCACCCAGGCTAGAGTGCAGTGGTGCAATCTCAGCTCATTGCAACCTCTGCCTCCCTGGTTTCCATCATCCTCCCACCTCAGCCTCCTGAGTAGCTGAGACTACAAGCATGTGCTATCATACCTGGCTAATTTTTTTTTTAGAGATGGGGTTTTAACCATGTTGCCCAGGCTAGTCTTGAACTCCTGAGCTCAAGCAATCCACTCACCTTGGCTTCTCAAAGTGTTGGGATTCTAGGCGTGAGCCACCGTGCCTGGTTGGGCTTTTGGGTTTTTTTTTTTTTTTTTTTTTTTTTGATACAGGGCTTACTCTGTCACCCAGGCTAGAGTATAATGGCGCAATCATAGTTCACTGCAGCCTTGAACTCCTGAGCTCAAGTGATCCTCCTGCCTCAGCCTCCTGAGTAACTGTAACTATAGGCACACACCACCATGCCTGGCTAATTTTAAAAAAATTTTAAAGACGGGGGTCTTACTATGTTGCCCAGACTGGTCTCGAACTCCTGGGCTCAAGCGGCACTCCTGCCTCAGCCTCCTGAAGCACTGGGATTACAGGCATGAGTCACTGCGTCTGTTTTCTCTTGGTTCTAATAGTGATTGCAGTAATAACTAGAATGCCAGGAGCGCCTGCCACAGAGCTGGATGCTGTGCTGTGTAGACAGTGGTGACAGCATAGATATGAAAGGCTTTGCAAGACTGTGCTGGGGCCTCAGTGGGGTACAGACTTAAGAGGAAGACAGATTCAGAGACATTAAATGTCCTAGCTGGGCACAGTGGCTCATGCCAGCACTTTGAGAGGCTGAGGCGGGCAGATCACTTAAGGTCAGGAGTTCGAGACCAGCCTGGCCAACATGGTGAAACCCCTTCTCTACTAAAAATACAAAAATTAGTTGGGTGTGGTGGCGGACACCTGTAATCCCAACTACTCGGGAGGCTGAGGCAGGAGAATCGCTTGAACCCGGGAGGCAGAGGTTGCAGTGAGCCGATATCACACCACTGCACTCCAGCCTGGGCAACAGAGCGAGACTCTGTCTCAAAAAAAAAAAAAAAAAAAAAAGTCTCACCCCAGATCAGGTGGTCAGTTAGGCTTGGTGCCTGGAGTGACCCTGGTCTGATCTCAGAACTTGAGTGGTTTCCACTAAGCCACAGGAATCATAGCCGTTATCTATCCAGCCACACATTCATTCAGCACACAGTCATTGAGCACCTAGTATATGGCAAGCACCGTGCAGGTTGCTGGGGACACAGTAGGGAACAAAGCAGGCAAATGTTCTGTCTTTAGGAGTTTGCATTCTCATGGAGGCATCAGAAATGAACAAACAAGTCAGATGCTCGTGTGTTAGACAGCGAGGAGCGCTAAGGAAAGTTAAGTAGGAAGCGGGGGCTAGGGCTGTTGGGGAGTGGGAATGGTAGACGCAGGACACAGTGGCCAGGGAAGGCCTAGGTGAGAAGGAGGCTCTTGAGCAAAGATCTGAAGGAGGCAAGGGGGCTTGACAAGCTGACAAGTGACAGGAGAACCATGCAGGCAGAGGGTCCGCCAGTGCAAAGGCCCCAGGGTGGGAGGGCGCCTGGCACAGTATAGAAGAAGCATCCAGGCAGGCAGGCGAGGCTGGCTGACCCTGCGCCGAGTGCCATGCACATGATCTCAGTGGTCCTGTGAGCGAGCCGTGGTTACTCCCTGTGTGCAGAGCTCATGGGTTAAGTCTGTGTGCTCAGGCTCAGTGAGGTTAAGTCACTAGTCCAAGGCCACACAGCTAACAAGGAGGTAGAGCCAGAATGCAGCCGCGTTCTTCACTGCTGTGCCTCAGAGTGCCAGAGGCCTCAGTATCAGGGTGCTCAGGTCACTAGGGTGGCACCAGGGGCAGCAGTGCTGGAGTGCCAGGTCCTGGCAAGGTCTACACTGTGGCAGAGAAGGTCCGGGGGGTCACAGGGAAGTGACTGGGGCAGTGGGGGTGAGGCCCAGGGCAATGGCTACTTAGCAGTGGGTATAGAGTATTCGTCACTGCTGCTTGGGGGACAGGCTGGCACCGCACTCAGCCCTGATGGTCACCGCCTCTAACCCTGCCCGCAGTGCGCCAAGTGCCGGGAATCATTTCACGGGAGTCCGCTGGGCGGCCAGCAGTGCTACCGCCTCATCTCGGTGGAGCAGGAGTGCTGCCTGGACCCCACGTCCCAGACCAACTGCTTCCATGAGCCCAAACGCCGGGCGCTAGGCCCCGGCCGCACTGTCCTCTTTGGCGTGCAGCCCAAATTCACCAACGTGGACATCCGCCTGACGCTGGACGTGACCTTCGGGGCCGTGGACCTCTATGTCTCCACCTCCTATGACACCTTCGTGGTCCGTGTGGCCCCTGACACTGGCGTCCATACTGTACACATCCAGCCACCCCCAGCCCCACCACCTCCACCACCCCCTGCAGATGGTGGGCCCCGGGGGGCTGGGGATCCAGGAGGAGCAGGGGCCAGCAGTGGGCCGGGCGCCCCAGCAGAGCCACGGGTACGGGAGGTATGGCCGCGGGGCCTGATTACCTACGTGACGGTGACGGAGCCGTCGGCAGTGCTGGTGGTCCGCGGCGTGCGGGACCGGCTGGTCATCACCTACCCACACGAGCACCATGCCCTCAAGTCGAGCCGCTTCTACCTGCTGCTGCTGGGCGTGGGAGACCCAAGTGGGCCCGGCGCCAACGGCTCAGCCGACTCGCAGGGCCTGCTCTTCTTCCGGCAGGACCAGGCCCACATTGACCTGTTTGTCTTCTTCTCCGTCTTCTTCTCCTGCTTCTTCCTCTTCCTCTCACTCTGTGTGCTCCTCTGGAAGGCCAAGCAGGCTCTGGACCAGCGGCAGGAGCAGCGCCGGCACTTGCAGGAGATGACCAAGATGGCCAGCCGCCCCTTCGCCAAGGTCACCGTCTGCTTCCCACCTGACCCTACTGCCCCGGCCTCCGCCTGGAAGCCGGCTGGGCTCCCACCTCCCGCCTTCCGCCGCTCTGAGCCCTTCCTGGCACCCCTGCTGCTGACAGGGGCCGGTGGGCCCTGGGGACCCATGGGAGGGGGCTGCTGCCCACCAGCCATCCCCGCCACCACTGCTGGGCTGCGAGCTGGGCCCATCACTCTCGAGCCCACAGAAGATGGCATGGCTGGCGTGGCCACACTGCTGCTCCAGCTGCCTGGCGGGCCCCATGCACCCAACGGCGCCTGCCTGGGGTCAGCCCTCGTCACACTGCGGCACAGGCTGCACGAGTACTGTGGGGGTGGTGGGGGTGCTGGGGGCAGTGGGCATGGGACTGGTGCGGGCCGGAAGGGACTGTTGAGCCAGGACAACCTCACCAGCATGTCCCTCTGACATGCCCAGGGTTCTCATCCACAGCAGCTGGGTCACCTGATAGGGCCGCCCTGGACTTGGGGTCCCTCCACCTGGGGGCCCCTGGACACTGTCTACTTGGAGACCACTGGCCCCCTTCCCCCAGGGTTGCCCAGATGGGGCCTCCTTTGTTCTGCATTCAGCAGCTATTTATCGAGTACCTACTCTGTCAGGCACTGTCATAGGCGTGGGGCAAAGCAGGAACCAAGAGACGAGGTTCCCTGATCTCATGGGACTTAGGTTCTGGTGAAGGGAGACAATCAGTGCACATGCACACACCCCACACGCATACACACATGAACACATGCACATGTGCACACACAAGTAAGATGGCTTCAGAGAGGGAGAAGCACTGTGAGGCCTCCAGAGGATGTGGCAGTGAGGGACGATGGGGTGAAGTCAGCTGGGCATTCAAAGAAGCTAGACTGAGAACGCCTGAGAAGAACCAGCTACGGGAAGAGCTTTGGGAAGCAAAGGCAGAGGCCCTGGGGTGGGAGCAGGCTTGTTTTATTGGAAGGACCAGAAAACTGGTAAGTGTGACCCAGATCAAGTGTGAGGAGATGAGGCTGGGGATAGTCAGGGGCTGGATCACCCAGGGCCTTGTGGGCCCCACATAGGGTTTTGGGTTTTATTCTCAGGGCAATGGGAAGCTGTTGGATGGTTTGATGAAGGGGAGTGACAGGATCCGATGTACCTATTTAAGAATTTAAGAGGGTCGGGTGCGGTGGCTCATGCCTATAATCCTAGCACTTTGAGAGGCCAAGGTGGGCTGATCACAAGGTCAAGAGTTCGTGACCAGCCTGGCCAATATGGTGAAACCCCATGTCTACTAAAAATACAAAAATTAGCTGGGCATGGTGGCACACACTTGTAGTCCGAGCTACTCGGGAGGCTGAGGCAGAAGAATCGCTTGAACCCAGGAGGCGGAGGTTGCAGTGAGCTCAGATTGCGTCACTGCACTCCAACCTGGGTGACAGAGCGAGACTCCACCTCAAAAAAAAAAAAAAAATTTAAGAGGTCACTCAGTTGTGCTGTGGAGAATGGACCGGAGGGACAAGAGGGGCAGCAGGGATGGTGGGCTGGAGTAGGGTGCTGGCAATGAGGGAGTCTGGCTCAGATGTGGGATGTGTATGGAAGAATATAAATGATGGTGTGGATGTCAGGGTGAGGGAGGAGACAAAACCACGATGACCCCTAGCTTTGTGGCCTGAACTGTGGGTGGCTGAGGGGATCGTTAATTGAATGGGGCAGACTGAGGCTTGTGAGGAAGATCAGAGTCTGGTTCTTGACATGAGATGCCCTTCAGACATCTCTTCACTCAGGTCCAACTAGGGATACAGAAACACTGAATATTTCAACAGCAGAAATTGAATGGGGGGATTGATAGCGCTGGCGAGGGAAGCAGCTGGAAAGAGACAGATGGCACCCTGAGACAGCCCAGAGGTGAATAGGACCCCCAGGCTGCAGGGATAAAGCTCAGTGGTGGTGTTACCTCACCGGGGACCAGGGTCACACAGCAAAGCTGGAACAACAGAGGCGTGTTGTGGGGGAGCCTCAGAGGGGACAAAACCTCTGCCTGAGATCCCACCCCAGGTGGGCATGGGGGCCACTGAGGTTGGGGATGAAAATGCCGGTACCGTCAGTGCACAGCCCTGTTCCAGACAGTGCTGCCTGGAAGATTTCTGGGCTCTCCTGAGGCGCCACCCCGCACCTGAGCCACCTCCTTGGACTCCTGTCCTCTACCCCTTGAGGACCTCCCTCCCTTCTACCCTAGCTGTCTTCTTGAACTTGGGACTCTCCTTTCCCAAGACTTCCATCACTAGCTCCTGGAGGGACTGGACTTTGCATCTTCCCTTCGCGTGGAGCCTCAGTGTGAGAGGCCCTAGCCAATGCGTGCATGTCAGAGGTGGTGGGGACCACATCAGAAGAAGAGGGGGGTGATGAAATTAACAAATAAAAAGTATGGGGAAAACCCAGGTGTCTGAGCGCGTCTGCACATGTCCCAGCAGGGCTAGGTCTCAACTCTGACCCAGCCCCGCATGCTGGATAACTTGGATAATTGCCCTTATGATGGTGCCACTTCCAAGCTGGGGTGGCTTTGTTCCTGGCTGCCCCTCTTAAAGGGGGAAGGGGGAAGGGGGAAGGGTATGCCCCAACAGAAGCATAATAAATACCAATAAACAGCTCTTGTTTCCCAGAAGGGACGCGCTGAGGGCAGACGTGGGCAGTGGAATTTGACCCTTCCCTAGATCTTCCTCAGGGAAACCCCAGTTTGGCTCAGGAGGGAAAACAGGCTGCCTTGGTCCCAGCTACGGCTTTTTGTTGTTGTTTTGTTTTGCTTTTTGAGGGGACAGAGTCTCACTGTTGCCCAGGCTAGTGTGCAGTGGTGTGATCTTGGCTCACTGCAACCTCTATATCCCGGGTTCAAGTGATTTGCATGTCTCAGCCTCCCAAGTAGCTGGGATTACAGGCACGCGCCACCATGCCTGGCTAATTTTTTTCTATCTTTGGAGGAGACAAGGTTTCACCATGTTGGCCAGGCTGGTTTCAAACTCCTGACCTCAAGTGGTCCGCCCACCTTGACTCCCAAAGTGCTGGGATTACAGTCATGAGCCACTGCACTTGGCCTTTTTCTTTTTTTTTTTGAGACAGGGTGTCTCTTTTTCTGTGACACAGGCTGGAGTGAAGTGATGGAATCATTGCTCACTGAAGCCCCAACTTCCTGGGCTCAGGCGATCCCCCCACTTCAGCCTCCCGAGTAGCTGGAACTACAGACGTGTACCACCTCACCCAGCTAATTTTTGTAATTTTGGTAGAGATGAGGTTTCACCATGTTGCCCAGGCTGGTCTTGAATTCTGGAGCTCAAGTGATCCTCCCACCTTGGCCTCCCAAAGTGTTGGGATTATAGGTGTGAGCCACCATGCCTAGCCCAGGCACAGATTTTATTCTGGGCCCCAATAGAAGGGTTCAAACCAGACAGGGCTGAGAATGAAATGAGACCCTAGCACAATGAGCTTTCTTTTTTTTTTTTTTTTTTTCTCTGAGACGGAATCTCGCTCTGTTGCCCAGGCTGGAGTGCAGTGGTGCAATCTCGGCTCACTGCAGGCTCTGCCCACCGGGTTCACGCCATTCTCTCGCCTCAGCCTCCCGAGTAGCTGGGACTACAGGTGCCCACCACCTCGCCTGGCTAATTTTTTGTATTTTTAGTAGAGACGGGGTTTCACCGTGGTAGCCAGGATAGTCTTGATCTCCTGACCTCGTGATCCGCCCGCCTCCCAAAGTGCTGGGATTACAGGCGTGAGCCACCGCGCCCAGCCCAGTGAGCTTTCTCTAATCCATTAGAGTCACAGTCAAAACCGAAAGCATCATGAGAGCTGCTTTACCTGGCATGCACCTAGGCAAACAAAATCCCTGATTCCTCCCAGGTGGGAGCTGGAGATCTCTGTCCTCTCCATCAGCCTCAGCAGCATAGGCATCTTGCTGGGTGTGTTAAACAATGTATCTTTTCTGCACATCCCGGCTCCAAAGTGCAAGCTGGTTTCTTCATCAGGTGCTCAGCGGAGGACGATGTGTGGGACCCAGAGGGTGTGTGAGTCTCCATTATGGGCCAGGAATAACACTGTATTTTCTTTTTCTTTTTTTTCGGAGATGCTCTTGCTTCGTCACTCAGGCTGGAGTGCAGTGATGTGATCTTGGCGCACTGTAGCTTCAACCTCCTGGGGTCAAGTGATCCTCCCACCTCAGCCTCCTAAGTAGCTGGGACTACAGATGCACGCCACCAGGCCCGGCTATTTTTTTTTGGTATTTTTGTAGAGACAGGTTTTCGCTGTATTGCCCAGGTTTAACATGGTATCTTCATACTTTGTGGGCAATTTAAGGGATTTCCAGGGGTTACCTTGACCTCACGTGAGTTTTGCCTTTATGAGCTATTAGTAGCACCTACCCTCCAGGATATGATCGTGGACTTGCATTTATATGAACTGAGCAGCACATGCTGGACAGTTTGCATAGCATACTGCTGTGGTTTCATTTGGTCTCTCCAGCAATCATATGAGGTCAGTAACCCGTAATCCCCATTTGCAGATGAGAAAACAAAAGGTCATAGACATGGTTTAGCTGTTGCATGAGAGCTGTCAATTGACTCTCAGACCTATGTGCCTGACCACCAGGCTCTTCCACCTCCCAAGGAAGGACCCCTTAAATTAGGTCGACATAGCTGAAAGCTGTCCCAGCACACGTTTAGAGGTGATGCCACATGACTACCTGTACCTCACAGCAGGAAGGGTGAGGCTTTTCCAAGCATCTGTAACCACAAATCAAAAGGGTCAACAGTCCACCTCACTCATGCCTGTAATCCCAGCACTTTGAGAGGCCAAGGCAGGCGGATCACGAGGTCAGGAGTTCGAGATCAGCCTGATCCACATGGTGAAACCCTGTGTCTACTAAAAATACAAAAATTAGTTGGGCATGGTGGTGGGCGCCTGTAATCTCAGCTACTCGGGAGGCTGAGGCAGGAGAATTGCTTGAACCTGGAGGCAGAGTTTGCAGTGAGCCAAGATTATGCCACTGTACTCCAGCCTAGGCGACAGAGCAAGACTCTGTCTCAAAAAATAAATAAATAAAAATAAAAATAAATAAATAAAAGTACAAAAATTGGCTGGGCGTGGTGGCGAATGCCTATAATCCCAGCTACTTAGGAGGCTGAGGCAGGAGAATCGCTTGAACCCGGGAGGTGGAGGTTGCAGTGAGCCGAGATTGCACCACTGTACCCCAGCCTGGGCAACAAGAGCGAAACTCCGTCTCAAAAAACAAAAACAATAGCCAATTTCTGCTAGGGATAATGCAGAATATACCAACTAGAAAGCTAAGGAGTGTGAGATTTGCTGCCCTGAGAGAGGGAGTCCTGAGGGCTTGGAGTTCCACCTGCATGAGCAGAAAGGAGCTAAGATTCTTTAGGACTCCTCTGTGTTATGCGTGGACCTCTCAGGTGAAGTGTCTTCCTAGCAGTCATCCTGTGACTTTGCCCTCCTAAGCAGATGATTTGCACCACGACTGGGCCTTTTCTCTGGGATGCATAGCCACACTCCCTCCGACTCTCACAAGTGCTCTATGGTACGTGTTCCTCCCTCCACGTCAGCCCTCTGCCGTCACTTCTCCCTGCACATACCTGAGTGCAAGTGGCGTATGCTGAGGTGGGAGAGAGTCTGGGCATGGAAGGCTGGATGCCTGGTTCTAGGCTATGTGCAGCTCCAAACCCCCTGGGGATTTCAGGGATAGAGGGAATATTTTACTGAGGGCCTACAGCCCTCCAGGCACTGTGCTGGGTGCTTGGTGTGAATCTTATCTTGCCAACATCACTGGGAGGTGCCAGCTTGGTTTTCCATTTTGCCCATTCGAAAGCTCTGTTGACTAAGAACTCAGGGCTAATTAAGAGACGAGCCAGATTGTGACACAAGCCTGTCTCTGTTGCCCCACACGTTACCTCCAAAGTTGCTTTCCTTTTCTAAGCCAATGTCTTCTGATTGCCTAGAATGGGCCCCGCATTGTGCTGGGGGCTGGGGACAGAGTAGTGAATAAGGTCTCTGCCCTCATGGAGCTGATAAGCCAGTGTGGTGCCCAATAATAAGTAAATGATGCTGCATGCTGGAAAGTGATCAGAAAAGGCAGTGAGAGAGCAGGCGTTTGGCACTTGCTATTTTGCTTTTTTTTTTTTTTGAGATGGAGTTTCGTTCTTGTTGTCCAGGCTGGAGTGCAATGGCGTGGTCTCAGCTCCCTGCAATCTCTGCCTCCCGGGTTCAAACGATTCTCTTGCCTCAGCCTCCCAAGTAGCTGGTATTACAGGTGCCTGTCACCACACCTGGCTAATTGTTGTATTTTTAGTAGAGACAGGGTTTCACTATGTTAGCCAGGCTGGTTGTGAACTCCTGATCTCAGGTGATGCACCCACCATGGCCTCCCAAAGTGCTGGGATTACAGGCATGAGCCACTGCACCCGGCCTGAGACTTGCTATTTAACATAGGTGGGATGGGAAGGCCTCTCTTGTAAGACGATACATGAGCAGAAATTAGGGAGTGAGCCAGAGGGACATTTGAGGGAGGAGCAATTCCAGGCCAAGGGAACAGCCAGTGCAAAGGCCCTGAGTTGGAGTGTGCCTGACATTTCAGAGAAACAAGACTCATGTGGTTGGAGCAAAGAAGGAATAAGGGGAGATAGGGAGACAAGGTCACAGAGGGAACAAGAGCTATGTCCTGTAGGTCCCTGCACCACGGTGAGGACTCAAGCTTCCACTCTGTCAGAGATGGCACCATGGGAGGATTCTGAGCTTGGGAAGAATGAGCTCTGACGTAGGTGTTCACAGGATTCCCCTGGGAGGAAGAGGCTAATGGGGTAGGAGAGGGTGGGAAGCCCATGGAGGAAGCCCCTGTGTCCGTGTTGAAGAGGAGAGTGGCTGGAACAAGGTCGGGATAGCAGAGTGGAGAGAAGTGGTGAGATTCTGGATATATTCTGAGAGCAGAACCAGCAGAATTTGTTGACAGATTGGACGCTGGGTGAGAGAGAAAGTGACTGAGCAACGGAACGGGTAGAGTTTGCTCTTTCCTGGCATGGCAAAGACTAGGCAGAGTCAGTTTGGGGGTTGGGGTACATCAGCAGTTAGGTTTTATATATGTTAAATTTGAGGTGGCTGTTAGATACCCCGAGGGAAGATGTCACTCAATGAGTGGATACAGCTCCAGAAAGAGAGAGGGAGAGATAACAGCAAATAATAGTAATATATTAATATTAGAATAGGCCGGGCGTGGTGGCTCACACCTGTAATCCCAGCACTTTGGGAGGCCAAGGCGGGTGGATCACGAGGTCAGGAGATCGAGACCATCCTGGCTACCACAGTGAAACCCCATCTCTACTAAAAATACAAAAACATTAGCCGTGCGTGATGGCGGGCGCCTATAGTCCCAGCTACTCAGGACGCTGAGGCAGGAGAATCGCTTGAACCCGGGAGGCGGAGCTTGCAGTGAGCCAAGATCATGCCACTGCACTCCAGCCTGGGCGACAGAGTGAGACTCTGTCTCAAAAAAAAAAAAAGATAGTTACTATATTATACATATTATAGTAATATTAACAATGATTTTGGCCAGGTGTGGCGGCTCACCCCTGTAATCCCAGCACTTTGGTAGGCCAAGATAGGCAGATTGTTTGAGGTCAGGAGTTTGAGACCAGCCTGGCCAACATGGCGAAACCCTGTCTCTACTAAAAATAGAAAAATTAGCCAGGCGTGGTGGCACACGCTTGCAATCCCAGCTACTTGTAGGGCTGAGGCACGAGAATTGCTTGAGCCCCGGAGGTGGAGGTTGCAGTGAGCTGAGATCATGCCACTGCATTCCAGTTTGGGTGACAGAGCGAGATTGTCTTAAGAAAACAAAAAACAATGATTTTGTTTTGTTTTAAGACAGGGTCTCTCTCTGTCACCTAGGCTGGAGTGCAGTGGCGTGATCACAGCTCACTGCAGCCTTGACTTTCTGGACTCAAGCAATCCTCCTGCCATAGCCTCCAGAATAGTTGGAACTATAGGTGTGAGCCACATGCACAGCTAATTTTTTTTTTTTTTTTTTTGAGATGGAGTCTCGCTCTGTCACCCAGGCTGGAGTGCAGTGGTGCAATCTTGGCTCACTGCAAGCTCCGCCTCCCGGGTTCATGCCATTCTCCTGCCTCAGCCTCCCGAGTAGCTGGGACTACAGGTGCCCGCCACCATGCCCAGCTAATTTTTTGTATTTTTATTAGAGACGGGGTTTCACTGTGTTAGCCAGGATGGTCTTGATCTCCTGACCTCGTGATCCGCCCACCTCAGCCTCCCAAAGTGCTGGGATTACAGGCGTGAGCCACCGTGCCCTTGCCCAGCTAATTTTTAAGAATGTTTTTCTTTTTCTTTTTCTTAGACAGGGTCTCATCTTGTGAGCTCATTGCAGGCTTCACCTTCTGGGCTCAAGTGATCATCCTACCTTAGCCTCTCAGTTAGCTGGGACTTCAGGTTCACGTCACCATGCCCAGCTAATTTTTTTCTTTTTTTTGAGAAGGAGTCTTGCTCTGTCATCCAGGCTGGAGTGTAGTGGTGCAATCTCGGCTCACTGCAACCTCTGCCTCCCGGGTTCAAGTGATTCTCCTGCCTCAGCCTCCCAAGTGCGGGGATTACAGGCACCCACCACCATGCCTGATTAATTTTTGTATTTTTAGTAGAGAAGGGGTTTCACCATGTTGGCCAGGCTGGTCTTGCACTCCTGACCTCAGGTGATCCACCTGCCTCCGCCTCCCAAAGTGCTGGGATTACAGGCATGAGCCACCACGCCCCGCCTCATGCCTGGTTAATTTTTGTGTATTTTTTGTAGACACAGTTTTGCCATGTTGCCCAGGCTGGTCTCAAATTCCTGGGCTCAAGCGATCCTCCTGCCTCAGCCTCCCAAAGTGCTGGGATTATAGGCGTGACTGCTCCTGGCTCAAAAATTTTTTGTAGAGGCCGGGCGCAGTGACTCATGCCTGTAATCCCAGCACTTTGGGAGGCCAAGGTGGGTGGATCACGAGGTCAGGAGATTGAGACCATCCTGGCTAACACGGTGAAACCCTGTCTCTACTAAAAAATACAAAAAATTAGCCGGGCATGGTGGCGGGTGCCTGTAGTCCCAGCTACTCGGGAGGCTGAGACAGGAGAATGGCGTGAACCTGGGAGGCAGAGCTTGCAGTGAGCCAAGATTGCGCCACTGCACTCCAGCCTGGGCGACAGAGCGAGACTCCATCTCAAAAAAAAAAAAAAAATTTTTTTTTTCGTAGAGATGTCTCGCTGTGTCGCCCATGCTAGTCTCCAAATCCTGTCCTGAAGTGATCCTCCTGCCTCAGCCCTCCGAAAGCATTGAGATTAGAGGCAGGAGCCAACACATCCAGCCCACAGTGATTTGAGTTCACACTTTGGCCTTTCCCTGTGTACCATCTCTTGTTCTCACAATAGCCATATGACATGCTAGGGACTGTTAGTCCTATAGGGGGAATCAGGTTCAGAAAGGTTTATGAATTCACTAAGATAACACAGCTAAATGGTGAGGAGTCAAGATTAGATCCCAGGTCTGTCCAATTTTGAGACCTGAACATTTTTTGATCTGCTGTTGGTTGCTTTTGCAGGAAAGAGGGTTGATTGAAGTAGACAGTCCCTAAAAATTCCTTTTTAGGCCAGGCGCGGTGGCTCATGCCTGTAATCCCAGCACTTTGGGAGGCCAAGGCGGGAGGATCACCTGAGGTCGGGAGTTCGAGATCAGCCTGACCAACATGGAGAAACCCCGTCTCTACTAAAAATGCAAAATTAGCTGGGGATGGTGGCGCATGCCTGTAATCCCAACTACTCGGGAGGCTGAGGCAGGAGAATCGCTTGAACCCGGGAGGTGGAGGTTGCAGTGAGCTGAGATCACAACATTGCACTCCAGCCTGGGCAACAAGAGCGAAACTACGTCTCAAAAAAAAAAAAAAAAAAAAGGTCCGGGTGCGGTGGCTCACTCCTGTAATCCCAGCATTTTGGGAGGCCAAGGCAGGCGGATCATGAGGTCATGAGATTGAGACCATCCTGGCTAACACGGTGAAACCCTGTCTCTGCTAAAAAAAAAAAAAAAAAATTAGTTGGGCGTGGTGGCGGGCACCTTTAGTCCCAGCTACTCGGGAGGCTGAGGCAGGAGAATGGCGTGAACCCGGAGCTTACAGTGAGCCAAGATCGCGCCACTGCACTCCAGCCTGGGCAACAGAGTGAGACTCCGTCTCAAAAAAAAAAGAAAAAAAATTCGTTTTTAGCTCCAGAGAGCCTTAAGCTTATAAGTTCTCTGCTTTGGAGACAAAAGTCCCCCACGCCTGTTCGAATTGTGTGCAGGCCAACAGTCCATAGATATGGAGCAAGCAAGGGCGCTCTCCTGTTTTTTCTTTGAACTTCAGTGCCTCCGTCCTCCCAAGACTGACTTTCTGGTTTTGCTTATTTTCAGAATGCAGGCAGCTTCAGGCAGGGAGTCTGCAGCTAAAGAGTTAGTGGTTTTACTTTGTTAGGGTGAGGGCAACTGGGGTTTGGGAGGGATAACTTGACAAAGTCACACACTGCCTGGCGGGGTCACACGTAGGCATCTGTCTTGTCCCCACCTCTCTCACCAATCCTCTCTCTCCACCCAGATTCCTACCCTGGGACAAAATGGATGTAGGCGGAGTTGGTTTTCAGGTTTTTATTGTGGGTGTATTTCTGGCAGCGGGACAGGGGTGGTGAGGCAGTCCCTCCCAGGAGTGGCCAGAGAAGGCCAGAGGCGAGACTGGTGGAAAAGGACGGGGAAGACAGGGAACTTCCTTACTCTCGGATCTTCAGTTCCCGCGCCATCTGGCAGAGGGCGCAGGGCAGACAAAAGGTGAGGGCCGCCCAGTCGTGCCCGACGGAGCCCTAGAGGGTAGGAGAGAGCGGTCAGGAGCCCCGCGGTGGGTCCCAGGAGGCCAGTCCCCAGCTCCCTGCTCCCGCGGGTCCCCAGCCCGGCGCGCACCTGGATGTGGTAGCGCTCCCGCATGCCGGTGCGGATGGAGTGCAGGCCTCCGGGCAGGTAGGGCGCGCAGCAGCACTCGCCAAAGTCGTCGGAGATGCGGCAGGCAAGGCACAGAGGAGCAAAAGTGCCGCACAGACCTGGGCGGGGCGCAGGCGCTCAGGGGCGGGGCCAGCCGGGGCCTCCCGACGGCTCCGCCCCGGGGGGGGCGCGGTTGATTCGCCGCGGAGGGGCATTGAGGGTCCCAGCCAAGGAGAGGTCCCAGAGGGAATTAGAGGTCCGAGGAGAGGATGGCTTAGCGATTGGAAGGCAGGGTTTTTCTTTTTTTTTTTTTCTTCTTTTTTTTTTTTTTTAGAAATTGGAGGCTGGGTGCAGTGGCTTACGCCTGTAATCCCAGCACTTTGGGAGGCCTAGGCGGGAGGATCACGAGGTCAGGGGTTTGAGACCAGCCTACCCAACATAGTGAAACCCCGTCTCTACTAAAAATACAAAAATTAGCCGGGCGTGGTGGTGTGTGCCTGTAATCTCAGCTACTAGGGAGGCTGAGGCAGGAGAATCGCTTGAACCCGGGAAGCGGAGGTTGCAGTGAGCATAGACTGTGCCATTGCATTCCAGCCTGGGCGACAGAGCAATACTCCGTCTCAAAAAAAACAAAAAACAAAACAAAAAAAAAAACGAAAGAAAGAAAAAAAAAGAAAAAGAAATTAAAGTCTCGGTCTGTCATCCAGGCTGGAGTGCAGTGGTGTGATCACATGTCTCACTGTAGCCTCGACCTCCTGGGCTCAAGCAATCCTCCCGCCTCGGCCTCCCGAGTAGCTGGGACTACTGGTGTGTGCCACCACCTCGGGCTAATTTTATTTTTTATTTTTATTTTTGAGACGGAATCTCGCTCTGTTGCCCAGACTGGAGTGCAGTGGCGTGATCTCGGCTCACTGCAACCTCTGTCTCCCGGGTTCAATCAATTCTCTTTCTCAGCCTCCCGAGTAGCTGAGTTTACAGGCGCCCGCCACCACGCCCGGTTTTTTTTTTTGTATTTTTAGTAGAGACGGGGTTTCACCATCTTGGCCAGACTGGTCTTGAACTCCTGACCTTGTGGTCCACCTGCCATGGCCTCCCAAAGTCCTGGGATTACAGGCGTGAGCCACTGCGCCCGACCTATTTTTTATTTTTATTTTTGTAGAGATGGGGATCTCATTATGTTGCCCAGGCTGATCTTGAATTCCTGGCCTCAAGGGATTGTCATGCCTTGGCCTCCCAAAGTGTTGGGATTACAGGCATGAGCCACTGCACTGGGCCAGGAGCTAGGGTTTGAAGAGGGAGTTGGGGGTCACAGTGAGGAAAGCTGAGCATGCAAAGGGGAGGTTGAGGGCCTGATAAGTTGAGTGTGGGAAGGCATGAGGTAGTATCCTAAGGAGTGTTGGGGGTCTGAGGAAAGGGTGACTGTTAGAGTGGGAATTCCAAGTCCAGGGAAGGGAGGTGGGAGTGGGGTTAGCAAGCGGTGGGAGGAGGTTGGAGGTGAGCTTCCCTCTCCTGATTCCCCCCAAACCCATCTTCCACCAGGCCTGGAGAGGGAGCAGGCAGGCACTCACAGACAGGCATGTCGTTGCAGCAGTCCGTGAGACCTGTGTGCCAGTCACTGAGCTGGGTCTGGTAGCAGCTGGTGGTGGCGCACTGGGGCTGACTGGTCACAGGGTAGGACATAGCTGCAGAGGTGGGAGGGTAGGGGTCAGCTGGCAGCCTCGCAGCATCTCCTGGGCCCCGCACTTCGGCCACCCTTCCCTGTGCCGGGCAGTCTGGGCGGGGCCGCCAGGCCGCCCACTGAAGGGACACCACTGTGCCTCCCCCTTCCCTTCTGCTACATCTGGGCACCGGCAACCCCAGTCTGTCCCTGTTGCTGCTGGCTCCTGCACGTCTGGTTAGGCTGGGGGTGGGGGTCTCCTGCACATCTGAGGAAGGGTGGGGACCACATCTGGGTGGGGCCTGGCGGTGCCGCCTCCTCCTCCACGTCTGGGCCTGGGTTCTGGGTTGCAGCATTTCTGGGGCCTCTGGGGTGGAAGCAGGCGCCGTCTGTCTTCGAAGCAAGGGTGCCCAGGGGAGGGAGGCGGCCAGGTTCCAGTACTGAGAGGGTTGCTGGTCCACCCAGCGGTCCCACCTTTGCCTTTCACGTTGTCGTGCATCTCAAACTGCATCTTGCTGGCCCTGAGGAGGTGGCGTTGGGGACGGCAGAAGTGGCTGTGGCAACAGTGGCAGAGTCTGTCCAAGGGACGCTGGATACTGGGGAGGTGGGGGCAAGGGACTGGGGCACTGGGGGCTGGGCTCTCAGGGGGAGGGGAGCTGGGGAGAAAGAGGCCAAGTCAGCCTGTCAACCAGGAGAGACATGGAATAGGGAATGGATAGGGCGGGGGCGAGAAACTCGCCCATGTCTTTCCAACTGCCCGACAGATTGCAGAGGACCCTCCCCATACCCGAGATAGAGCTTGAGGGAGAACAAGAAATGGAGATGGACAGAGTCAGAGACAAGGGGAGAAAGATCAGAGCCAGGTGCCCGTAGAGATGTCACCAGTAATGCCCACATGTGCCCAGCACTTTGACTCCTCTGCAAGCCCATCTCACAGATGAGCACTGAGGCTCAGAGACATGAGGAGGAACGCCCCACGTCTGACGGCCCAGGCCAAGGGGGTTCATAGAGGTGATGCTGGGCCCCAAGACTTCTAAATTCAGCTCAGCACACCCCAGTTAAGAAGGACAGATTTGGGGGCATTGGGAAGGACAGAGATGTCCCGAGAGACCGACAATCAGCGATATGAAAGGAGACAGAGTGATATGAGTGGGATGAGGAGGAGGGAGAACAGAGCAGAGGCGCCCAACCTCAAAGAAGAGGGCTGCGGAGGGGATGTTCCTACCTGCAGGATCGCGATGGCAGTGATGGAGGCAGACGTGTGGAGACACGGGCACTGACTTCTCCGTCTCAGCCCAGAGCCACTTATATGGGCGGCCACGCAGCCCTGGGCGGGGCTCTGACAGAGGTGCCCAGGGAGCCAAGCCGGTCTGATCGACCCTCTCCCCACACTGGGATTTCCCGCCCTCCCTCTCCACTCCCATCCCCCCACTTCTCCTCCTGCCTCAGCTCCCAGGACCCAGGGAAAAGAAGGTGGCGGGGGGTGGGAGGTTTGGCGGGGGCGGGGGGCCACAGCCGGGTCAATGCGCAGAGACCAAAAGAGAGGGAGAGACAGAAACACAGTGTCAGAAAGGCAGGCAGGGAAGTCCCTCTAGACAGAAAGGAGAGAGAGGAGATTCAGAGAGATGGAGAGACGCAGGAAGATGTAGAGAGATGGAGAGGTGCCAAGAAACAGAGGGGCACAAAAATGTGAAAAGAAATAACAAGAAGAGGGGAGATGGGCCAGGCATGGTGGCTCTCGCCTGTAATCCCAACCCTGTAATCGCCTGAGGTGAGAGGATCGCTTGAGCCCAGGAGTTGAAGACCAGCCTGGGCAACATAGGGATACCCCATCTCTACAAAAAATACAAATAGAATTAGCCGGGCATGGTGGCATGTGCCTGTAGTCCCAGCTACTTGAGAGGCTGAGGCAGGAGGATCGCTTGAGTCCAGAAGTTTGAGGCTGCAGTGAGCCGTGTTCCCGCCACTACACTCCGGCCTCAGTGACAGAGCAAGACCCTGTCTTAAAAAAAAAAAAGGAAAGAAAAGGGGAGATGGGAGACAGAAGAGAGACGGAGATGGAAAAGTGGAGAGGCAGGTGGGGGGATCACTGAACAGGCTTAGAGGGCAGGGAAATGGGGAGAGGTGATGGGTGGGGAGAGAAAAAGGCCGGGTGGAGTGGGAGAGAGTGCTGTGTGGGACTCCCCTTTCAGGGTCTCGCTCATCTCTCTCAGTGATATCCCCACTTTCCTGGGAGAGGGGGACAGTGTCCTCCCCATTCAAGCCAGGAGACACATGGGGGGCAGTGTGTTTTGGGGAATGACTCATGTTGGAACCAAAGTAAATAAACACACCTCACCCCAGCTCCAAATTGGGAAGGGAGGAGGCTGGGAACTGAAAAGCCGCAGTTCCTGAAGGACGTGGACGTCACCTGGGACTCCTGGGTCCTAATGGAGCAAAGGAGTGGGGGCTTGGACCCCTGGGTCTGAGGGAGGAGGGGCTGGGGCCCTGGACTCCTGCGTCTCATGAGGCCAGGCTGCACATCCCTCAGTAGGGTAGGGGTCCTGGGATTCCACACTGCTGGGCTCCTGAGCAGGGAAGGAGCTGGGGGTCTGGGTGCCTGAATCGCCAAAGTTTCCCCCCAACAGGCCTGACGGGGTTGGGAGGTGACTCAGTGAGGGAAGCAGCATTAGAGCTGGGTGGGGTTCTCAGCACGGGTGTCACCCCAAAAATGTAGGAGGCACTAGAAAACTGGGGTGTCACCTGCAGAGAAGGTGGTGTCATCACCCCGCCGGGTATGGGGTGATGGCAGGTGGATCACCCTGCTAGCTGGGATCCCAGGTGTCCCCTCCCTCCCTCCCTCCCTCCAACACATTAGGACCCAAGCCTTGGTCTCCCAGCACCACCCAGATGGTTGGGTCTTCCTGTCCCCAGAACTCCCGGCAGCGCTCACTGTCTTGCCGGTGCACGTCCGTCATTGGTCCTAGAGCCTGGATGTCTGGGGGACATCTCCTCACTTGTGTCCTAACATCCCTGTCTCCTCATCTCTGAATCTTCGTCTCTCACCCTGCATCTTCACCTTTCCAGCTGTGAATCTGTCTTTCTTTCCTCATCTCTGCAAATCTCTTTCCAAATCTCTGTCTCTCCATCTCTGGGTCCCTCTCCTTCCAGGCTCTGTGTCTCTGTGCCCTTATCCCGGGGTCTCTGTCTCCTATGTCAAAATCTCTTCTGAATCTCGCTTCCCATCTCTGTTCATCTCCAGACCTGCCCTGTGGAGGCAGCTACAGGGCCCCATCCCCCCTGCTGTCCAGACTAAGGGTGCAGGTGACTCAAGGTCAGTCATCTCCGAGGACCCCAGGGCTCCCAGCATGACACTCTGAGTTGTCCTCAAGTTTC